>NC_000007.14:66749203-67052233 GCF_000001405.40 Homo sapiens | reverse complement strand
TTGAAGAAATAATGGCCAAAATTTGTCCGAATTTCATGAAGACCATAAATCCACAAAACCAAGACACTCAACAAAACCCAAATAAAAGAAACATGAAGAAAACTAAACTGAGGCACATTATAATTAAATTGCTCAAAATCAGCCTTAAGAGAAAATCTTCCAAGTAGCAGGGGGTTGGGAGAAGGAGGATCCTATTTAAAGGAACAAACAAAAGGATGACTGATTGCTGAACTCTAATCAGAAGCAATGTGAGTAAGAGGACAGTGGAGTAACATCTGTAAAACACTGAAGGAAAAAACAGCTGTCAACCTACAATTCTATATCCAGCAAAAAATTACTGAACTTGAAGACACAGTGATAGAAAATGAAGGCAAAGTAAAGCCATTTTCAGATATACGAAAGCTGAAAGAATTCACCACCAACAAACCTGCACTACAAGAGATGTTCAAAAAGTCCTTGGAGTCGCCACAGGTAAGCTTAAATTAGAAAAAAAAAAAAAAACAAAAAAACAAAAACAGTCCTTCAGGCAGATGGAAAAGGATACCAGACGGAACACAGATCTACATGAATAAGACATGGCAACTACATGAGTACTGAAAATAGTAACTACATAAGTAAATATGTAAGATTCTAAGATTCTAAGTATATAAATCTTTAGTACATAATTAAATAGATGTTTTGATTGGGTTAGATATAAAAATAGGTATTTTTGTTGAAGAAAAAAATAATAATAAAGTGTAGGCTTTAGAGCATACGTAAAACACTCAGTGTGGTGGCTTACACCTGTAGTCTCAGCTATTCAGGGGGATGAGGCAGGAGGATTCCTTGAGCCCAGGAGTTCAAGGCTACAGTGAGCCATGATCATACCACTGCACTCCAGCCTAAGCAAAAGAGCAAGACCCGACTCAACCAAAAAACAAAAGTAAAAGTAAAATGTGTGATAAAAATTACATATGGGTTAAGAAAGAAATAATGGAAGTATAGTACTGTAAGGTTCTTCTACACATTGAGTGAGATAACATCACTCAAAGATATACTATGAAATGATAAAGTAGTATGGTGTAGGCCAGGTGCAGTGGCTCACACCTGTAATCCCAGCACTTTGGGAGGCTGAGGCGGCAGATCACACTTGAGGCCAGGAGTTCAAGACCAGCATGGCCAACATGGCAAAAAAATTAGCTGAGCATGGTGGCATATGTCTCTAGTCCCAGCTGCTCAGGAGGCTAAAGCAGGAGAATCACTTGAACCCAGGAGGCAGAGGTTGCAGTGAGCCAAGATTATGCCACTGCACTCCAGACTGGGTGAGAGAGACTCTGTCTCAAAGAAAAAAAAAGAGGTATAGTGTAAAACCTTGAGCAACTATTCGTGAAAATGTTATTGCTAGTAAGCAAACAAAATATAAAATAGAGTCATTTTTAAAAAATGAATTAATTTGAAAGAACACAGAAAAACAGGAAAAGGGAAATCAAAAAGCAGATGAAATAGAAAATAGCAAGATAAATTTAAATCTATAATGAAATCACATTAATATAATCTACCCTAATTAAAATATAGACATAGATATTAAAATACAAACATATATATATTTCTCTAGTGCACCAGACCGACGGTTCCTTGAAGCAGATATAGTTTCCTGTGTTTCTCTGCATTGCCAGAACGGTCACATAAAAGGCCTCTCATAAATATAGAGGGGAAGTGGGGAGGGGGATGAAGGAAAGGAGGTCGGTCTACTGATTCCCATTTTACTACTCTTTCCTCCACAGGAAACTAATATTATTACTCATTCATGCAACTATAACCTCCTTAATAAGGTAAGACCACAAAAACCCAGATATGACACCTCTACATAAACACTTCTAATTAACCCAGTCTCATATCATATAAGCTTTTCTATGCATTTTTAATAGCTTTCCCAATGACAGCACTTTTGATCTGTGAACTTGACCCACACTGATAGTAATATCCCAATAAACCAAGAAAAAAGGTAACTCACTGGTGCAGGCAGCCAACAGAAGCAATCCGCAGAAATAAAAAGGTAAATCTTTAGACTGTTATATCTGCCACTATGAACAGCTGCTGAGCTAATTAGAGAGAGACTTCATTCCAGGTATCAAATGAGAATGCCTAAGACTACAGTCATATAACAACAATTCTTGAAGATTTTCACCTTGTTTAGTAAGGGCTTCTCGGAGAGCAGGAGTTATCATAGCTCTTCTTTCACCATCTTCATTCCTCCCCATGTTCCTGAACAAACCAGACTTCTCTTCCTGCTGTTCCTTTTCTCTCTGCATTAAAATAAAAAAGAATGAAATCCAGAATTGGTAATGTGCAATGTAAATAACAGCACAATCATGAACACCTAGCATCAATAAAAAGGTCCATTATGAGGCCGGGCACGGTGGCTCACGCCTGTAATCCCAGCATTTTAGGAGGCCAGGGCAGGCGGATCACCTGAGGTCAGGAGATCGAGACCAGCCCGGCCAAGATGGTGAAACCTCATCTCTACTAAAAACACAAAAATTAGCTGGGGATGGTGGCTCACACCTGTAATCCCAGCTACTCAGGAGGCTGAGGCAGGAGAATCACTTGAACCCAGAAAACGAAAGTTGCAGTGAGCCGAGATCACACCACCGTACTCCAGCCTGGGCAACAGAGAAAGACTCCATCTCAAAAAATAAATAATTATAAATAATTTAAAAAAAAATTTTTAAAAAGGGCTGTTATGAACCATGGCCCACAAAACCCATCCTCTCCAAAGTGAACACAATCCCAATGAGACAACAATCTAAAGACATGCCAGGATGCTCTTTTGTTAAGTAACTATATACTCAAACATACATATCCAAAAACCATAAATCTACAATTCACTTATCTAAGTGTCAAACATTTTCAGCAATCTCAGTACAGATAGCTGCCTTACTTTAGCAAGTTGTTTATTTTCTCTGAATTTCAATTTCCTCACCTGAAAAGGGCGAAAAATAATAATAGCAATAGAGAAGAAATATGTTGAAGGTTAAATGCAATAAAATCACAGCACAACCCCTGATGTACAATAGGCGTTCAATAAATTAGAGCTGCTGCTGGTATTACATCTCTAAACCCCAAAAACAAATGAAAAAAGTACTCTAAGCCACCCTGAGAGCCATCGGCTCAGAGACCAAGTTATCCCACTACCACCAACAGCCATCCCAATGGTTCCTTCTCCTTTATTTTATTTTTTGAAACAGAGTCTCGCTTTGTCACCCAGGCCAGAGTGCAATGGCACGATCTTGGCTCACTGCAAACACCACCTCCCGGGTTCAAGCAATTCTCATGCCTCAGCCTCCCAAGTAGCTGGGACTACAGGCATGCTAATTTTTTTGTATTTTTAGTATAGACAGGGTTTCGCCATGTTGGCCAGGCTGGTCTGAAACTGCTGGCCAATGTCTACTTCTAGAAGATCCTATGCAGGATATTTTTCTTCAGTGATAGAAAAAGAAACACTTAAGAAATCCAAAGGATAATATAAAAATAATTGTGTTTCCTGTTGACTTTGGCCACCAGGAAATTTCACCAGCACACCTTTGATTACTGTTACAAAACCTTGCAGCATGTTGGTCTTCTATTCATTGTAACTGGCTTGATATGACAAGATGACCCTCATTCACTCTTTCCACTGATTTCTTCTTCTCTTTTTAAAAGTTTATTTGTGTACATTTTTAGGGATATCTCCCTATCTTTTTGGGAATGGCAGAGTGCTGAGTAATAATTTCAGAGACAACACACGAGATCTGTGTTACACTTTAGGGGAGATACTCATCAAATCTTACTGACAGCTGCAGAAATTCACAATAACTCATCCAGGCAGTGGCCCTACCACCAAGCCCCAGCCCACCCTTGGTCCCTGTCTATTTTAAATGTCCAGCCATCCAGCCCCCAGGTGAATAAGTGAATGGACTCACCGTAACACCATTTCTACTTTAACATGAGAATATCTCACAGATGAGGTCTGACATTTGCTTCAAACTAAAACAGAAAGGGGTATACAAAGGGTACCTAGGGGAGGATGGCCCATAAGTTGCTGGTTGATGAGGCCAGGCAATAGGTAATAAGAATTCACTATATCACTCTGTGTACTTTTGAGAACATTCAATGTCCCCCATATGTGGCTGGGCACGTTGGCTCACGCCTATAATCCGAGCACTATGGGAGGCCGAGGCAGGTGGATCACCTGAGGTCAGGAGTTCGAGACCAGCCTGGCCAACATGGGGAAACCCTGTCTCTACTAAAAATACAAAAATTAGCCAGGCATGGTGGCGGGCACCTATAATCCCAGCTACCAGGGAGGCTGAGGCAGGAGAATCACTTGAACCCGGGAGGCGGAGGTTACGGTGAGCCAAGACTGTGCCACTGCACTCCAGCCTGGGCGACAGAGACTCTGCCTCAAAAAAAAAAAAAAAAAAAAAAAAAATTGACACTCACAGAAAGTAAGTGAAATTTGGAGTCAATATCTCTACATTCTCTGTTACTTCAGGGACATGCTCTGAAATAGGAGATCAGTGAAAAAAGTACTTTAGAGAATCAAATGTACCAAATGAGAAAAAAAAAAAAAAGTCGCATTAAGTCCTATCTGTCCTAAAAGTCAGCATTCCAAATTACTAAATATAATCAAAATGCAAGGCAAATGAACATTTTTGCTTCCAGTAATAGGGTTCTTAATTACACATTACTGGATGGAGCTGAAAAAATTCATAAACAAACATTGATCATTTGTTCTTATAATAAATGTAATTAGCTTAATGCTAGGCCTTTTATACAAATAAAAAGGCTCCAGTTATTATTTTATTAAGATAGTTTAAAATAGAAGGAATCCTTTGCCTTTTGTTTTCTGAGATGAAGTCTCGCTATGTTGCCCACGCTGGTCTCAAACTCCTGGGCTCAAGCGACCCTCCCGCCTCAGCTACCCAAGTAGTTTGCTTTGTTTTTTTTAATCTAAAAGCAAAGGTGTGAGCTTGATAAAGAAGTCTTGTGGTGAAGCAAAATGAAAAAATCTCAACCTTGAAAGCATTTAAATTATCTGAAGCAATTCTATAGCAAGTCTTTATAATTCCTCTACAAATCATGTAAAAAATTGATAAGACATGGCAGTATTTGCCCTCAAAAGCCTCTGTCACCACAAAACATCACCAGCTTATTTGCTTAACCCAAAGGCCAGATAAATCCAAAACTGGACCGAGGTCCATGACACTGGCCTCTGACCACTATGCCCAAAGCTCCACAGACACCTTCTTGGGGTTTTAAACAGAGACTTCTGTCCCCTACAAAATGAACAGACTCCAAAGGACGGCCATGGAATACTGTCCCTGTCCCTTCACTAGAGAAAGTATCTATTATAAAATGTGAGTGTTGCAACCCCAGAGTCAGTCATAAGGGCAATGATTAAAAGTCTTGAGCACTCAGGACAAACAAAATTCATCACTCCTTCCCACTAAGGCAGCTCAGTCCTATCCTCCATATGCAGTAGTAATTTCGTTTCTGAAAAGAAATGTAATGGTTTATAACACTCCGCAAGGGAGTTGAATGCACCATTCAAATTCTAACTCTAATCTGCTAGGTGCAGACATTGTTTACTCTCTGCCCAGAATGTAACAATATAACAACCATGTAAGATCCATATATTTTTGTGTATTTATTCATTTATAGCTGTTACATGGCCTAAACAGAAATAAATAAGATCCCAGAATCAGCCAACCTTGATTTCTTCCTCTCCTGTACCATCCCATTTAAAGATGAGTGGCCAAGTTCTGTAACCACATAACTAGCCCAATCTGGTTCAATTATGTGTAGTAAACTAGTAAGTTGTATTTCAGTTGCCACGAACCCCCAGGTTGTAGGTCAGGTAACTCGAGCACAGATGAACCCAGTGTGCCCAATGCGTGATACCAGAGGCAATCAGAACTAAAAAGTCAACCACAAGCAGAACCAAAGGGCTCGGATCAGGGAAAAGAGAGAATTAAGAAGCAAGCCTCGGCATCACCTCAGGGCATGCGCCAATCAGATCATGTCTTGGCATCACCTCACGGCATGCTCCAATCAAATCACACCTCCTGGCTTCACTTCGTTGCAAGATCCAATCAGATCACACTTCACTAATTATACTGCCTCATATTAATCCCTCTGCCTATAAAACCTGCCCCAGCCTCTAACTCAGGGAGACAGATTTGAGTGTTTCTTCCTATCTCCTTGCCAGTCGACTCCCAATAAAGCCTTTCTTTTTTTAAAAGCCAGTGCCACAGTATTGGCTTCTATATACATCCAGCAGTGAGCCCATTGCCCAGTAAAACAGTTCTAGGGTTTCATTTCCCAACATAACTGTTCTCTCCATCTACAATGCCACCATTCTTGTCCACGGCCTTGATTTCTCCTAAGGGACAATGGCAAAAGCCAAACTAAATGGCCTCCCTGTCTCCAACCTCTACTTCCACTCCTCCCATCTCCCATACCCATCACACTTGCCTTGAAAGAAAACTCATGTCCTCGCCAAGCTGCAGTGGCCTGACATGCAACCAGGAAAGGCAATTATGAGCTAACTTCCTAAGCACTTATGAAAATGGCAATGAATACACAAAACGTTCTTTATAAACTGACAGGACTACATGAATCTTACAGAATAATAGTAATAAAGCAGTGGTGCTAATGTTTTTTGTTTGTTTTTGTTTTAAATATCATACGATACTGGTTGGGTACAGTGGCTCATGCCTGTAAACCCAGGACTTTTAGAGGCCAAGGCAGGAAGACTGGTTGAGCCAAGGAATTGGAAACCAGCCTGGGCAACATAGTGAGATCTCAGCTCTACAAAAAAAAAATTTTTTTTTAATTAGCCAGGTGTGGTGGCATGTGCCTGTCATCTGAGCTACTTGGGAGGCTGAGGTGGCAGAATCACTTGAGCACAGGAGTTCAAGGCTGTGGTGAGCTATGATCACACCACTGCACTCTAGCATGGGTTACAAAGCAAGACCCTGTCTCTAAAAATAAAAAAAATTTAAAAAAAAAATCATACGATACCACTTAATTCATTTTGATACCATCATCCCAGAAACCACAGTACCACCCAATTTTGCCTAGGATAAAAACAAGGCCAAAACCTGATTTGCTGAAGACTTTAAGGTAAAATGCTATATAGTTGGAAACTGACAAACATGAGTTTTACAACAAACAAGCTTTTTCTTACCAAAACATACATTTCTCCTGGGAAAGAGTCTTTCTGATTGTTTGATCCTTTTTTACCATCAAGTGATTCCTTTTCTTATCAATTCCTATAGAAAAGGTTGGCTTGGCCGGGTGTGGTGGCTCACGTCTGTAATCCTAGCACTTTGGGAGGTGGAGGTGGGTGGATAACCTGAGGTCAGCAGTTTGAGACCAGTCTGGCCAACATGGTGAAACCCCATCTCTACTAAAAATACAAAAATTAGCCGGGCATGGTGGCAAAGGCCTATAATTTCAGCTACTGGGGAGGCTGAGGCACGAGAATCACTTGAACCCAGGAGGCAGAGGTTGCAGTGAGCCGAGATGGTGCCACCGCACTCCAGCCTGGGCAACAGACTCTGTCTCAAAGAAAAGAAAAAGAGAAGATTGGCTACAGAACGCCCAAATTCTCTAGAGGTCATTTTTCTAGACAGTCAACCTGGCTAGGCCTGGAGCCATGCCAGCACAGGATGGGCCTTCAGTAAATGTTGGTTGAATAAATGAAGAAATGCCTCAAAACTATCAGACAGCTATTTCCAGACCCGGAAACTTAGACCATACTTCTTTTAGTAACTAATTCTAAGCCTGGTAACTTTCAATATTAAAAACTCAGGTCGGACGTGGTGGCTCACACCTGTAATCCCAGCACTTTGGGAGGCTGAGGCGGGCAGATCACTTGAGGTCAGGAGTTCTAGAACAGCCTGGCCAACATGATGAAACCCATCTCTTCTGAAAATACAAAAATTAGCCAGGCGTGGTGGCATGCGCTTGTGGTCGCAGCTATTCAGGAGGCTGAGGCAGAAGAATCACTTGCACCTAGCAGGCAGAGGTTGCAATGAGCCAAGATCACACCTGGGCAACAAAGCAAGACTTCATCTCAAAAAAAAAAAAAAAAAAACTCTTATTCATGCTTAATTATACATGAAGTAGAGTTTTAATATTAATCTAAACTAATAAAAATTATATCACTGAAAAGGAATCACAGTAAAAAATTAAATTATTAATATTTAATAACTTTTGCTGCAATTTAACCCCACATTTAGATTCCTATTTCTTTAATAAATGAATCTCCAAGATATCACTCACTAGTCATGGTTCAGTTTTAAAATGACCAATTTTCACCATTACGCAAAGCTTTTGTATATACTGAGTTCTAAAAATGCCTTTTGAACTGGTGGAAAAGCAGCGTGCCCAAGCGTGTCAAGAGCTTTACTCTGACACCGTAATTCTATTTTGGATAACCTACCTTAACAAGATAACATGGGGACTCATTGCTAAGTGCTCCTAGCTACAGAGACCATGGTGAGTCAAGATGGTTTAAGGGCAGTGTATTGGGGTTGAAAGGATATCACCTCTTGTTTCTAGGTGAAGTAAACACTCCAAAGCCTTAAAAATAATTCTGAAACTAGCTTCCTGTTATTCCACTGCAATACCAACAGAAATTTATAATCAGAACTGGACATACTGAGATCCTTCTGCAATTTAAATAGCTGGCAAATGGAAATGTTTCTCCAGTGAGTAACTGTCAAGCATTTGCCATTTATTTCCAAAATTAATGATGCTGATGTTAGTGTTTGTCTGCTTAGCCAGAACATTGCTGTGGGGATTATTTAGCAACATTTATTTACTGCAGGAAAAAAAAAAAAAAAAGTAGCAATGGGCTTTACATTTACAAACCACAACATAAGAGAAAGAGAAAATAAACAATATAAAAATTATCAGGCTCCTCCTGACTCATGGTTCTCTAAACACTACAGCTTCTCTTCTGAGAACCACTCCTCCCTGGGGAAGCAGCCAAGAGGAGTGACACAGACAGATGGAGTCCAGGCTTGAGCCTGTCAACTTACCAGCCAACTGACGATGGACAAATTGCTTAAACTAAGCCTCAGTTGCTATCTGTTAAATGGTAAATTGCAGATGATAATAGTTTGATCATCTCAAGGTCACTGTGAGGATTGAGTGAGATAATCTAGTATGTATTTTGATTTCTCCTTTTTTCCTTTATTTTTTGAGACAGGGTTGTCTCAGGCTGTTGCCTAAGCTGGAGTACAGAGGCACAATCTCTGCTCACTGAAACCTCCATCTCTCAGGTTCAAGCGATTCTCCTGCCTCAGTCTCCCGAGTAGCTGGGATTACAGGCGTGTGCCACCACATCCCACTAACTTTTGTATTTTTAGTAGAAATGAGGTTTCGCCATGTTTGCCAGGCTGATCTTGAACTCCAGACCTCAGGTGATCCACCAGCCTCAGCCTCCCAAAGCTCTGGGATTACAGGCATAAGCCACTGCACCCGGCCTCCTAATATTTTAAACCTACACTGGAACTCTCCTCTCTCCCCACACCCGCTAACCCATTCTCCAATTCAATCAAATCACATTGCCTCCCACTGCCTTCAGGAGAAAGCTCAGCCCCCTCCACTGCAGGACTTGAGAAGCCTCTAGGATCCTACCCCATCTTCCTTCTCTATGTCACAGCTCCAAATATCCCTACCCCCAGTCAACTCTAGGCACACCAAACTGTTTAGGGTTCCCCAAACATGCCACCCCTAACACCCTATTCCTCCCATATCTCCATCTGTCTCCCTAACATTCCAGTGTTTCAAACTTTAGTGCTCTAGTTCTTAGAAACCACTCTCATACTTCAAATTATCTTCAGTCCTAGAAGAAGTCTTAAATAGTACTACAGAGGGAGGGAGGTAGAATACCAAGGTGGTGTTTTGGTAGGACCAAATCTATCCTATTTGAAGACATATACTTATATAAGCTAATTATTAACTATTATAGTTAATATATTCTAATTCTAATTATATTGAAATAATTAGTTAATATTATATTCTAATTCTAATTATATATTATACTAATAATATATAATTATATCAGAATAATTAGTTAAAATTATATTCTAATTCTAATTATATAATTGTTATATAATTCTAATATAATTATATAATTCTAATATAATTATATATTAATTCTAATATAATTATATAATTCTAATATAATTATACATTAATTCTAATAGAATTAGAATATAATGTTATTATATAAAAAATATATTAACTACTATACAAGAAAATACAATGCGGCTGGATTAACTTTTTCAATCTACATAAGAACTTTATAAGGCAGATACTGTTATCTCCCACATTACAAATGAGAAAACGGAAGCACAGAGGGGTAAAATAATTTGTCCAGATACACAAGCTGAGACGTATGACTCCATGAAAGTTAGTGAGTATTACTCAAAAACCAGTCTTACAATGACAGTGCTTCGACCCAACTCTTAAGCACTGGCACGTACTACTTCCCTCGACAGTAACAACTAAGGCAATTTCATGTGGTGTGTCATGGATGATCACGCGGAAAGCATTCGGGGAATGTGTGAGCCAGCCCCAAAGAAAATGCCAGAAAAAGCCAGGCTCAGTGGCTTGCACCTGTAATCCCAGCACTTCGAGAGGCTGAGGCAGGTGGATCACCTGAGGTCAGGAGTTCAAGACCAGCCTGGCCAACATGGCGAGGCACTGTCTCTACTAAAAATACAAAAATTAGCCGGGCGTGGTGGCGGGTGCTATAATCCCACCTACTGGGGAGGCTGAGGCAGAATTGCATGAACCCGGGAGGCGGGGGCTGCCATGAGATGATATTGTGCCACTGCACTCCAGCCTGGGCAACACAGCAAGACTGTCTCAAAAAAAAGAAAAGAAAAAACAAAATGCCAGAAAAAGAAAAGAAAAAGAAAAGCCAAGCAGTAAAAACCTCCAATGCCAAGTTTAGTATCCCATATCCCATAGAAATCGAAAACAAGATCTATTTGAACACCCTGCTGTAACCTAACAATCATGAAAAATGAAAACTGGTAGCTTATTTTGTGTCATACCAAAATTGGGAAAAAACACGTATTTTTCCCAAAGACCTGATGATTTTATGAGAGATTTTTATGAGAAATCTGAAATATCATAAACCAGCTGCTTAAAGCTCATAAAGCCCAAAATCATTTCATTTCAAAAAAATAATGTACATGGATGTCTGAAATCTTCATTAGTGTTTTCTCCAGTGCCCTCTAATGGCCATAAGATGAAAAAGCAAAGAAAATTACATACCCACAAATTATCCCAAACTCTTCACCCACTATAAACAAAGTTTTTAAATTCTTTTTCTTTTTTTTTTTGAGATAGGGTCTCACTCTGTCACCCAGGCTGGAGTGCAGTGGCGTGATCTCGGCTCACTACAACCTCCGCCTCCTGGGATCAAGCAATCCTCCCACCTCAGCCTCCCAGTAGCTGGGATTATAGGCACGCACCATCACCCCCAGCTAATTTTTGTATTTTTCGTAGAGATAGGGTTTCGTCATGTTGCCCAGGCTGGTCTCAAACTCCTGAGCTCAAGCGATCCACTTGTCTAGGCTTCCCAAAGAGCTAGGATTACAGGCATGAGCCACTGCGCCCTGCTAAACAAAGCTTTTAAATAAAGCTTAACCTGGTAGAAAATACAAAAATCTCTCAATCAGCTATCACATGCATCATTTTCAGACAATTTCACCAATGAAAATTACTCAGATTTTTAATTAAGAGTCATAACATTACACATTCACGTTGACCCAGTATATCAATATGGGGAATGTGTAAATGTAGGAAAACATTCATACATTTTTCAAAAGTAAGAAAGGTCTCAGACCAGTGTTAATTATAAGAGCAGAAAACTTGAAAGCACATCAAATGACCAACTCTAAGAAAATGTATAAGCAAATTTTAAATGTTTAAGCAAGGCCAGGCCCGGTGGCTATCCTAGCACTTTGGGAGGCCAAGGCGGGCGGATCACTTGAGGTCAGGAGTTCAAAATTACCCTGGCCAACACGGTAAAAACCCCATCTCTACAAAAAATACAAAAATTAGGCAGGCATGGTGGCACATGCCTGTAATCCTAGCTACTCGGGAGGCTGGGATGGGAGAACTGCTTGAACCCAGGAGGCGGAGGCTGCAGTGAGCCAAGATTGCACCACTGCACTCCAGCCTAGGTGACACAGTGAGACTCCATCTCAAAAAAAAAAAATAGACCAGGCATGGTGGCTCATGCTTGTAATCCCAGGACTTTGGGAGGCCAAGGCAGGTGGATCACAAGGTCAATGGATCAAGACCATCCTGGCCAACACGGTGAAACCCCGTCTATACTAAAAATACAAAAATTAGCTGGGCGTGGTGGCACGTACCTGTAGTCCCAGCTACTCAGGAGGCTGAGGCAGAACAATCACTTGAAAGAGGGAGTAGAGGCTGCAGTGAGCCGAGATCGCGCCACTGCACCCCAGCCTGATGACAGAGTGAGACTCTGTCTCAAAAAAAAAAAAGTAATTAAAAAAATAATAAAATGCTCATTTCAATGTCTGTCGGGCTTTTCAAGATTATAAAGCACTTTCATATACAACAACTCTATGTTCCTCAGGAAAGGAGATTAAAGCTAGGGAAGGTTAAACTGTACCTTTAGATCACCAAGTTACAATCTGGCTGGACCAGACCTTGTACCCATATTCCATCTACTTGTCATTCTTTTTTTTTTTTTTGAGACGGAGTCTCACACTGTCACCCAGGCTGGAGTGCAGTGGCGGGATCTCGGCTCACTGCAAGCTCCACCTCCTGGGTTCATGCCACTCTTCTGCCTCAGCCTCCCGAGTAGCTGGGACTACAGGTGCCTGCCACCACACCTGGCTAATATTTTTGTATTTTTTAGTAGAGATGGGGTTTCATTGTGTTAGCCAGGATGGTCTTGATCTCCTGACCTCATGATCTGCCCGTCTCAGCCTCCCAAAGGACTGGGATTACAGGAGTGAGCCACTGCACCCGGCCTACTTGTCATTCTTAATAGCTCCTCTTCCCGGGCTTCAAAATACAAAAGCTACTAAAAATGACAAAGACCACATGGCCACATGGAAGTACAAGTTGAGTAGCTTTAGCTGAAATGCTTAGGGGATCAGAAGTTTTTCAGATTTCACAATTTTTTTTAGATTTTCAAATACTTGCATTTTGCTTAACAGTTGAGCATCCCAAATCTTCAAAGCCAAAATCCGAACTGCTCCAATGAGTATTTCCTTTGTTTTGTTTGTTTTGTTTTGCTTTTGAGATGGAGTCTTGCTGTGTTGCCCAGGCTGGAGTGCAGTGGCACAATCTTGGCTCACTGCAACCTCTGCTTCTGGGGTTCAAGCGATTCTCCTGTCTCAACCTCCCGAGTAGCTGGGACTACAGGCATGCGCCACCATACCCGGCTAATTTTTATATTTTTAGTAGAGACGGGGTTTCGCCATGTTGGCCAGGTTGGTTTCGAACTCCTGACCTCAGGTGATCTGCCTGCCTCAGCCTCCCAAAGTGCTGGGATTACAGGTGTGAGCCATCATGCCTGGCCACATGTTTGTATTTTGGAGACAAGGTTTTACTCTGTTGTCCAGGCTGGAGTGCAGTGGTGCGATCATAGCTCACTGCAGCCTTGACCTCCCAGGCTCAAACAATCCTCCCACCTCAGCCTCCCAAGTAGCTGGGACCACAGGTACCAGCCACCATGCCCAGCTAACTTTTTATGTTTTGTAGAGACAAGGGTCTCACTATGTTGCCCAGGCTGGTCTCAAACTCCAGGGGTCAAGAGATCCACCCACCTCAGCCTCCCAAAGTTCTGGGATTACAGGAATGAGCCACCAAGCCCGGCCTGGTGTGGACGTGAATTTATTTTGAGACAGTCTCACTCTGTCACCCAGGCTGGAGTGCAGTGGCGTAATCTAGGCTCACTGCAACCCCTGCCTCCCAAGTTCAGGCAATTCTCCTGTCTCAGCCTCCTGAGTAGTTGGGACTACATGCATCTGCCACCACGCCAGGCTAATTTTTATATTTTTTTAGTAGAGACAGGGTTTCACCATGTTAGCCAGGCTGGTCTCGAACTCCTGACCTCAGGTGATCTGCCCGCCTCGGCCTCCCAAAGTACTGGGATGATAGGCATGAGCCACCAAGCTCGGCCCGAGCATTTCCTTTGAATGTCATATCAGGACTCAAAAAGTTTCATATTTTGAAGCATTTTGGATTTCAGACTTTTGGATTAAGGACACATGACATGTATTAGGAAGTAAGTAACAAAATGCTAAAACAAGAGAAAGATGCTAATTTTAAATTTAGAAAATAACTATAATGTTAGAGTATTATATTCATCACAGTATTTTTTAAATTTTTTTTATTAATAGAGACAGTGTTGCTATGTTGCCGAGGCTGGTCTCAAATTCCCGGGCTCAAGCAATCCTCCCACCTCAGGCTCCCAAAGTGCTGGGATTACAGGCAGAGTCGCCGCACCCAGCCTGGGATATTTTTTTATGATAAGCTTTACAAAAGAAACCAAATAATCCAATATAAAAATAGATGAAACACAGTGTACAATAAAGAATAAGATGTCTAGCCTTTGTCCCCAGCTCCTGGAAAATTAACCTCTAAATCCTTGAACATTCTCAAGTGATAGGATTATCTTTTTTTTTTTTTTTTTTGAGACGGAGTTTCGCTCTTGTTGCCCAGGCTGGAGTGCAATGGTGCAATCTTGGCTCACTGCAACCTCCGCCTTCTGGGTTCAAGGGATTCTCCTGCCTTAGTCTCCCAAGTAGCTGGGATTACAGGCATGCACCACCACGCCTGGCTAATTCTTTTTTTTATTTAGTAGAAATGGGGTTTCACCATGGTGGTCAGGCTGGTCTCCTGACGTCAGGTGATCCACCTGCCTCGGCCTCCCAAAATGCTGGGATGACAGGTGTGAGCCACTGCGCCCGGCTAGGAGTATCTTTGTTACTCATGGTGAGCCCTTCAGACTACATCTGATATTTTATGCTAATTAGGTGTCTCATGGCGGACCCCTAGGGCAATGTGGTATCAGCCCAAAATTCAGGAGGAAGAGGGGGTGCTCAAGACTGAGCCTTACCACAGAGGCAATCAATTAATCAATCATGCCTAGCTAATGAAGGCTCAATAAAAACTGGGCCAGGCACAGTGGCTGACGTCTGTCACCAGCTGCTGGTCTGCCCCACTGGGTCTGGCAGCCCTCCCAGGATGGGCCCACACCCTCCTCCCTCCAGTCCCTGCCCAGCAGCTGCACTTGATCCCTCTGTAGTCTCTTTGCTTCTGGCTGGTAAATGATGTCAACCTGCTGCCTTGGCTGCCAGACCCTGTACACAACTCAGCTTCTGTTGTGTGACCAGTTCATGGTTTATTCTCTATTTGTCTCTCATGTCTTCCTTTTCCGCTGAAGAATCCTGTCTTCTCTTTGGCCATCTCAAATTGAAATCCTAAACTATTCCTGCAGAACTGCCTGGCTGGCACCCACAAGCAATACCTCTTGTTCCAGCACGACCAAGGGAGCCAGCCTCCAGTGAGTGACTCCAGCAAGTGCGGTCACCTCTCCCTTGAGGGTCTGGGAGCCTGGCCCCAGCAAGGGGCCCTCCTGACCTCTGGCTCTAGTGAAGCTGAATGTCCTCACTTTATGGGTCACACTCTTTCCATTTCTGTAAAGAATCTTGGCACACCTGGGGCTTACCAGTGGCCCAGGTAATTTTTGTTTCATGGACTATGGACTGTTTCAAAGGGATCTGATCCTTTTGAATTGTGCACAGCCCTAGATATAATCTCTTTTGATAAAAGGGTCTTTGCTTCTGATTAGAGGAGCGCTATGGAACGTCTGTAAACATGTTTTTATAATCCCATGTATAATTGGTATGCACTCACATAATACCAGTCCCCAGCAGCCACTCTTCTCTGTATAGGGCCATAATAGGATTCCGAAGAAACCTTGGGGAGGGAGGGGGAGTTGGAACAAATGTCTATTCCCTGGAGCCCAGTCTGGTGCTCAGACTTTTAGACTCATTATAAGTTGCCACTGCCAACATGACACCAAAGTGTGTGAGTTGTCGATGCAGCGCGACAGCATTAAAGACTGATGCTAAACCTCAAAAAAAAAAAAAAAAGGAAATATCAAAACCATTCTGATCTGAGGACAATGGGAGCCTTGGACTTAAGAACAATAGAACCGGCCGGGCACAGTGGCTCACGCCTGTAATCCCAGCACTTTGGGAGGCCAAGGTGGGCGGATCATAAGATCAGCAAATCGGGACCATCCTGGCTAACACGGTGAAACCTCGTCTCTACTAAAAACACAAAAAATTAGCTGGGCATGGTGGCATGCACCTGTAGTCCCAGCTACTCGGGAGGCTAAAGCAGGAGAATCGCTTGAACCTGGAAGGTAGAGGTTGCAGTCAGCGAGATGGCGCCACTGTACTCTGGCCTGGGCAACAGAGGAAGACTCCATCTCAAACAAACAAACAAAAAGAACAATGGAACTTCCCAGGCATTGCCTTGTGCATGTCTTCCCTTAGCTGATTTTCTGTATCCTTTCCTCACAATGAACTATACCCTTGAGTATAAAAGCTTTCAGGGAGCTCTGTGCGTTTTTCTAGCAAATTATCAACCTGAGGATGGTCTAAGGACCGCAACAAATCTGTAGCTGGTGTCAAAAGTGGGAGCAGTCTTGGAGACTGTGGTCTCAGACCTTGCAGTTTGTCTAATTTCAGGCAGACAGAAAGAAATGATTCAGGCCAGGCGCAGTGGCTCACGCTTGTAATCCCAACACTTTGGGAGACCGAGGCGGGTGATCATTTGAGGCCAGGAGTTTGAGACCAACCTGGCCAACATGGTGAAACCCCATCTCTATAAAAAATACAAATTAGTTGTGCATGGTGGCATGCACCTGTAATCCCAGCTACTTGGGAGGATGAGGCAGGAGAATCACTTAAAACTGGGAGGCGGAAGTTGCAGTGAGCCAAGATCACACTACTACACTCCAGCCTGGGCAACAGAGCAAGACTCCATCTCAAAAAAAAAAAAGAAAGAAATGTTTCACATGAAAAGAAAAAAGAAAGAAAAAATGCAAATGAACAATAAACACAAAATGCATCCAATCTCACTCAAAATTTTAAAAATGCAAATTAACACAAAGCTACTATTTTTCAGATTGACAAGATTTGAAAGATTGATAACATCTCAGATGTAGAGAACAGGTACTCTCATTTCTCTTCTACAATGGAAACAGATGGGAAACTCTTTGCAACTTTCACAAGGCGATTTGGAAATATCAAAACTACAAACTCCCTTTGACGCCGGAATTTCAATTTTAGGAATTTATTCTTCGGATAAGTTTATATCAGCCACAAAAAATATGAGCAAGAGTATCCATTACAAAAATGAGAAAACACCTGAATGTTAATGAACAAGAGCCAAATAAATTGTGGGACATCATTACGAACTACCTTAAAATGAACCTTACATTGAATTCATCTAATATGACAGGACCAGAAAGCTGTCATGTTAAAGCGAAAGAAAAGCAGTCTGTAGACCAGGAGTACAAAATGATCCCATTTGTGTAGCCAAAAAACAAAATTATACCAAAACAAATGTGTTTATAAAAGGCAATAAAATACCTGCAAGAATACTGTCAAACTGAAAACTGTGGTTACTATGAAAAGCGGATCCAGGAAAAACAGGAACAGAGGACTGCTGTCTGTGAAATTTTAAAACACATGTCAACAGGGTTTTAAATTAAAGGAGGCCGGGCACAGTGGCTCACGACTGTAATCCCAGCACTTTGGGAGGCCAAGGCAGGTGGATATCTTGAGGCCAGGAACTGGACATCAGCCCAGCCAACATGGCAAAACCCCGTCTGTACTAAAAAAAATACAAAAATAGCCAGGTGTGGTGGCACACATCTGTAATCCCAGCTACTCGGGAGGCTGAGGCAGGAGAATTGCTTGAACCCAGAAGGAGGAGGTTGCAGTGAGCTGAGATCGCATCACTGCACTCCGGCCTGGGCAACAGAGCAAGACTCCATCTCAAAAAAAAAAAATAAAATAAAAATAAATAAATAAATTAAATGAAACTACAAAGAGAAGATCAGATCAAGTTAAAAATTTTCAAAGACATATCTGAGAAACAGTTTTACAACATTAAAAATGGCTCCCCTGGCCAGGAACGGTGGCTCACGCCTGTAATCCCAGCACTCTGGGAGGCCGAGGTGGGCAGATCACAAGGTCAGGAGTTCAAGACCAGCCTGGCCAAGATGGTGAAACCTCGTCTCTACTAAACATATAAAAATTAGCCAGGCATGGTTGCAGGCGCCTGTAATCCCAGCTACTCGGGAGGCTGAGGCAGAGAATTGCTTGAATCCCAGAGGCAGAGGTTGTACTGAGCCAAGATCACGCCACTGCACTCCAGCCTTGGCAACAGAGCGAGACTCCGTCTCAAAAAAAAAAAAAAAGGGTCCCCCAGATCACAGAGATGAAAGAGTAGAGAGCATGGAGGTAATGGGACAGGGTTTTTGAAGATTTCTCTAGAGAATGTTGGTAAGGTACTTTAAGTTCTCTCCACTCCCTCAAAAGGAGAGAGGCTACAGGGAGCTGTCAGCTTCTTACCTCTAGCCCCACAAGAAAACTGCCAATCCAGCCTCTCAAAGAAGTTGCTCTGTATCCCCCGCCCTCAGAGGATTACAGATTGACGTACGGCTGCCGCCTAGGAAATTCAGAAGCAAACGGATCAGCTACTTGCATTAGCAAGTGAGCACTGCTGCTGGGTAGGAATTGGCCTGTCCCCTCCAAATAAAGAACTCAGGAGTGTTCCCCTGACAGCAGGATGGGGGCAAGGGAGATCTCAGATCCTGACCCATTGGTCAAGTAGAGCAGACAGCAGGTGACAGACTTCAAAAGAGAAGCCAGAGGGACAGGGCACAGAGGAGGGACTAAGCAGCCATCAGTATACTTCTTGGACAGGTGCAGTGGCTCATGCCTGGAATCCCAACACTTTGGGAGGCTCAGGCAGGAGGATCGCCTGAGGTAAGGAGTTCAAGACCAGCCTGGCCAATATGGTGAAACTCCATCTCTACTAAAATTACAAAAATTAGCCGGGCGTGGTGGTACGCACCTGTAATCGCAGCTACTCAGGAGGCTTACACAGGACAATCGCTTGAACCTGGGAGGCAGAGGTTGCAGTGAGCTGAGATTGTGCCACTGCACCCCAGCCTGGATGAGACAGCGAGATTCTGTCTCAAAAAAAAAAAAAAAAAAAAAAAAAAAAAGGTATACTTCTCTGCTGCTGGAAAATGGGCTCAAAAAAGAAGGAAAAAGAAAGACAAGTACACTTCTCAGCTTCTCAGAGTACATTTTGCTCAGCGCAAGGGACTTGCCAGGGAGATGGTCATGGAAGATATCTCCAAAGAAGCCATGAAAACATTCCCTGGAAAGAGAGTCAACTCAAAACACATGACTAGGAGAGTGAGCACAAAGACCTCTATGACAGCAGTGATCAAGTAAGAACTTCCCCACTTTTCTTTTTTTTCTTTGAGACAGGGTCTAACTCCCATCGCCCAGACTGGAGTGCAGTGGCACGATCTCAGCTCACTGCAACCTCTGCCTCCCAGGCTCAAGCGATTCTCCTACCTCAGCCTCCCGAGTAGCTGAGATTACAGGCGCCATCACATCTGGCTAATTTTTGTTTTTGTATTTTTGGTAGAGACAGGGTTTTGCCATGTTGCCCAGGCTGGTCTCAAACTCCTGGGCTTAAGTGATCCATCCGTCTCGGCCTCCCAAAGTGCTGGGATTACATGTGCAATTCAGCACGCCAGGCCTCCTACTTCTGTTTATCTGTCCTGCCTCCCCGCAGCTGCTCCCAAACCCTACGGAGATCCAAAACAGCAGCTAACAAATAGGCTGGGTGACAGAGTGAGACCCTGTCTCCAAAAAAAATAAAATAAAAATACAACAAAAAAATCCACTGCAAATTTCCCAAAATGTCCAGACAATGGTCTTTTCTCTTTGATCCAAGACTAAAATTTACAAAATGCTTTTGGATTTTCTCATCGTCTCTTTTAATCCTAGAATGGTTATCGCCTCACCATGTTTTTTTGTTGTTATTGTTTATGATATTGACATTTACAAAGTCTAAAAGGCTTGTGGCAAATACTGGATTTGTCTCATTGTTTCCCCATGATGAGATTCAAGCTAAACATTTTTTGACGAGAAACTACAGAGATGATGTGTATGTGTCTTGCTATACATCATATCAGCAGGAACATGGGTCACATTTTAGTAGAAATGATGATGCTAAATTTGGTTGGTTGGTGTAGGTGGGAATCACCTGATCTCTCCATTTGTAAAGGCACATTGTTCCCTCTGTAATTAGAAACTAATATGTGGGGGGTTTTCCCCACTCATTCCTCATTTCTAGTTGGTTTAGTTTGTGGGATGATATTTTGAGACACTGAGTATCTATTCCCCAAAGACATTTCACACAATCCTTGCTTAAACCAATTTGTTTTGTTTTGTTTTGTTTTTGAGAAGGAATCTTGCTCTGTTGCCCAGGGTGGAGTGCAATGGTGCAATCTCAGCTCACTGCAACCTCCGCCTTCCAGGTTCAAGTGACTCTCCTGCCTCAGCCTCCCCAGTAGCTGGGACTACAGGTGTGTGCCAACACGCCTGGCTAATTTTTGTATTTTTAGTAGAGACGGGGTTTCACTATGTTGGCCAGACTGGTCTCGAACTCCCGACCACAGGTGATCCGCCCACCTCGGCCTCCCAAAGTACTGGGATTACAGGCGTGAGCCACCATACCCGGCTGAATCCTTGCTTAAATCAATTATTACACTAGGAATTGCAAACAGCTGATTTTCTAATTCTCTCATGCCTTACATAGTTAGTATCTAGAAGCCTTCTCCTACACAACACGCCTCCTGTTTGAGCCGCACACAGACTGATTTTTTTTTTTTTTTTTTTGAGATGGAGTCTCGCTCTGTCGCCTAGGCTGGAGTGCAATGGCGCAATCTCAGCTCACTGCAAGCTCCGCCTCCCGGGTTCAAGTGATTCTCCTGCCTCAGCCTCCCGAGTAGCTGGGATTACAGGTATGCGCCACCACGCCCAGCTAATTTTTAGTCGAGACAGGGTTTCACCATGTTGGCCAGGTTGGTCTTGAACTCCTGACCTCAGGTGATCCACCCACCTCGGTCTCCCAAAGTGCTGGGATTACAGGCATGAGCCACCGTGCCAGGCCAACTAATTTTTTTTTTAATTTGATGTAATGTAATCTATTACGTTCATTCATCTTTTTGAAGCTCTAATTGTTCCAAGTTTGGCCTGTAAGAAACCCTTCGAGTTGGTTCCTACGTCTTTTTGGCAGGTGTCCATAAGTCTCTGAGGCCCCACTTGTTCAGTAAGATGTCCCAGGGCTCATCTGTTACCCTTCTTTCACCAGTCCTGAAACCAGCCCTTTATCATAAGGAATGCTATTCAGAAAAACAAGATCTGAGTGCTTAGTACATTGATTATTTCTGGGTCTGTGGCACAATAAAGAATATATCTGGGCCAGTCATGGTACAATGGTGCAATCTTGGCTCACTGCAACCTCCACCTCCTGGGGTCAAGCGATTCTCCTGCCTCAGCCTCCTGAGTAGCTGGGATTACAGGCACGTACCACTACGCCCAGCTAATTTTTGTATTTTTTTAATAGAGATGGGGTTTCATCATGTTGGTTAGGCTGGTCTCGAACTCGTGACCTCAGGTGATCCGCCTGCCTCAGCCTCCCAAAGTGCTGGGATTACAGGCATGAGCCACCACACCCAGCCATATATATCTGACCTTTGACCCTGGTTCTTGGTACACAGCTTCAAAAAACCTTGGCATTTCCTAAGTAATAGATTCAGGATGAAGGCTGATCACCAGAAAGAAACCAGTGATTAGAGGATTAGAATTTAGGGCCAGCCTGACCTTTGAGAAAAGGAAATACACTGGAGATTCAGCTTAATCAACTGCCCAATGATTTAACCAATCTTGCTTGCATGATGGGATACCAATAAAAACCCTGGACACTGAAGCTCAGTGGGGCTTCCTGGTTGAGGAACACACTGATGTGCCTGGATTCCAAGAGGACAGGACACAGAAGCTCTGTGTCTCTTCCTCATGCCCACTCCCCAGAGTATCTCTTCCTTGACCGAGAGTATCTCTTCCATTTGACCGTTTCTGATCTGTGGCCTTTATAATAAAACTGCAACCTAGATCGGCCTGGGCAACATGGTGAGACCTTGTCTCTAGAAAGAAATTTAAAATGACCTTGGCGTGGTGGTGCGTGTCTGTAGTCCCAGCTACTCAGGAGGCCGAGATGGGAGGATCCCTTGAGCCCAGGAGTTCAAGGTTGCAGTGAGCCGTGATCACACCACTGCACTTCAGTCTGGATGAAGGAGTGAGACTCTGTCTCAAAAACATCAAAAAACAAAAAACAAACCTGCAATCTTAACTATAGTGCTTTCAGGGAGTTCTGTGAGTCATTCCGGCAAAAAAGTAGATAGCCGTGAGACTTCCAGCAGGTATCTGAAGTCAGGGCAGTCTTCTATAGGACTCTGCCCTAAACCTGTCCAGTCAGACACTAACTCTGGGTAGGATATATCAGAATTGAATTGAACTACAGGATACCCATTTGGTGCCAGAGATCGATGTCAGAACATGCAAAGTCTTTCAGTGAACCCAGCTAGAAAATACTATTTATATATATATATATATACACACACACACACACACACACACACACACACACGCACACACACATATTTAACTAAGTTTGCAAATATAAATGCACATTTTTTTAAATCTTAAGTCCACATCATTTTTTTAAATCTTAAGTCCATATCAGCCAGCCGGGCGCGGTAGCTCACGCCTGTAATCCCAGCACTTTGGGAGGCCGAGGTGGGTGATCACGAGGTCAGGAGATCAAGACCACGGTGAAACCCCGTCTCTACTAAAAATACAAAAAATTAGCTGGGCGCAGTGGCAGGCGCCTGTAGTCCCAGCTACTCGGGAGGCTGAGGCAGGAGAATGACGTGAACCCAGGAGGCAGAGCTTGCAGTGAGCCGAGATTGCGCCACTGCACTCCAGCCTGGGCAACAGAGCGAGACTCCGTCTCAAAAAAAAAAAAAAGTCCATATCAGCGTCCAAATAAAATCCAACACCACTTGGAAATCACATTAATGCATATCAATCCACCATAGTGTTATTCAGAGCCACACAACAATATTCCATTGTGTGGATATACCATGCTTTTTTCAACCAGTATTCGACAGAGTTGTTTGCTATGTATGCTGCAATGCATAAGCCTGTGGAAATGCTGTTTTGCATTAATGAAGCTGTATCTTTAAGGCAAATTCATACAACTGGGCCTGCTGGATCATGGATAAATGCATATGTGATTTTGGTAAAAACTGTCAAAAGCCCTTCCATACAGGCTAGACCATCCTGGACTCCCACCTGCAAGGTATGAGTGCCTGTTTACTCACAGCCTCGCCTAACTGAGTATGTCATCCAGCTTTGGAGTTTTGTTATTATATTCTGAAAGGCGAGAAATGTTTATCAGTGTAGTTTTCATTTGTATTTCTCTTATTATGAGTAAAGTTAAGCATCTTTTCATGTTTAAATCTCTTTGTAGAGCCATTTCTGAGAAATTCTTATTCGTGTGTTTTGCCAACTTTTTCTACTAGGTTTTTGGTCAGCTGGAATTACAGGCATGCGCCACCACACCCAGCTAATTTTGCATTTTCAGAAAAGACGGGGTTTCACCATGTTGGTCAGGCTGGTCTCGAACTCCTGACCTCAAGTGATCCACCTGCCTTGGCCTCTCAAAGTGTGGGGATTACAGGCGTGAGCCACGGCACCTGGACAGGTCTGCCTTTTTTTTTTTTTTTTTTGAGACAGAGTCTTGCTCTGTTGCCCAGGCTTGAATGCAGCAGCATGATCTCAGCTGAATGCAACCTCTGCCGCCAGGGTTCAAAAGATTCTCGTGCCTTAGCCTCCCAAGTAGCTGGGACTACAGATATGCGCCACTATGCCCAGCTTATTTTTTTTGTATTTTTTAGTAGAGATGGGGTTTCACCATGTTGGCCAGGCTGGTCTCAAGCTCCTGACCTCAAGCAATCCACCCACCTCGGCCTCCCAAAGTGCTGGGATTACAAGCATGAGCCACCACACCCAGTCAGGTCTGCTTTTTTTTTTTTTTTGAGATGGAGTCTCGCTCTGTCACCCAGGCTGGAGTGCAGTGGCGCGATCTCTGCTCACTACAAGCTCTGCCTCCCGGGTTCACGCCATTCTCTTGCCTCAGCCTCCCGAGTAGCTGGGACTACAGACATCCACTACCACACCTGGCTAATTTTTTGTATTTTTAGTAGAGACGGGGTTTCACCGTGTTAGCCAGGATGGTCTCGATCACCTGACCTCGTGATCTGCCTGCCTCGACCTCCCAAAGTGCTGGAATTACAGGTGTGAGCCACCGCGCCTGCAGGTCTGCCTTTTTTTGAAAGAGTTCATTGCATAGTAAAAAGATTAACACCTTGTCTGAGATATAAGAGGCAAATAGTTCCTCCTGTTTTGCCTTTTGATTTTTCTTATGGCCATGTAAAACACTTTAAAGTCATTCATAAATTTAATATTTTTTTATTGCTTCTAGATTTTGAATCATACAGAAAAGCTTTCTCCAGGTTATACAATAATCCATCTGATTCTACTATGGTCATGTAAAACACTTTAAAATCATTCATAAATTTAATTTTTTTTATTGCTTCTAGATTTTGAATCATATAGAAAAGCTTTCTCCAGGTTATACAATAATCCATCTGATTCTACTATCTATATGATTTTTTCAACATTCAGCATTTAGCTCGCTCATCCATTTGGAAATTATTCTGACATATATACAAGCTAACAGACGTTTCACATCTTTTTTTTTTTTTTGAAACAAGGTCTCACAATGTCATGCAGGCCGGGGTGCAGTGACATGATCACAGCTCACTGCAGCCTCAAACTCCCAGGTCCAAGCAACCCTTCCACCTCAGCCTCCCAAGCAGTTGTGACTACGGGCACATGCCACTACAACTAGCTAATTTTTTTTATTTCTTGTAGAGATGGGGTTTCACTATGTTGCTGAGCCTGGTCCCAAACTTCTGGCCTCAAGAAATCCTCCCATCACGTCAGCCTCCCAAAGTGCTGGGATTACAGGGTGAGCCACTGCACTCAGCCAACATAATTTATTTTTAGAGTCCCTTTTAAACTCCAGGTCTTCAGAGTCCACCTTTAATATATATGAAATTCCTACATATTCTTAGAATTTTATTCTGTTGCAAGGGTCTTTGTCTCATCATGAGCCAGTACTACAGTTTTAATTAGAGATACCTTGTGGTATGGTTCAATATGTGGGAGTCTTGACAGAGCAAGACTCCGTCTCAAAAAAAAAAAAATAGGCAGACCTGGCTGGGTGTGGTGGCTCATCCTTCTCATCACTACTTTCACCAGGGTTTTCATAACTATTATTCCATGTTTATTTTTTCCACATGAATAGATCAATCTAGATCTAAGAGTCTAGAGGACCTACTAGAATTTTTATTGGGATTCCATCAAACTTATATATTAAGAGAACTGACATCTTTACCATTCTGAGTCACTCTACCTAAAACAAGGAATGTCTTTCCATTTGTTCGAGTCCACTTTGATGCCATTCAGGAATGTTTTAAAGTTTTCCAACGTAGGTTTAAGACACTTCTTTTTAAATTAATCTGTAGGTAGGCCAGGTGTGGTAACTCATGTGTGTAATCCCAGCACCACAGGAGGCCAAGGCGGGCAGATCACCTGAGGTCAGGAGTTCGAGACCAGCCTGGCCAACATGGTGAAATCCCGTCTCTACTAAAAATACAAAAATTAGCTCAGCGTGGTGGTATGCACCTGTAGTCCCGGCTACTCGGGAGGCTGAGGCAGGAGAATCACTTGAAACCAGGAGGCAGAGGTTGCAGTGAGCCGAGATTGCACCACTGCACTCCAGCCTGGGTGACAGAATGAGACTCCATTTCAAAAAAATAAAAAATAAATTAATCGATAGGTAATTATTTATCTTTTATGTAGCTAGTCTAAATGAGGTGTTCTCTTTTACTATAGCTTCTAACTGGCTATTGTTTGGAAATATAAAGTCTATTGACTTTCTACATTATGATATCCTGCTAACCTTACTGAGTTCATTTGAATTTGTATAGGTTTTAGCATTGATTTTCTTGGATTTTCTAGTAGCTTTTTTTTTTAAGGCTTATGGACTACATATAATTTTAATTTGGGGGATTCTCATTTTCCAAAACTCACAGTTAAATTGAGGCTGTTATTTTTATAGTATAGTATACACAATATTACTTCAATTTTAGATCACTGGAATCTGCATGAAATCCTACTGCATCGTACATTCTCACATTCATCTAGTCACTGAAACAGTCACATCCCAGATTGGTATTTCCTGGATTCCTAGGGGCCCCAGTCATGCTGATCTCCACACCCACAGACCAGGCTGCCATCCTTAAGCCCCAACACCACTTAGTCTATACAGCAGAGAAGCAAATTTACACTGGAGTTTCACTTGGAATCTCAACCATAATAAATCCTATCATGCTGTTCATCTTCAAATAGCCCTGAATAAAATCTCTCTAACCATCTACAACAAGCTTGTCCAACCCACAGCCCACTGGCCCAACACAAATTTGTAAGCTTTCTTAAAACATTATGAGATTTATTTTGCGATTTTTTTTTTTTAGCTCATCAGCTATCATTAGTGTATTTTATGTGTAGCCCAAGACATTTTTTCTACCAATGTGGCCCAGGAAAGCCAAAAGATTGGACACCCCCAATCTACAATGTCCTCAGTCCTTGTTCTCAAATCTCCTGCTTATCCTCTGATGAGCTGACTTTCACAGGCCTGAGAAGGGAGATGCTCACCACGCTCATGAAAAATGGCAAAAAAATTATAAAACTCTCAAGACAGAAGCTAGAGAAATGAAACTCCTCTGTGAGCTCAGATGGACTACACAGTAATAAAGAAATACTAAATGTTAACCAACTGCGGGAGCCAAGTGCAACATTTCCCAAAGTAACGGTACCTTTTCTTTCTTCACATGATCCATAATTTTGCCCAAATCTTCAACATCAACAATGGAATTTAGGCTCTGATGGTCCTCACCACCAAACTCTTCTTCACTGGAGCTCTCAAAGGGTTCTTCCTCCTGGAAGAGAAATGCTTCAGAAATACATTGTTCAAAGGGGCAAAGGCAAAGCTCTCTTACCCTCCCTCCCACACTGAGAATTCACTATGTCTCTAAATTCTTTTTTTTTTTTTTTCTTTGAGACAGGGTCTCGCTCTGTCGCCCAGGCTGGAGCACAGTGGCGTCATCTCAGCTCACTGCAACCTCCACCTCTCAGGTTCAAGCCATTCTCCTGCCTCAGCCTCCCAAGTAGCTAGGATCACAGGCGCCTACCACCACGCCTGGCTAATTTTTGTAGTTTTAGTAGAGACAGGGTTTCACCATGTTGGCCAGGCTGGTCTCGAACCCCTGACCTCAGGTAATCCACCCACCTCAGCCTCCCAAAGTGCTGAGATTACAGGCGTGACGACAGTGCTCGGCTGTCTATAAATTCTTACTTTAAAAATAAAATCTAGGCTGGGCATGGTGGCTCACACTCATAATCCCAGCACTCTGTGAGGCCAAGATGGGAGGACTTTGAAACCTCAGGAGTTTGAAACCAGCCTGGGGAACATAGCAAGACCACATTGCTACAAAAAAATGTATACAATTAGCCAGATGTGGTAGCACATGCCTATAATCCCAACTACTTAGGAGGCTGACGCAGGAGCATCACTTGAAGCCAGGAGTTCAAGACCAGCCTGGGCAACATAGTGAAACCCTCATCTCTACAAAAACAACAACAACAACAATGAAGAAATAAATCTTAAGTCTTTAGCATCAGACTAACAACTGTGAAAGGGCATGATGGAGTGGGAACAACTAACACTTCACCTGCCCTCTCACGTCACAGTGACATGAGCTGGGCTCAGGGGAACGAGACACATACCAAGCAGAAGTAGAGGAAATGTGACATCACTGGGAAGACACATTTGCTGAGTATCTACTACGTCCCCAACACAATGTTCATATACCCATTCATTTCATCCTTAACTACTTATGATGTAGACAGGTTCAACATCATCTCATAGATGAGGAAATTAAAGGTAGAGAAGTTAAGAAATCACAGCTAATACGTGGCAGCCTTCATCCCTTTCTCCAATTGAGGATAAGGCAGAATAAAACGTTAGAGAGATTTTTTTGTTTGTTCTTTGTTGTTGTTGTTTTTGTTGTTGTTGTTGAGTCTTGCTCTGTCACCCAGGCTGGAGTGCAGTGGCGTGATCTTGGCTCACTGCAACCTCTACCTCCTTGGTTCAAGCAATTCTCATGCCTCAGCCTCCAGAGTAGCTGGGACTACAGGCATGCACCATCACACCCAGCTAATTTTTGTATTTTTAGTAGAGACAGGGTTTCACCATGTCAGCCAGGCTGGTCTCAGACTCTTGACCTCAGGTGACGCGCCCGCCTCAGCCTCCCAAATTGCTGGGGTTACAAATGTGAGCCACCGTGCCCAGCTGATAAAGAGATTTTTAAGAGGTGAAGTAGTTCTTTGTTTTCAACAGCAGGTACTTTCTCAGTAACTCAAGGGTCACTTTAAAAGAAACGGGCCGGACACAGTGGCTCACTCCTGTAATCCCAGCACTTTGGGAGGCCAAGGAAGATGGATCACCTGAGGTCAAGAGTTCGAGACAAGCCTGACCAACATGGTGAAACTCTGTCCCTACTAAAAATACAAAAATTAGCCGAGCGTGGTGGCATGCGCCTGTAGTCCCAACTACTCCAAAGGCTGAGACAGGAGAATTGCTTGAACCCAGGAGGTGGAGGTTGCAGTGAGCCGAGATCGTGACCCTGCACTCCAGCTTTGGCAACAGAGCAAGACTCCATCTCAAAAAAAAGAAAAGAAAAAAATTAAATTAAAAGAAACAAAATGTCAATAACCTTCATATGCTGGCCAATATGCCCCACAGTATAGCAGAGAGATGTCATATAATCAGATGCTGCTGATAAGTGTTCAATACAAAATAAAACAGCCCCTCTTAGACGAGGTCACGCCTGTCCTGTGCCAGATGATAGGATTATCACGGACGATCTTACGCTCTCCTATTTGAAACCAAGCCTGAGACTACAGAAGTGGCGCTGTGGCTGGCTCTCTGGTTCTCTTTTGCTTTGTCAATAAATGAGTAGTCTTCTCTGCCTTGCTTCCAGATGACAAAATAAATTGTTCCCAGAAATAAGTGTATGAATGTGTTCTTTAATTTAGCCCAGCTTCAACAGAAAGTCTCTGCCAGTTAACTCCACCCTGATATCCCAGCCTCATGCCCAAGCTGTCAAGAAGAGACAAGTACACCACGTGAAACATACTTGCTAACAATTAGTCCATTTTTAGATCTTCTAGTCCAGTGTCTCCCAACCAGTTTGTCTAAATATATAACAATACCTTCAGTATTAGGATCTCCTGATGCACTCATTTTCCTAGAATTGCAAGAAGTTCCGTATTGCCCATGTGCCCTATGCTCCTACCTCATCATTTCCAATAAATTTCAGAATATTAGACACAGAAGAGACATCAGGGATCATCTAGTCCAATCTCACCATGTTATCCTGGACAAGAAGTCAGTAAACTTTTACTGTAAAACACCAAATTGTAAGTATTTCTGACCTTGTGGGGCATACAATCCTGTCTTTACTATGCAAATCTGCCCCTCTAACACCAAAGCAGCTATGACAATACATAAATGAATGAACATGGCTATGCTTCCAAAACTTTTATTTTAAAAAATTAAAAAACAAGCTGGGTGCAGTGGCTCACACTTATAATCCCAACACTTTGGGAGGCCAAGGCAGGAGGATCGCTTGAGCTCAGCAGTTTGAGACCAGCCTGGGCAACACAGTGGGACCTCATCTCTACAAAAAATTAAAAAAACTTAGCTGGGCATGATGGTGCATGCCTGTAGGCCCAGCTACTCAGGAGGCTGAGATAGGAGGATCACTTGAGCCCAGGAGTTAGAGGCTGCAGTGAGCTATGCACTACTGCACTCCAGCCTGGGGAACAGACCAGCCCCTGTCTCAAAAGAAAAACAGGCAATAGGCTGGATCTGGCCAGTGAGCCTGTTTGCTGGTCCTTGTCCTAGACTCTTCTTGATAACTTCTCCTTAGACTCAAGTTTCTAATGGAAAGACTCATGTCGAGAATTTACTTTTTCCAAAAGGAACCTATTTCATCTTCACATCAAATCAAATCAAAACTGCTAACTTGGTTCTGTGACCTTGGGAAACTTCAAAAGTTATCTTGAACACTGCATATACTCATGGTAGCCAGTAGTGCTTGAAAATTAATGCGACACATTCCCCTGGTCCTCACAAAGATTCCAATCCAGTAAGAGACACACAGATACTACATCGAAAGGGGAAATGCTTTAATGAAAGGGTTTAGGAATACGAAAAGGAGCCATGCAGTGGGCTCCAAATCTACGGGTGGCTGCCCGAATGAGACGATACCTGAGTCAAATGTGAAGGGTAAGTAAACAGGCCCAGCCAGGGAAAGACATGTGGGAACGCTGTTGGAAGGGGATGGGCAAAGTCACTTAGGCAAGCACCAGGAGGCATGCAGCTACTATCAGTCACTCAGAAAGTACCAGCAGATGGAGAATAAAGCACATGACATGGGAAGAAAATGTAGCAGAGAAAGATGTGGGCCGGACTGCAAAGGATCTTGCCTGTCCTGGAAAGAGAGAATGAGAAGCGTCTAACATGGTCTGAACAGAGAAGTAACACAGACCTGCACTTCAATAGCTCACTCAACTGGGAAGACAGAAGGTAATTTAAGGGAAACAAGAATATAGACAAGGATAAATCTGAACAACGTATGACAATCCCCTAGGGAAGAAAAGATGTTGGCCTGAACTAAAGAGTAACAGGTGAGCACAAAGTTGGATATTCAAACTCATTTGACAAATTTGTTTTTTATTTTTTTTGGAGACAGCGTCTCGCTCTGTCACCCAGGCTGGAGTGCAGTGACGCAATCTCGGCTCACTGCAACCTCCACCTCCCAAGTTCAAGCGATTCTCCTGCTTCAGCCTCCCGAGTAGCTGGGATTACAGGTGCCTGCCAGCATACCCAGCTAATTTTTGTATTTTTAATAGAGACAGGGTTTCACCATGTTGGTCAGGCTGGTCTCGAACTCCCAACCTCATGATCCGCCTGCCTTGGATTCCCAAAGTGCTGGGATTATAGGCATGAGCCACCGCGCCCAGCCTTGACAAATATTTTTAGAACCAAGGAGACCACGTAGCTAGAGGCTGGAGAGGAAGAGAGAGAATAATAGGATGACAATGGAGAAATTCAAGAGTCAGATTAGGTGCTAAGGTCACACTAAGCAACGAAGTTTTTATGAAAGCAGCAGCAATGAAAAATCACTTTTAAACAGGAGGTTAACATGGTCTGATTTGTATTTTTAAGATTACTTGGCCGGACACAATGGCTCACGTCTGTAATCCCAGCACTTTGGGAGGCCGAGGCAGGTGGATCACGAGGTCAGGAGATTGAGACCATCCTGGCTAATGTGGTGAAAGCCGGTATCTACTAAAAACATAAAAAATTAGCTGGGCGTGGTGGCGGGCGTCTGTAGTCTCAGCTACTCGGGAGCCTGAGGCAGGAGAACTGCTTGATCATAGCTCACTGCAGCTTTGAACTCCTGAGCTCAAGTGATCCTCCTGCCTCGGCCTCCTGAGTAGCAGGGATTTACAGGCCTGAGCCACCATCCTGTCTACTTTTAATTTTTGTTTTTGTGGAAACAGGGTCTCACTATTTTGCCCAGGCTGATCTTGAACTCCTAGCCTCCAGCAATCCTCCCACCCACCTTGGCCTCCCAAAGTGTTGGGATTATAGGCATGAGCCTCCACACTGGCTGTAAGCTCTTTAACTTATGGGACCCATAACCTGAATTGAAATTGATGTTTCATTCCAATTTCATTGCAGTCATAGCTTGGACTGAAATGAAATTGGAATGAAACATCTGTCATATCACTTCCTGTTGAGCTAAGTAATTATCTCTTGAAGCCATCTGCTCTGTGGGCTTGACTCAGACTGACTGACTCCAGGTAGCCATAAAATGCTATTTGCATTGCACACCATACCTCATATCCTGTCATTCAACAGTGCATAGCTAATCACTAATCAATATTATCGCTATAAAGCAATGAGAATTTCTGTCCAACAACTTGGTATCGACCACTCCTTGTTCCCTTTGCTTTTAAAAACCTGCTTGTAACAAAAGCTAATGGAGCAGTCCCTTCAGCTGCAAAGTGTGTCTGAGACAGCTGCCCTCATTTTGGCTCAAATAAACTCTTTAAATTATATTTATATATTTTGGCTAGGTGCAGTGGCTCACCCCTGTAATCCCAATCCCAGCGCTGTCCGAGGCCAAGATGGGAGGTTTGCTCGAGGCCAGGAGTTAGAGACTAGCCTGGGCAACATAGTGAGACACTGTCTCTAATTTACAAAACGGTCTGGGCATGGTGGCTCATGCCTGTAATCCCAGCACTTTGGGAGGCCGAGGCGGGCAGATCACCTGAGGTCAGGAGTTCGAGACCAGCCTAACCAACATGATGAAACCCCATCTCTATTAAAAAAATACAAAAATTAGCTGGGCGTAGTGGTACGTGCCTGTAATCCCAGCTACTCAGGAGGCTGAGGCAGGAGATGGGAGCTGGGGGAAGGGTTGGGGAGGAAATGAGTATGAAACAGTCAACTTGGAGAGTAAGAAGGGGAATCTGCAAGGGAAGGTGTGAGCCTGTAGAGCACTTCTGAGTCTAAACTTGAGCCCGTGGTCGTGAATCTATAGTCAAACAATCAGCAGCAGACACGGGGAAGGCTGATGTGAAGGGGATGGTTTCAGCCTGGCTTGGGGTTTGGCCAGTCGGGTTACAAGAGTGAGTGAGAGGTAAAGCAATTGAAAACGTTAAGGCTGGGCACGGTGGGTCACGCCTGTAATCCCAGTATTTTGGGAGGCCCAGTATTTTGTTTTTTTCTTTTTTTTTTTTTTTTTTGAGACTGAGTCTCACTCTGTCGCCCGGGCTGGAGTGCAGTCGCATGATCTCAGATCACTGGAACCTCCACCTCCCGGGTTCAAGCGATTCTCGTGCCTCAGCCTCCCAAGTAGCTGGGATTACAGGTGCCCGCCACCACACCTGGCTAATTTTTGTATTTTTAGTAGAGATGGGGTTTCGCCACGTTGGCCAGAATGGTCTCGAACTCCCGACTTCAAGTGATCCACCCACCTTGGCCTCCCAAAAGTGCTGGGATTACAAGCGTGAGCCACCGTGCCCGGCCTAAAGAAGAGATTCTGGAAAGCATCTAGCACGATATGGCTTAATTCCTAAGGCCTCTCTCTCTCTCTGAAACACCACCACATGAGTTTCACATCTTCCTTCTTTTTTTGTTATTGTTTCTGTCTTTGTTTTTGGGGCAGGGTCTCACTCTGTTGCCCAGGCTGGAGGGCAGTGGCATGATCACAGCTCACTGCAGTCTCAAACTCCTGGGCTCAAGCAATCCTCCCAACTCCACCTCCTACGTAGCTGAGACAACAGGCATGCACCACCATGCCTTGCTAAATTTAAAATTATTGTGGTAAAGATAGGGTCTTGCTATGTTGCCCAGGCTGGTCTTGAACTCCCGGACTCAAGCAATACCCCCACCTTGGTCTCCCAAAGTGTGGGGATTACAAGTGCGAGCCACTGCACTCAGCCAGATCTTCCTTCTAACCAGAAGCCAACGAGATGGTTTATTGAGAAAGAGGTCAAGCTCGAGATCTCCAAGCAGAAGAGGAAAGCCTCGAGAGATGAACACACAGGCGGTATACCTCGGTGTCTCTATGATGCAATTCATCCTGCTCATGAGATCCTTCCTCCCTCTCCTCTGAGCCATGTTGGTGAGATTCACATTTGCCTTTCTTGCAGTGGCCGCCACAGGACTTCTTTCTCTCCCCTTTCTGAAGTGCCTGCAGCTGGGAGATGAACTTGGTCTTCCATGCTCTGAAGTCGGCCTCAATGCTGCCGTGCTTGCTTTTAACCACGTCGCAGTCGCCCTCCCCTCGACTCATCACACGATGCGCGCCAAGCATCCAGAGCCACTTGTCAACATTTTTGCCAACCTGTGAGGAAAAGATAGATAGGCTAAAAGCACGGTTCTCTAAATCAGGGTTTTCCAGACTGCTCTGCAAAAGCCCAAAGTCCTTCCGAGGCCCCTGGTCATGGGCTGCCGCTAAGGAAGAGGAAATTGCTGGCAAAATGACCTTCAAGCCTTCAAGCTCCAGCCTTGACCCAGAAGAGGGTCATTTTATGTATTCTACTTTTCTGCCTTAGATTTATTTTTTTAAACAAAAGGACAAACAAACCCCCTTTATCAAATGAAGGATTAATGACTAAAAAAAAAAATTTGAAACCTACCATTCTATATCATGATAAGAACAAAACAGGAGTTAACAAAATAAATGAGTTCCAAAAATGTAACAAAGCCTATGGGGCCTAAGCCTACTCAGTTATAAAATGAAAATGTAATCAATTTGGCAAGATTCGTAATTTCCTAAACTCAGTAATTTATTTCACTGTGATATGAAGCAATTAAGCTGAGGAACAGGAGTTATCAGAGGCATAGTTAAGAGTTCAAAAACTTAATAAGCTTCCTGAGTGGCAAGGCATTAAACAAAATATTTACGTATCTACGCCAGGCGAAGTGTCTCATGTCTGTAATCCCAGCACTTTGGGAGGCTGAGGCAGGCAGATTGTTTCAGGCCAGGAGTTCAAGACCAGCCTGGCCAACACGGTGAGACCCCATCTCTACTAAAAATACAAAAATTAGTGGGGCATGGTGGCACATGCCTATAATTCAGGCTACTTGTAAGGTCGAGTCATGAGAATTCCTTGAACCCTGGAGGCAGAAGTTGCAATGAGCCGAGATTGTGCCATTGCACTCCAGCCTGGGCAAGAGAGTGACTCTGTCTCAAAAAAAAAAAAAAAAAAAAAATTTACATATCTGAATTTTCCCAATCATAGTCTAATTTATTTGAAAATATGGGGAGAGGCCAGATGCAGTGGCTCACGCCTATAATTCCAGCACCTTGGGAGACCGGGGTGAGAAGAATGCTCAAGCCCGAGTTCAACACCAGCCTGGGCACCAAAGTAAAACCCCATCTCTACAAAAAATACAAAAACTAGCTGGATGTGTGGTGGGCGCCTGTGGTCCCAGCTACTCAGTAGGCTAAGGTGGGAGGATCACCTGAGCCCAGGGAGGTCGAGGCTGCAGCAAGCCACTGAACTCCAACCTAGGCAACATGGTGAGACCCTCTCTCAAAAAACACATAATCAAAAATGTTTTTAATGAAAATATGGAGCAAAATCTACATTGTGACACAACAATAGAATGAAAACAGCTTTTATTTTATTTATTTATTTTTTTTGAGACAGAGTTTCACTCTTGTTACCAAGGCTGGAGTGCAATGGCACGACCTCGGCTCACTGCAAACTCTACCTCCCGGGTTCAAGTGATTCTCCTGCCTCAGCCTCCCAAGTAGTTGGGACTACAGGCATGCACCACCACGCCCGGCTAATTTTGTATTTTTAGTAGAGATGGGGTTTCTCCATGTTGGTCAGGCTGGGGTCGAACTCCCGACCTCAGGTGATCCGCCCGCCTCTGCCTCCCAAAGTGCTGGCATTACAGGAGTGTGCCACTGCGCCCGGCCGTAAACAGCTTTTAAAAAAAACTCCCCACCTCCACCGTCACTCACACTCCACCAGAGACAGACAGCTAGGCAGGGCCCATCCCTAGGAAGAGGTACACAATGCAAATGACCAAGAAACTGAGAGGCTCCATCGTTTCATTTTTTCAAGTGTAGAGAACAGGATGCAAAAGGAGCCAAGTTAATTTCATTTAGAAAAATAGCCCGGGAAAACTAACCAAAAAATTTAATGTTTTATTATGTAAAGTGCAATGAATGTTTTTTCCTTCATTTCCCTTGAAAAATTCATGATCTTTTTTTTTTTTTGAGACATAGTCTCACTCTGTTGCCCAGGCTAGAGTGCAGTGGTGAGATCTCGGCTCACTGCAAGCTCTGCCTCCCGAGTACACGCCATTCTCCTGCCTCAGCCTCCCGAGTAGCTGGAACTACAGGCACCCGCCACCACACCTGGCTAATTTTTTTGTATTTTTAGCAGAGACGGGGCTTCAGCATGTTAGCCAGGATGGTCTCGATCTCCTGACCTCGTGATCCGCCTGCCTCAGCCTCCCAAAGTGCTGGGATTACAGGCGTGAGCCACCATGCCCAGCCAAAAATTTCATGATTTCTTAAAACTGAGCTCAGGCTGGACACGTTCATGCCTGTAATCCCAGAAATTTGGGAGGCTGAGGTGGGTAGGACTGCTTGAGGCCAGGAGTTTGAACCAAGCCTGGGCAACACAGTGAGACCCTCATCTCTAAAAAAATTGAAAGATTAGCCAGGGGTAGTGGTGCACGCCTATAGTTCCAGCTACTAGGGAGGCTGACTTGGGAGGATCCCTTGAGCCTAGGACTTCAAGGTTCAGAGAATTTTGATCAGGTCACTGCATTCCAGCCTGGATGACAAAGCAAGACCCTGTCCTGAAAAAATAAACATAATTTTAAAAAAAAATTTTTTTTAAGAGTTCACCTGCATAAAGAGCTTGGGCAGGCTGGGCATGCTGGCTCACACCTGTAATCCCAGCACTCTGGGAGGCCGAGGTGGGTGGATCACCTGAGGTCAGGAGTTCGAGAACAGCCTGGCCAACATGGTGAAACCCTGTCTCTACTAAAAATGCAAAAAAATTAGCCAGGCATGGTGGTGGGTGCCTGTAATCCCAGCTACTCGGGAGGCTGATAAATGAGAACCGCTTGAACCCGGGAGGCGGAGGTTGCAGTCAGCTGAGATCCCGCCACTGCACTCCAGCTGGGGATTAGAGCAAGACTCTGTTTCCAAAAAAAAAAAAACAGAAGAGGCCGGGCACGGTGGCTCACTTTGGGCGGATCACATGAGGCCAGGAGTTCACAACTAGCCTGGCTGGCATGGTGAAACCCCGTCTCTAGTAAAAATACAAAAATTAGCCAAGCCTGGTGGCACATGCCTGTAATCCCAGCTACTCGGGAGGTTGAGGCAGGAGAAATCACTTGAACCCGGGAGCTAGAAGTTGCAGTGAGCTGAGATGGTGCCACTGCACTCCAGCCTGGGCGACAGAGCAAAACTCTATCTCAATCAATCAATTAATAAAATAATAGAAGAAATGTATTTATTACTAGCTACCAAAGTTTGTGGATTATTTCACATACATGTGTGTTTATGTGTGTGTGCGTGTGTGCACGTGTGTGTGTTTACGTGTGTGTGCGTGTGTGTGTGTTTATGGGGAGAATTTATTCCTATAATTCAATATAGACCTACCTTGTTGAAGTGGCTAGCATAGGCAGAATTTCCCAGGCCAAATACCGCATATCTCATACCCTTCAGGTAAGTTTTGCCAAATCGAAAATCAATGGATGCTTCCTCTAACCATTTGCAGAACCACTCTGCACTTTCAGTTGGTAGGCCGTCAGTGTATGTCGCAACCAGGAAGACACAGACATTTTTACTAGTCACCTAACCAAGAAAGTAATTGTTTCAGTGGAACATACAAGGCATAAATTATCTCAATGAAGAAAATCCTTTGAAAAAAAGCATACTCATCTCAAAGAACAAAGGGCACCTTCATAAACATGGTTCATCTTCAAAAGTGAAGGGCATGACTAAGAAACACAGCAAGAACAGCTTGCACGGGGGAGAAAACCCAGTCCCTTGCTCCTGCCAGTATACCTCCTGGTATATTTCACCATATACGCCATTCCGTTATCCAGACTATACATTCTCATCATCGCTAATTTGCCACAGTGGAAACAAAATCCAAATCAATCAAGAAAAAATACAGGCCGGGTGCGGTGGCTCAAGCCTGTAATCCCAGCACTTTGGGAGGCTGAGGCGGGCGGATCACAATGTCAGGAGATCGAGACCATCCTGGCTAATACGGTGAAACCTCGTCTCTACTAAAAATACAAAAAATTAGCCGGGCGTGGTGGCGGGTGCCTGTAGTCCCAGCTACTCAGGAGGCTGAGGCAGGAGAATGGCATGAATCCAGGAGGCAGAGCTTGCAGCGAGCCAAGATCACGTCACTGCACTCCAGCCTGGGCGACAGAGCAAGACTCCATCTCAAAAAAAAAAAAAAAAAAAAAAGGAAAAAATGCAGAGAGATGGCCAGGCACGGTGGCTACTAATGGAAGAACACACTGGGGGAAAATAAGGCACCTGAGTTTCAAACCTTAAGAGAAAACAACAGCTCATGTTCCTGCTTCCTTAGAGTGGAAGCTGCTCTGTGGTGTCAGAAAGACAAGGAATGTGGTGACCTTGCTTACCCAATAAGAGTTGTATTTGGTGTTTGAGATTGTTTTAAATCTCTGAAGTCTCCAAGGAATAGGGGAACCATGTTCTAGGTCCATTACCATCTCCTCAGGCAGGAAGCTGTGAATATCCATATCAAGGCAGTGGATGTTGGCTGGGCCCAGTGGCTCATACCTGTAATCCCAGGACTTTGGGAGGTTGAGGCGGGTGGATCACTTGAGATCAGGAGTTCAAGACCAGCCTAAGCAACACAGTGAAACCCCATCTCTACTAAAAATACAAAAACTAGGCAAGCGTGGTAGTGGGTGCCTGTAGTTCCAGCTACTCGGGAGGCTGAGGCAGGAGAACTGCTTGAGCCCAGGAGGCAGAGGCTGCAGTGGGCCACCATCACACCCCTGCACACTGCACTCCAGCCTGGGCAACGAAGCGAAGACTCCATCTCAAAAAAAAAAAAGAAAAGAAAAGAAAAAATACAGAGAGATCTCTAAAAAATTATCTAATAAATTAAAGCAATAAAAAGTTTTAAACATAAAGTAATTTAACACTTGGCACCATTATCTAAACAGAACTGTTGCAAATCCCGGGGATACAAAATACAGGCTAGGTATCCGTTATCCAAAATGTTTGGGATGGGAAGTTTTTTGGATTTTAGAGGTTTTTTTCTGTTTTGGTTTTTTTTTTTAAATCTGCATATACATAATGATGTACCTTGGGGATATATCAAGTCTAAACACAAAATTCCTTTGTTTCATATACACCTTACACACATAGCCTGTAGGTAACTTTATACAATATTTTTCACAATTTCATATATGAAACAAACTTTTGACTGCGTTTTGACCTTGACCCATTACAGGAGGTCAGGTGCGAAATTTTCCACTTGTGGCCTCCTGTCAGCGCTCCAGAAATTTGGATTTTAAAGCATTTCCAATTTGCGGTTCAGGGATTCTCAACCTGTGTATCCTTAGTCTTGATAGCCTGGTGTTTGAATTCATCTTAAGAGTTCCAAGTCATGAGGTAAGTTATAAGTAATATCAAAGTTTGCTAATAATTTTTCACAAATAATTTAGAGCACATTCAAGCTCACTCATGTGCACACCAGTACATTTTCTTGGGGGACAAAGAAATGGACAGAGTTAAAGCTAGATATTTAACCACTAAGACGGGGCCGGTAAACTACAATCCACGAGCCACATCTTGCTTGCTGCCTTTTTGCGGTTTTTTTTTGAGACAGAGTCTCGCTCTGTCACCCAGGCTGGAATGCAGTGGCATGATCTCAGCTCACTGCAACCTCCACCTCCCGAGTTTAAGCAATTCTCATGCCTCAGCCTCCCAAGTAGCTGGGACTACAGGCGCGCACCACCATGGCTAATTTTTCTATTTTTAATAGAGACGGGGTTTCACCATGTTGCCCAGGCTGTTCTTACATGTCTGAGCTCAAGCGATCCACCAGCCTTGACCTCTCAACTTGCTGGGATTATACAGGCGAGAGCCACCACGCCTGGCCTCTATTTTTTTTAAAGAAAGTTTTAGTGCAACACAGCCACACTCATTCATTTACATATTATCTATGGCTGTTTTGTGCCTCAGTGGCAAAACTGAGTAGCTGCCCAGCCCACAAAGGTGAAGATACTACCTGGCCCTTCACGTGAAAGTTTGTCAACCCCAGCTCTATGTGCTGCTTCTTTTTTTTTTTTTTTTGAGACGGAGATTTGCTTTTGTCGCCCAGGCTAGAGGGCAATGGCACGATCTTGGCTCACTGCGACCTCCGCCTCCCAGGTTCAAGCAATTCTCCTGCCTCAGCCTCCCGAGTAGTTGGGATTAACAGGCGCCCACCACCAACCCCAGCTAATTTTTGTATTTTGAGTAGAGACGTGGTTTCACCGTGTTGGCCAGGCTGGTCTCGAACTCCTGACCTCAGGTGATCCACCTACCTCAGCCTCCCAAAGTGCTGGGATTACAGGCGTGAGCCACCACACCCAGCCTCTGCTTCTCTAACTCTACCTGTGTCAGCATCACCAGGAGCACTGTTTAAGCTCTACGATGCAGCTAGGCTAAGACCTGAGATTCTGCATTTCTAGCAAGTTCACAGGAGATGCTGATGCTGCTGGCTCAGGGGCCACACTTGAGAACCACTGCTGTAGGGTGAAATCCCCTAACTGGGCATGACTGGAGAAAAAAGGGGAGGAACACTTTTCAGATGAAGAAATTAAACCCTCATAGATATTAAGTAATGCGCCTGGGCGCAGTGGCTCATGCCTGTGAACCCAGCACTATGGGAGGCCGAGGCAAATAAATCACCTGATGTCAGGAGTTCAACACCAGCCTGGCCAACACAGTGAAACCCCATCTCTACTAAAAATACAAAAATTAGCCAGGCATGGTGGTGGGCACCTGTAATCCCAGCTACTCAGGAGGCTGAGGTAGGAGAATCACTTGAACCCTGGAGTTGGAGGTTGCAGTGAGCCAAGATCATACCACTGCACTCCAGCCTGGGCAACAAGAGCGAAACTCCATTAAAAAAAAAGACATTAACTAATGCATTGAGGTCACACAGCTAATAAGAGATTTCTCTGATTCCGAAACCCATACTCTCTGCTTTTGACCTTTTGGTTGGATTGCCCATGGTCTACAAGTATAGCACACTGCCATCAATAACAACCCTTCCTTAATTAAGAGATTCAAAATAGCGGGGAGGGCTGGGCATATCTATAATCCTAGTACTTTGGGAGACTGAGGCCAGGAGTTCGAGACCCACCTGGGCAATATAGTGAGACCGTATCTCTATAAAAAATCTTTTGGCCAGGCGCGGTGACTCACGTCTGTAATCCTAGCACTTTGGGAGGCCGAGGCAGGCGGATCACAAGGTCAGGAGATTGAGACCATCCTGGCGAACACGGTGAAACCCCATCTCTACTAAAAATACAAAAAATTTGTCGGGTGTGGCGGCGGGCGCCTGTAGTCCCACCTACTCGGGAGGCTGAGGCAGGAGAATGGCGTGAACCCGGGAGGCGGAGCTTGCAGTGAGCTGAGATCGCGCCACTACACTCCAGCCTGGGTGACAGAGCGAGACTCCATGTCAAAAAAAAAAAAAAAATCTTTTAAAATTAGCAGGGCATGGCAGCACATGCCTGTAGTCTCAGCTACTTTAGGAGGCTGAGGAAGGAGGATCACTTGAGCCCGGGAGGTTGAAATTGCACCACTGTACTCCAGAGCCTGGGTGAGAGAGTGAGAGCCTGTCTCTATAAAATAAATTTTAAAAAAATAAAAATAGTAGGGGCCAGGCACAGTGGCCCATGCCTGTAATCCCAGCACTTTGGGAGGCCAAGGCGGGCAGATCACTTGAGGCCAGGAGTTTCAGACCAGCCTGGCCAACATGGTGAAACCTCATCTCTAGCAAAAAACACAGACACACACAAAAAAAATTAGCTGGGCATGGTGGTGCATGCCTGTAAATCCCAGCTACTTGGGAGGCTGAGGCAGGAGAATCACTTGAACCTGGAGACGGACATTGCACTGAACTGAGATTGCACCACTGCACTCCAGCCTGGGTGACATAGTGAGACTCCATCTCAAAAAAAAAAAAAAAGAAAAGAAAAAAGAAAATTGTGGGAAGGAGTGAACTTCCAACCACCCAAGCTTTCTCACCTCTAGCCCTGCCCCAGGAGAATTTAACATGCCTGAAGAACAAGCCCCACACCACGTGAGAATCAGTGAACCTTACCCCACATTCAATTCTCTGATTCACACTGGAATTCAACTAACTGAAATCCCTTAGCACGAAAATTAAATTTATTCTGAAGATTCTAGTTATCTAATTAAATTTACTGTGAAGATTGCAGATCAGTTAAATTTGAGAGTTTTGACTGAAGAAAAAGACAATTACCAACCTCTTCTATCAGATGATCATCTGGATCATATTCTTTTAGATTAATAATGGCCACAGGCAGATCCAGGGATGTAACTGCTTCAGCAAGAACTGTTGCGAATCCCTAATAGGACCAAAAAAAACATCAAATAAAGTCTTCAATGAGCCAAATATAACCCTCATTACCCCTGTTGGCACAAGAATGTGGCATTCCTCATGAAAAATATTTTCAGTGACTGATATGTATCTTCATGAACACAAATTCTATCCTCACTCTTACCATTTTCTTGGGCACCATTACAGAGATCATTCATTTGTGTTGTTCTCACCCGATCAGGGTTTACATAGGACTGAATCTAATTTGGCTTTGGATGATCAATCTGCCTTGCCCTACTAGAGTAAACATATCAGCCAGGCAAGATGGCTTATGCCTATAATCCCAGCACTTTGGGAGGCTGAGGTGGGAGGATCACTTGAGGCCAAGCCTGGACAACAAAGTGAGACCTCATCGTTATAAAAAAATTTAAAAATTAGCCAGGTGTGATGGCACACACCTATAGTCCCAGCTACTCAAGAGGCTGAGACGGGAAGATCCCCCGAGCCCAGGGGTTAGAGGATACAGTGAGCTACGATCACACCAATGCACTCTAGCCTGGGCCACAGACTCAGATCCTGTCTCATAAAGAAAATAACATATTAAAAAACAATAAACACAGAGAAGTGCAAAAAGAAATAGTGAAGAATGGGCTGGGCACAGTGGCTCACACCTGTAATCCCAGTACCTTGGGAGGCCGATGCAGTTGGATCACTTGAGGTCAGGAATGCGAGACCAGCCTGACCAACATGGTAAAACCCCGTCTCTACTAAAAATACAAAATTAGCCAAGCGTGGTGGCACACACCTATAATCCCAGCTACCCGGGAGGCTGAGGCAGGAGAATCACTTGAATCCAGGAGGCGGAGGTTGCAGTGAGCCAAGATTGCACCATTGCACTCCAGTCTGGGCAACAAAACTCCATCTCCAAAATAAATAAATAAATAAAATAAAAGAAAGAGTGAAGAGTGAAAAGAATGGGAAACATGAAAAGAAGCCGGTTGACAGACAGGAAAAAGTCCTAGGGAAGAGTTCACAGGGCTAACAGAACCCCAGAGAAGCTCTAGGCTGGGAGCAGCCACTACAACAAAAGATGGAATGAATATCTTTTGTACGCTAATGAGATGGCTTACTGGAGTGAGGCCTCAGATAGCTTCAGGATGGAGGCTCGTTGCCAGAGAAACTGATGAGAAGTTAAACTCAGCACCTCCTACCCCAGCCCCAACAGGGAACACTAGGGAGAGAAGAGGGGCTGGAGATTGAGTTTAATCACCAAGGCCAATGATTTAATCAATCGTGCCTATGTAATGGAGCCTCCAAGAAAAACCCCTGAACAATGGAGACTGTTGACTTGGTGAACATACCAATGTGCTGGGGAGAAGACACGGCCAGAAACGGCCTGGAAGCCCTGCTCAACCCCCACCCCTCCATAGCTGGCCCTGTGCAGCTCTTCCATTCGGCCGTTCCTGAGTTGCATCCTTTATGATAAACCACTAAACATAAGTCAAGCAACTTCCTGAGGTCTGTGAGTCATCCTATAGAACCTGAGGAGGCAGTGGTGCAGAACCCTAAATTTAAAGCCGGGACTTGTGACTGGTGTCTGAAGTGGGGGCAGTCTTGTGGGCTAATGATAACTCCCAATAGTAAGCATGAGAACTGGTATAGAAAAAGGACAGGTTGGCCAGGCGTGGTGGCTCACACCTGTAATCCCAACACTTTGGGAAGCCGAGGCGGACAGATCACCTGAGGTCAGGAGTTCAAGACCAGCCAGACCAACATGGTGAAACCCCATCTCTACTAAAAATACAAAAATTAGCCAGGAGTGGTGGTGGGCACCTGTAATCCCAGCTACTTGGGAGGCTGAGGGAGGAGAACTGCTTGAATCCAGGAGGCAGAGGTTGCAGTGAGCCGAGATCGTGCCACACTGCACTCCAGCCTGGACGACAGAGCGAGACTCCATCTCAAAAAAAAAGAGAAAAGGTATTTGGGGGTCAGAAAACAGTACTGCAGCAGGCCTCAAGGACTGATACGGTTTGGATATTCGTCCCCTCCAAATATCATTAACACGTAATCTCCAATGTTGGAAGTGAGCTCGAATAGGAGGTGTTTGGGTCATGGGGGTGGGTCCCTCAGGAGTGGCTTTGTTACCAGTGGAGGGTCTTGCCTAGGAGTTGTCCAGGTTGTTCACATGTTCAACAAAGAACTGAAAAAAATGCAACAAGCGAAGCAACAAAAACACAGATTTATTGATGGGAAGGTACACTCTACAGTCAGGAAGCAGGCTTGAGCAAGTGGCTCAAGAGCTCCAGTTGTTTTTATTAAGCTTAGGTTTTTATTAAGCTAGAAGAATTTGGTAACACCCCCAGGTATCCTTGGGAGGCTTCCAATTGGTTACACCCTATATAAATGAAGAATTGGCTCATGGCCAATCAGAGGCTGCAGTGGAGTTATACCATATGCAAATAAAGAATTAGCCCACAGCCCATCAGAGGCTAAAGCTTTCCTTTCAGTTTAATTCAAGGACGTCAGCCACAGGTTGGCCTTAGGCTCTGTCTCCAGACTCTACTTTCCTACCTCAGCTTGCCGCCCTCCCCTTGGTGTTGAGTTCTTGCCCTATTAGTTCATAGATGGCTGTTAAAAAAAAAAAAAAAAAAAAAAAAAAAAAGCCTCACATCTCTCCCTACTGTTTTGCTCCCTCTCTCACCATGTGGTACCTATTCCTCCATGGGTGGAAGCTTCCTGAAGCTTCACCAGAAGCCAAGTGGATGTTGGCACCATGCTTGTAGAGCCTGCAGAACCATGAACCAAATAAACCTCTTTTCTTTATAAATTACAGTATTAGTCCATTCTTGCATTGCTATAAAAAAAATACCTGGCCGGGCATGGTGGCTCATGCCTGTAATCCCAGCTCTTTGGGAGGTCAAGGCGGGCGGATCACTTGAGGTCAGGAGATCGAGACCAGCCTGGGCAACATGGTGAAACCCCATCTCTACCAAAAATACAAAAAATTAGCTGGGCATGGTGGCATATACCTGTGGTCCAGCTACTTGGGAGGCTGAGGTGGAAGGATCGCTTGAGCCTGGGAGGCAGAGGCCGCAGTGAGCCGAGATCACGCCACTGCACTCCAGCCTGGGCAACTGGGTGAGACTCCATCTCAAAAAAAAAAAAAAAAAAAGGAAAAAAGAAATACCTGAGATTGGGCAATTTATAAAAAAAAGACATTTAATTGGCTCACAGTTCTGCAGACTGTACAGGAAGTGTAACGGCATCTGCTTCTGAGGAGGCCTCAGGGAGCTTCCAATATTGGTGGAAGGCAAAGGAGGGGCAGGCACATGACATGGCAGGAACAAGAGAGAGAAGGAGGCAGTGCCACACACTTTTAAACAGCCAGATCTCATGAGAACTCACTGTCACGAGGACAGTACAAGGGAGATGGTGCTAAACCTCTCATGCAAAATCTGCCCTCAAGATCTAAGCACCTCCCGCCAAGCCCCACCTCCAACAATGGGACTACGATCCGACGTAAGATTTGGTGGGGACACAGATCCAAACCATATCAATTACCCAGCTGCAGGTATTCCTTTATGGCAATGCAAAACAGACTAACACAAGGATAAAGTGAGATTTGAGCCAAAGCCAAAGGAACTGGGAGAACCATGAGGTTATCCCAGGCGGCAGGAACAGTGAACTGCAAAGGCCCAGAGGAGGTTACTAAGACTGAAAAAAAAGAAACCAAGGAGATGGGGTAAGAGAGTTAACAAAGAGCCACACGTGTAGGATCTCTGGGCCACTGTGAGGACTCAAGCATTGACTCTTGAATGAAGGGGTCAGTGCAGGGTTTTAAGCAGAGGGATGACGTGACTTCACCTAAGTTTTCAAACAGTCACTGAGGTTGCTGAGTTGAGAGTACACTGGAGTCAGAAGAGGGCCAAGTGGTACTGAATCAGAAACACTGTCTTAGTCCATTTTGCTATAAAGGAGTACCTGAGACTGGGTAATCTATGTCTTTTATTTTTTTGAGACAAGGTCTCACTCTGTCACCCAGGCTGAAGTGCAGTGGCACAGTCACGGCTTACTGCAGCCTTGACCTCCTGGGCTCAAGCAATCGTCCCACCTCAGCCGCCCAAGTAGCTAGGACTACAGGCACATGCCACCATGCCTGGCTAATTTTTGAATTTTTTGTAGAGATAGAGTTTTGCCATGTTGCACAGGTTGGTCTCAAACTCCTGGTCTCAAGTGATCCACCTGCCTTGGCCTCCCAAAGTGCTGGGATTATAGGCGTGAGCCACTGTGCCTAGCCCAATCTATGTTTTAAAAAGGTTTATTTAATGCAGAGAACCCCAGTGAGATATTACGTAAGATGGCCATCCCCAAGACACAAAATCATCAGATTCTCCAGTCGAAATGAAAGAAAAAATGTTAAAGGCAGCTAGAGAGAAGGGGCAGGTCAGCTACATAGGGAATCCCATCAGGGTAACAGTGGACCTTTCAGCAGAAACCCTACAATCCAGAAGAGATTGGGGCCTATATTGAGCATTCTTAAAGAAAAGAAATTTCAAGCAGGGCATGGTGGCTCACATCTGTAATCCCAGCACTTTGGGAGGCCAAGATGGGTGGATCACCTGAGGTCAGGAGTTGGAGACCAGCCTGACCAACATGGTGAAACCCCATCTCTACTAAAAATGCAAAAATCAGCCAGATGTGGTGGCGCACACCTGTAGTCCCAGCTACTCGGGAGGCTGAGGCAGGAGAATCACTTGAACTCGGGAGGCAAAGGTTGCAGTGAGCTGAGATCGCACCACTGCACTCCAGCCTGGGTGACAGAGAAAGACTCTGTCTCAAAAAAGAAAACAAGAAATTTCAACCAAGAATTTCATATCCAGCCAAATTAAGCTTCATAAGCGAAGGAGAAACAAGATCCTTTCAGGCAAACAAATGCTAAGGGAATTTATTACAACCAGACCTGCCTTACAAGAGGTCCTTAAGGAAGTGCTAACTATGTAAAGGAAAAATTGTTATGGGCCACCATAAAAAGGTTTATTTGGTTCACAATTCTGATATCTGAAAAAGTTCAAGATTGGACAACTACATCTGGTGAGGGCTCCAGGCTGCTTCTACTCCTGGCAGAGTAGAAGTGAAAGGGAGCTGGCGAGCACAAAGATCACATAGCAAGAGAGGAAACAAGAGTGCAGGAGAGGTTCCAGGCTCTTCTTACCAACAAGCTCTCTTGGGAACTAAGACAGCAAGAACTCACTCACCCCTCCCCCAGGGATTCATCTATTCAGGAGGGATCTGCCCCCAGGACCCAAACACCTCCCATTAGGCCCATCACCAACACGAGGGATCAAATTTCAACATCAGTTTTGGGGGAACAAACAACAAATTATAGCAGAAATCAATGGTGAGATGACTGTCCTAATCCAGACAAAATATCATGGCAGTGTCAAAGCTGTCAGAATCAACAACATGGAGTTACTTATGTTAAAATATCCCTGACAATAAGAGCTAGGGAAGACAAAGAATTCGCACACTTAGATTGTTTTTTTTGTTTTTTGTTTTTTGTTTTTTTTGAGACAAGGTTTCACTCTGTCCCCCAGACTGGAGTGCAGTGGCGCCATCTTGGCTCACTGCAACCTCTGCCTCCCGGGTTCAAGTGATTCTCATGCCTTAGCCTCCCGTGTAGCTGGGATTACAGGCATGTGCCACCACACCAGGCTAATTTTTGTATTTTTTAGTACAAATGGGGTTTTGCCATGTTGGCCAGGCTAATCTCAAACTCCTGACCTCAAGTGACCCACCTGCCTCAGCCTCCTAAACTGCTGGGATTACAGGCATGAGCCACCACACCTGGCCTCACACTCAAATTCCTGACAATGAGAAAGATTCTACAAAAAATACAACCTTGCACAAAGACCAGTGCAACCTTACACAAAAAATACTACTGCAAGGACATCTGCCCAGCAACTTCATGTCCAACCTTGGATTGTGTCACCTTTGTTATTAACCTTTGTAGGCAAGAATAATTATTTCAAAACAATTCTGTAATCCTCATTTTTTCCCTTACAAATCTTTGCCTTCCTTTACTTCCCTGAATACATGCAGTTTACTATGGCAATTGTATCCCCATTGCAATGTACGTGCTATTCCCAAACAAACATCTTTTCTTTTGGAGAGCCTCTCTATGGTATTTAGGTTGACAATGGCATGGACCAGGGGAGTAGCAGTGAAGGTGGTAAGAAGTGATTGGAAACTGAATCTATTCTTAAAGTAGAACAAACAGAATCTGCTGACAGACTGGACATGGGTTGTATAAAAAGAAGTCAAAAGGTGTTTTGGACCAAGCAATTGGAAGGATAAAGTTGTCATTTACTGAAATTGTAAGGATTACAAGTAGAGCAGGCTTGGGCAGAAAATTGGGAGTTCAGTTTTGAGCACACTGATGTTAAGATGCTTACTAGACATTCATATGATGCTCTAAGATAGGTAACTCGATATGAAAGTCTGGAGTTGAGAGAAACAGTTAAGATTAGAAACAGAAATTTAGGGCCAGGCGCGTGGCTCAAGCCTGTAATCCTAACACTTTCAGTGGCCGAGGCGGGTGAATCACTTGAGGCTAGGAGTTTGAGACCAGCCTGGCCAACATGCAGAAACCCCGTCTCCACTAAAAATACAAAAATCCCAGCACTTTGGGAGGCCAATGCCACTGCACTCCAGCCTGGGTGACAGAGTAAGACCCTGTCTCAAAAAAAAAAAAAAAGAAAAAAGAAAAAGAAAAAGAAAAAGTTACAAAAAATATAAGAGAAAAGATCTGAGACACAGAAGACGATCCAAAAGGTAGAACATCCCACAGGAATCCCAGAAAAAAAGAAATGAAAAGGGGAAAAAAAAATTCATCCAAGAAATATTAACAGAACTAATGCACACAAATCGTCAAAATGCATACAAATCGTCAAAACAAAAAAAATTCAAGTATACAGAACAATAGCTGAAAAAGATCCAAATAGTCACCTTCCCATAAAATTTCCAGAAATCAAGGACAAAGAAATGATCCGAAAATCTTCCAGAAACAAAATAATCAAGTCATCTACAAATTCGCTTTCTCATTAGCAATACTAACATGCTGGAAGACAATGAAGCTACGCCTTCTGAGGCAAAAGTTTTTAATAGTCTTCTACACACGACCAAATATGAATCAATCAAATCCAACAGCAGAATGAAGAAATATTGAGATGGGCTGGGCACAGTGGCTCACACCTGTAATCCTAGCCCAATATTGAGATGGGCTGGGCATAGTGGTTCATGCCTGTAATCCTAGACAGAAGGATCTCTTGAGGCCAGGAGTCAAGACCAGCCTGGGCAACATAAGGAGACCCCATCTCTACAAAAAAAATTTTTTTAATTAGCCCAGCATGGTGGCACAAGCCCATATTCCCATCTACCCAGGAGGGTGGGTCAGGAGAATCGCTGGAGCCCAAGAGGTCGAGGCTGCAGTGAACTAAAATCATGCCACTGCACTCCAGCTTGGGTAACAGAGCAAGACCCTATCTCTTTTTTTCTTCTTTCCTTTTTTTTTTTTGTTTGAGACAGGTTCTCACTCTGCTGCCCAGGCTGGAGTGCAGTGGTGCAATCTAGGCTCACTGCAACCTCCACCTCCCAGATTCAAGCAATTCTTCTGCCTCAGCTTCCCAAGTAGCTGGAATTACAGACGTGCACCACCACGCCCAGCTAATTTTTTGTATTTTTAGTAGAAATGGGGTTTTGCTTTGTTGCCGAGGCTGGTCTCGAACTCCTGGCCTCAAGTGGTCTGCCCACCTCGGCCTCCCAAAGTGCTGAGATTACAGGCATGAGCCACCACGCCAGGCCAAGACCTTGTCTCTTAAAAAATAAAAATAAAGGCTGGGCGCGGTGGCTCACGCCTGTAATCCCAACACTTTGGGAGGCCAAGGTGGGCAGATCATGAGGTCAGGAGTTCGAGAACAGTCTGACCACCGTGGTGAAACCCCATCTCTACTAAAAATACAAAAACTAGCTGGGCATAGTGGTGGGCGCCTATAGTCCCTGCTACTCAGGAGGCTGAGGCAGAAGAATCGCTTGAACCCGGGAAGCAGAGGTTGCAGTGAGCCGAGATCGCGCCACTGCACTCCAGCCTGGCGACACAGCGAGGCTCCATCTCAAAAAAATAAATAAATAAAAAATAAATAAATAAAATAAAATAAATAAAAATAAATTCAGATGGCGCAGCTTTAAGATGGAAGATGGCTATCTACCCCAAAATCAACTATGATATGGACAGCAACATTAAGCCACTGAGACTTGAGGGCTGTTTGTATAAACTAATTAATATAAAGAGCCAATAACTTTTGTGTAATGTTGATAAATCTCGAAACACAGCATAAGCATCAGAGGAACTAAAAATAGAAATAGTTAAAAGGTTTCTGGAGAGTACATTTCATTATGAACTTTCTGTACACCTGGATTTGTTACCATCTGCAAGTATTCGTTTGATCTTTTTGATCATTTTTTTTAAAAAGGTAAAAACATGCATAAAGAGGCTCTGAAAAAGGTTTTTTATAAGTAACATTAAAAGGACTTTGCTTTGGCTGCTCAGACACCTTTTTGCTTTTTTTCAGGTTTCCCACCTCCACTGCTTAAGGTTTAACTTAACAACTGACCTTCGACTGTAAAATGAAGCAAAGTATCTGCACTCAAGTAGTGAAAACCTAAGAAGTACTATTCTGCGCAACTTCCACAAGAGGGCAGTAGAACCCTCTGAAGTAGTCCACAAAAGTAACAGACCTTGATTTTTCCTCTAATTTATTTTCATGCTAGCCTTCCTTAAAATCTTTTCCTAGAAAGCACTAACTAGCTGTGACCTGGCTAGGCCTCGTGGCTCATGCCTATCATCTCAGCACTTTGAGGGCCAAGGTGGGTGAATATCTTGAAGCCAGGAATTCAAGACCAGCCTGGACAAGATTGCAAGATCTTGTCTCTACAAAAAAATTAAATAAATTTTTTGGCTGGGAGCGGTGCCTCACGCCTGTAATCCCAGCACTTTAGGAGGCTGAGGCGGGTGGCTCATCTGAGGTCAGGAGTTTGAGAGCAGTGTGACCAATATGGTGAAACCTCGTCTCTACTAAAAATACAAAAATTAACTAGATGTGATGGCAGGCACCTGTAATCCCAGCTACTAGGGAGGCTGAGGCAGGAGAATTGCTCGAACCCAGGAGGCAGAGGTTGTGGTGAGCCGAGATCACACCACTGCACTCCAGGCTGGGGGACAGAGTGAGATACCATCTCAAAAATAAAATAAATTTTTTTAAAATAGCTGTGACCTTGTAACACAGAAACAGGTAGCATCTAGATATAATTAGAGAATGGGACTGGGCACGGTGGCTCACGACTGTAATCCCAACACTTTAGGAGGCCGAGGCGGGCAGATTGCTTGAGCCCAAGAGTTTAAGACCAGCCTGGGCAACATGGCAAAACCCCATCTCTACAAAAAGTACAAAAATTAGCTGGGTATGGTGGCATGCACCTATAGTCCCAGATACTCAGGAGGCTGAGGTGGGAGGATGCCTTGAGCCCGAGAGGCAGAGGTTGCAGTGAGCGAAGATGGCACAACTGCACTCCAGCCTGGGCAACAGAGAGAGACCCTGTCTTTAAAAAAAGAAAAAAAAAAGCAAAAAGGAGAAATCAAAGTACATGCCAGATAATATCACTAAATCCTCACAGTGACCCTGAGATAACCATACTATTACCATCTGCAATTTACCATTTCACAGATAAGCAACTGAAGCTTAGATGGCACTACAGCCAGACACTGTTCCCCCGCAAAAAAGAGAGAGAATGGGAAGCATCTTTCAACTAGATATCAGCTGTATTTACTTTAGTGTCTACCTTTAACACTTTTAGCACTATTAGAAATCAAAACAAGTTTCATTACATAGATGTGTGACGTGAGGCCAGGTGCAGTGGCTCACGCCTGTAATCCCAGCACTTTGGGAGGCCGAGGCAAGCGGATCACCTGAGCCCAGGAGTTTGAGAGCAGCCTAGCCAACATGGCAAAACACCCATCTCTACTAAAAATACAAAAATTAGCCAGGCATGGTAGCAGGCACCTATAATCCCAGCTACTCGGGAGGCTGAGGCAGGAGAATCGCTTGAGGTGGAGGTGGAGGTTGCAGTGAGCCGAGATCGTGCCACTGCACTCCAGCCTGGGTGACAGAGTGAGACTCTGTCTCAAAAAACAAAATAAAAAATAAACATAGATGTGTGATGTGAAAGTCAGGCCCATATTGGAACTATTAGTGCCATCCTTTTTTCCCTATTCCCTACTTCCATACCCATGGGCATCGATAATGGACTCACAACTTTCTCTAGCCTGCTGAGGCAGAAGCAAACTTCAGAACAAAGGCCCCCTCAAGACACTGACCATCAGACACCACCAATCAGCTCTAACTGGGCACAGGAGATGAAACCTGCCTACCGTCACAGAATGGAAAAATATTTGAGGGGAAAAGGCTGGGAGAAAGAATAAAGAAGGTTAGATGACCAATTCAGTTCACTGCTAAAGGACAGTTCACTGCTAAAGTTCACTGCTAAAGGGATTTTCTTAAAATGTCAGGAAACCAAAGGAAAAGCATCATATAAATTTCTTACCTTCGCTGTTCCAGTCTGAGAACCATAAAAAATCTTCACTCCAGACACAAAGATGTCTTTCTCTTGAAGGGAGACATAACCATTTGTCATCAAATCCTGAGCTGCTTTTGGAACAGATTTTTCCTGTAAGTTCTTGCCCTTGAAGACAAATAATTACACAAAATCCATCAAGTCTAAATCGTTTCCCAACTTCAGCAGGGATGAAAATTAGCACAGATACTGACACATTTTATTTTTCTCTTAATCTGACACACTGTATTTTTCTCTTAATCTTTCTGGTTGTATTCCTCAAATATTAGCCCCTTGGTATAATAAGGTCCTTTAATAGGCAGGACCCACATTTTTAAGGCTCATGATTTCCTTTCCCTCCAAGAAAAAACTTTACATACTTTTATCCTATAAGGTATTTTAGTAGAATAATAGTAGGAACTTATTTTCTGATCCTTAATTAATGGAAAGAGAGGACTACTGACCCTTAAAGGTATAAAACAAATTTGTTTTTCATATAAAAGGTTCACTTTTCATTACAAAAATCTTCCTGTATCTTAAAAATGAGACACACCTATCAAAGAAAAAGTAAAGAACTTAATCCAAGATAACTTAGTCTCCAAAAACTTAGAGAAGAAATTTATTTTAGGCATTTCATTAAAATGTCTAAAGACCAAACACAAAAGTAATTAAAGGTTCCTTTTAGTATTTAAATCCTCTATAAAATCTGATGCCTAAATACTCCATTAAAAAAAAAATAACTCCACTTACCTGCGTCTTGATGACAATCTGGACACAAATCCAAAGGCTAATGCTAACAGCAAAGCCCAAATAAATGTAAAACCTGTTTATCCATAATGATATTAAAGGTGAGAAGAGGTCCCATGTATCCGCAGAAGGATCTAAATTTAAAATGACACACACAATTTCATTTAAAGCTACATATACAAAGATATCCATCCCAATTTTAAGAAGAAAATAAAACCAACCTTACATTCAACAACCCAGCTAAGAAATCTAATTTAAAAATCAACTGTTGGCCGGGCACGATGGCTCATGCCTGTAATTCCAGCACTTTGGGTGGCTGAGGCGGGCAGATCACCTGAGGTCAGGAGTTCGAGACCAGCCTGGCCAACATGGTGAAACCCCGCCTCTACTAAAAATACAAAAATTAGCCGGGCGTGGTGGCGCGCACCTGTAATCCCAGCTACTCGGGGGGCTGAGGCAGGAGAACTGTTTGAACCTGGGAGGGAGAAGTTGCAGTGAGCCAAGATTGCGCCACCGCACTCCAGCCTGGGCGACAGAGCAAGGCTCCATCTCGGGGGCGGGGGGGTGGGGAACAACTGTAATAAAAATAACACACTATGTAGTAACGTAATAAAATTATCACACTGTTAACACTAACTCAAAGAAAAAACAGAATATAAAATTGTATCTTCACTTCGAAATGAGCATTTAGAAGCAAGAGAAGGAACACAAAGTAAAAATACTTCATGTGAAATTAATTTTGTTTTGTTGTGCTTGCTCCATAAAAAAAGCTTAAGTAGTAAAAGCACTCTTTTTACTAACTGTACTTTCAAAGGCTCACGGTTAAACTTGTAAAAGATTCTCAAGTAACTGACCTTACACCTCATTTTTTTTTTTTTAAGAGAGATATGCAGGGACCTGGCTTCAAACGTTCAACCTGGGAGCAATTTCAAAAGTCGAGGCCTGAAATTTAGGCTTTACAGGTGCAAAAGTCCTAATACACGTAGGTAAAGTGGGAGGGGTAGTTTTCTGTCTAACCCCCTAGCCTCAAAAGGCAAAAGCCAGGTCAAAAGTAGGGATCAGTCCTCCTTGCTCTCAGCGGCGACTAGCCGGTGCTGTCAAGTGCAACAGTCTCCGAAGGAAAGGGACCGAGGACGCCACTCCGCCCGGAGAGGGTCTCAGTAAAACGTTTACCTCCCCTGCCGCCCCAGGGTCCTTGCCCGCCGAGTGCCCTTACCCATCCTCCTCAGAGCCGACAGGAGACTAGGATCTCGGACCTGGATAGCCCGATGATTCGCACTGGTACCGCGAGACGCACCGAGCTACCTCGCCGCGTTAGCGGCGTACCGAGTGCCTGCAGACCTGTGGGCAGCCATGACACTGCCAGGCCGGTCCTGATTGGTTCAGAGGACGAAGAGGTGGGCCCAGAGGAAAGCCCAGAGCTCCGGGAAAGGAAGCCAGTGCCCGGTGCGCTCTCGGCCCTGCTCCGATTGGCTCAGAGGGGAAAGGGGGCGTGCCCAGAAATAAGCACCTCCCAGAGTTCCAGGCGATGAAGGCGGAGCGCTTCCGCCTCCATTTGGATTGGCTCAGACTGGGAAAAGGCGGGCCCAGAGAGAAATGATTGGCATGGGAAAATTAAAAGAGGAAAGGAGCGGGGAGCGGGGGAAATGCTATGTGGGCCTGTTTGGATCTTAACTGAAATAAACCGACTGTAGAAAGGCATTATTTTTGGGAAACCCGAGGATGGACTCGCTATTAGATGATATTAAGGAATTGTAGTTAATCTCGTCGCGTGTATCTGTTAAGGGCTATAGGCTGAAGTATTTAATGCTGAAACCATATGATGGTTTCTTTAAAATACCCCCAACCGGCCGGGCGCTGTGACTCAAACCTGTAATCCCAGCACTTGGGAAGCCGAAGCGGGAGGATCGCTTGAGCCCAGGAGTTCGAGACCAGCCTGAGCAACATAGTGAGACCTCGTCTGTACAAAAAATTTTTTTTAATTATTTATTTAATTAAATTAGCTTGGCGTGGCCGCTCACACCTGTAGTCCCAGCTACTTGGGAAGCTAACGCTGGAAGATCGCTCGAACCCAGGAGGTCGAAGCTGCAGTGGGGCCATGACCCTGCCACTGCACTCCAGCCTGGGTGACAGAGTGAGACTGACTTAAAAAAAAAACTGTAAATAAAAAAGCAACAAAAAAATGAAAAAAGAATAAAACAAGGATGGCAAAATGTTGATAGCGGGGTGATGGGTACATAGAAGGTTCATTACACTTTTTTGTCTACATTTTATGTTAAAATATTTCTATTATAAAAGGGTGAGTAAATAAAAATATTTATTATAAAATAATTCTATTATAAAAAATATTTATATTATAAAGTGGGTCTGGCCCTTGAATTCCGCGGAACGAGGTGGTGCCAACGCTGTGTTTTAACCCGGTCACTAAACATCCGCGAGCATCCTGTCAGAGCTCTCAGCTCATTGGCGAAAGTAAATACGCCAAGGAAAAGCACCTCCCTTTTTGGGCGTGGAAAGATGGCGTAAAAAGCCACAATACGCAGGCGTCATCGCTCACTTTTCCCCTCCCGGCTTCTGCTCCACCTGACGCCTGCGCAGTAAGTAAGCCTGCCAGACACACTGTGACGGCTGCCTGAAGCTAGTGAGTCGCGGCGCCGCGCACTGGTGGTTGGGTCAGTGCCGCGCGCCGATCGGTCGTTACCGCGAGGCGCTGGTGGCCTTCAGGCTGGACGGCGCGGGTCAGCCCTGGTTCGCCGGCTTCTGGGTCTTTGAACAGCCGCGATGTCGATCTTCACCCCCACCAACCAGATCCGCCTAACCAATGTGGCCGTGGTACGGATGAAGCGTGCCGGGAAGCGCTTCGAAATCGCCTGCTACAAAAACAAGGTCGTCGGCTGGCGGAGCGGCGTGTGAGTAGCCCCCTCCCTCGGGCCTGGGCCTGGGCCTGAGCCGTCACCTCCGAGGCGGCCTGTCTCTGCCCAAGTCGAGTGAATGGGCCAGGCTGGGGTGTTGGCCGGGGAGGAAATGGAACATTCCTGCTGTGAGCATGAGACGTCGCTGTCCGAGCTTGGCGCCTAAGCCAAGGGTTTCTTCTTTATTTGGTTGGTTCGGATTGGGTTGTTGGTTTGGGGTTTTGTTTTGTTGGTGTCATAAAAGCTGCAGCCAAGAAATCTCGTAATTGTGGTCCTTTTCCTAGAATAATGATGGCTGAGAACCTAGTCTTACGAATACTGTCATAGTTGTGGGTACATCTGGTGTCATAGATCTCAGTAGCCCTAGCAGTTTAAAGTGCGTAGTGTCTTCACTGCTGCCATCTAGGGACTGGCATTCCGTGGCAGCAGCTGTCTGCACCCCACCCCACCCTTGTGTTTCTTACGTCCTCCCATGACATTTTTCTCCAGTGAGCAAATGGTAAGGCAAATACGGTTCTGAGTTTTGAAAATGTTCCCTCAGGCCGATGCGGGCAGTTCACTTGAGGCCAGGAGTTCGAGGCCAGCCTGGCCAACATGAAACCCCATCTCTACTAAAAATACAAAGTTAGCCGGGTGTGGTGGCGCATGCCTGTAATCCCAGTTACTCAGGAGGCTGAGGCGGGAGAATCACTTGAACCCGGGAGGCTGAGGTTACAGTGACCCGAGATCGCGCCATTGCACTCCAGCCTGGGCAAAAACAGTGAAATTCCATCTAGGGGCGGGGGTTGGGGGGTAAGAAAAAGAAAACTGCCCTCTACACTAAAGGTCATCAGGGGGATTTGTTGTGTCTTGCCGTTCATGTTGTTGCCATCTCGTATTTAAATGTAAATGCATGTCCAAGTTTCAAGTATATTCACATAGGACTTTCTCTCCTGCCCTCACAAGGGAAAAAGACCTCGATGAAGTTCTGCAGACCCACTCAGTGTTTGTAAATGTTTCTAAAGGTCAGGTTGCCAAAAAGGAAGATCTCATCAGTGCGTTTGGAACAGATGACCAAACTGAAATCTGTAAGCAGGTGGGTAACAGCTGCAGCATAGCTAACCCTAATAACCATTTATAACGTATTTGTAGATATATTAAACATTAAAGGCTGTTTTTCTGGAGGAAAGACTAACCAAGCAATAATGTGAACTGCACAGTGTCACTTCTAATAATAAAGAACTTGGTGGTTTTGTTTGTTTTTTGTGGTTTTTTTTTTTTTTTTTTTGCCAAAACCTCCTGAAATCAGATTTTCTACTAAATTACCTCATTTTTCTATAAATTGCCCCATTTATAGAATGTGGTATACCTGAAAACTGAATTTGTTTTCAAGTATTTCATCTTTCAGATCCTTTTTTTTTTGGGTGGGGGGACAGAGTCTTGCTCTGTTGCCCAGGCTGGAGTGCAGTGCACTTCACTGCACTCAGCTCACTGCAACCTCTGCCTCCTGGATTCAAGCGATTCTCTTGCCTCAGCTTCCAGGGTAGCTGGGATTACAGGTGCCCACCACCCTGCCTGGCTAATTTTTGGATTTTTAGTAGAGATGGGGTTTCACCATGTTGGCCAGGTTGGTCTCAAACTCCTGACCTTGGGTGATATGCCCGCCTTAGCCACCCAAAGTGCTGGGATTACAGATGTGAGCCACTGAGCCCAGCCAAAAGATTCTTGCATCTTTTGGGCAAAGCTCAAACCATTACTTACATATTGATAGCTGGAGAGGATGAAATTTAATTTTCTCTCCATCCAGTTACTCATTTTTTATGGTTAGTTAATAAATAGTGTGTGATAGAGAAAGATAGTGATTTCTTAAATGTGTTGGCATTTTTTTAGATTTTGACTAAAGGAGAAGTTCAAGTATCAGATAAAGAAAGACACACACAACTGGAGCAGATGTTTAGGGACATTGCAACTATTGTGGCAGACAAATGTGTGAATCCTGAAACAAAGAGACCATACACCGTGATCCTTATTGAGAGAGCCATGAAGGACATCCACTATTCGGTGAAAACCAACAAGAGTACAAAACAGCAGGTGAGTGGTTTCTCATGTCATCAAAATATAGCCATGGAAATCAGTTTTCTCTGAAGAAATCATTAAAATAATGGGTCTGGGGCCAGGCACAATGGTTCATGCCTGTAATCCTAGCACTTTGGGAGCCAAGATGGGAGGATTGCTTGAGGCCTGGAAACAGCCTGGGAAACATAGGGACGCCCCATCTCTAAATTTTTTTTTTTTTTTTTTGAGACAGAGTCTTACTCTATTGCCCAGGCTGGAGTGCAGTAGTATGATCTCGGCTCACTACAATCTCCACCTCCCGCGTTCAAGCAAGTCTCCTGCCTCAGCCTCCTGAGTAGCTGGGATTATAGGCACGTGCCACCACACTCAGCTAATTTTGTATTTTTAGTAGAGTTGAGGTTTCACCATGTTGGCCAGGCTGGTCTTGAACTCCTGACCCTAGGTGATCCGTCCGCCTTGGCCTCCCAAAGTGCTGGGATTACAGGCATCAGCTACCGTACCCTACCTCTAAATTTTTTAATATAAAAAATTAAATTTAAAAAAATGGGTCTGCATGGAAGCAAGTGGGTAGAGGTTTGGGGAAGAGATGGAGGAAAAGGACGGGGTTGTAAAGATAGGTAATTTTTTTTTTTCAAGTAAACACAAATATGTATATAGGACTTTCTTCTTCCTATCCAAATCAAACTTTTAAAGACAAAACTTGAGTTTTTAAAGGGTCATTTTAACACTTCTTTTTGAATTTTTTAATTTATATATAATTCACATACCATAAATTTCACACTCATAAAGTATGTACACTTTAAGTGGTATATTAACAAAGTTTTGGAACCTTCCCTGCTACCTGGTTCGAGAACATTTTCATCACCACAAAAAGAAAGTCAGTATCCATTAGTAGCCATCCCCCATTTTCCCCCCACAGGCCCCTCCCAACCACTAATCTCCTCTCGTTATGGACTTCTCAATTCTGGACATTTCATATAAATGGAATCATACAATATGTGGCCTTTTCATGGTTCATACATGTTGTAACCTGCATCAGCATGTCATTTCTTTTTTATGCCGGAATAATAGCCCACTGTACGGAAAGAAACACATTTTGTTCATTCATCTATCAGTTGATAGACATTGGGTTGCTTTCACTTTTGAGCTATGATGAGCAATGCTGCTATAAAATTTCTTGTATGTTTCTGTGTAGACATATGTTTTCATTTCTGTATACCTGGTGACTACCAAACCTATTTCTAAAACAGCTGCACCATTTTACTTTACCACCATCAGTGTTTAAGAGTTCAGTTTCTCCACATCCTCAGTAATACTTGTCATTGTCTGCCTTTTTGATGATGGCCATCCTGGTGGTATCTTGTCGTGGTTTTGATTTGCATTTCCTTAATGATGATTTGAGCATATTTCCATGTGCTTATTGGTGCCTCGTCTGTCTTCTTTTGAGAAATCTCTGTTCAGGTTCTTTGCCCACCCCCCCCGCCCTCTTTTTGCAAACTCTGCCTCCCGGATTCAAGCAATTCTCCTGCCTCAGCCTCTTGAGTAGCTGGGATTACAGGCGTGCACTACCACACCCGGCTAATTTTTCTTTTTTTGTATTTTTAGTGGAGACGGGGTTTCACCATGTTGGCCAGGCTGGTCTCGAATTCCTGACCTTGTGATGCACCCGCCTCGGCCTCCCAAAGTGCTGGAATTACAGGCGTGAGCCACCACACCTGGCCTTCACTTTCTTCATAGTTTTTTGAAACACAAAAGCTTTTCTTCTTGATAAGTCCAATTTTTCTATTTTTTTTTTAACGGTCACTTATGTTCTTAATGTTATACCTAAGAAACCATTACCTAATCCAACTACATGGAAACTACTTTGTTTTTGAAAACCTTATGAAATAATATAGTAGAAGAAATTGCATTCTCGATTTTGTCTTGGTAGGCTTTGGAAGTGATAAAGCAGTTAAAAGAGAAAATGAAGATAGAACGTGCTCACATGAGGCTTCGGTTCATCCTTCCAGTCAATGAAGGCAAGAAGCTGAAAGAAAAGCTCAAGCCACTGATCAAGGTCATAGAAAGTGAAGATTATGGCCAACAGTTAGAAATCGTAAGAGTCAAATATTTTCTTTGCTTCATGTTACCTAAATATTGTATTCTCTAGTAATAAATTTGTAGCAAACATTTAGATGTTGTAAACGTCAGATATTTTCTTTTCTTTTTTTTTTTTGAGATGGAGTCTCGCTCTGTTGCCCAGGCTGGAGTGCAGTGGTGCTATCTCAGCTCACTGCAAGCTCCGCCTCCCGGGTACACGCCATTCTCCTGCCTCAGCCTCCTGTGTAGCTGGGACTACAGGCACCCGCCACCAAGCCTGGCTAATTTTTCGTATTTTTTAGTAGAGACGGAGTTTCACCGTGTTAGCCAGGACGGTCTTGATCTCCTGACCTCATGATCCACCTGCCTCAGCCTCCCAAAGTGCAGGGATTACAGGCGTGAGCCACCGCGCCCAGCCAGATATTTTCTTAAGACTAAAGGTTGGTCAGCCTTGTTTACCACAAATCCTTTTATTTTTTTCCCAGCATTTATTTTTGTCATATATTATGCGTAGTGTTTTAGATACATGATTTTAGCAAATTTAGCAACTATTTAAAATAAGCCACTTAAAAATTGCTATTTTAGTGGAAGATTGATAATTCCAATTACCTTAAAAATTTTGCAAAAATTAGTACAAAGCACACTATGGAAATTTACATTGAGTTTTCAGAGATAGCTCAATTGCATGCTTTACTCCAGTGCTGATCATAATCCTAAAAGACAATCCCAAATGCCACAATCCCAATGTTGAAATCATAAAAAAATCAAAATCTCTAAAGTCCAAAGCCTGAACTTCTAATATCTTGAAAATCACAGTTCCAAAAGATTGAATCCTGGCTGGGCGCGGTGGCTCATGCCTGTAATCCCAGCACTTTGGGAGGCCAAGGCAGGTGGATCACCTGAGGTCGGGAGTTCGAGACCAGTCTGACCAACATGGAGAAACCCTGTCTCTACTAAAAATACAAAATAGTCTGGCGTGGTGGCACATGCCTGTAATCCCAGCTACTCGGGAGGCTGAGGCAGGAGAATCACTTGAACCTGGAAGGCAGAGGTTGCGGTGAGCCAAGATTGCACCATTGCACTCCAGCCTGGGCAACAAGAGCGAAACTCCATCTCAAAAAAAAAAAAAAAAGATTGAATTCTGAATGATGAAATTCTGAAAGCTGAATTCTGGCAAAAGGATTAGCACTCTTTGAGTTGTATGCAGGATAGTCGCGTCTGGTTAATTGCATCATGTGAGGAAAAGCTAGGACCTTGTTATTGTCTTCATTTGAAAATTAAAAATGGTTTAAAGAGATGAGTCTGGGTGCCAAGTTGATAAGGGGTGGAATTGTGGATGTAATTTTAGGTGTCAACTTGACTGGAAAGGAATCCCTAGAAGCCTGATAAAGCATTGTTTGGGGTATGTCTGTGAGGGTGTTTCCAGAGGATATTAGTGTGTGAACCTGGTGACACTAAACACAGAACATTTTAAAGAAGCAGCGAAACCATTATGTCCTTATGACCTCACCCCACAGCTTCAAACACAGTGTAAATTGAGCTGTCTACAAATTCATGTTTTCAAGGCTTTGCAGCTTATTTATTTATTTATTTATTTATTTATTTTTGAGACAGGGTTTCACTCTTATTGCCCAAGCTAGAGTGCAATGGCGTGATCTCAGCTCACTGCAACCTCTGCCTCCCGGGTTCAAGCGATTCTCCTGCCTCAGCCTCCCGAGTAGCTGGGATTACAGGCATGTGCCACCTCGCCCAGCTAATTTTGTATTTTTAGTAGAGACGGGGTCTCTCCATGTTGGTCAGGCTGGTCTCGAACTCCCGACCTCAGGTGATCCACCCGCCTCGGCCTCCCAAAGTGCTGGGATTACAGGCTTGAGCCACCGCGCCCTGTCTGCAGCTTCTTTTTAAAAGTAAATGAGCTGTAGAGAAGTGTTGAGTATGTGAGTATCCACTGTAGATGTGAACTAACTCATCTGACACTACTTGAAGTTCTAAAATCTTTGCAAAACTGTACACATGGGCCAGGCACAGTGGCTCGTGCCTGTAATCCCAGCACTTTGGGAGGCCAAGGTGAGCAGATAACATGGTGAAACCCTATCTCTACTAAAAATACAAAAAATAAGCCAGGTGTGGTGGTGGGTTCCTGTAATCCCAGTTTCTTGGGAGGCTGAGGCAGGAGAATCACTTGAACCTGGGAGGCGGAGGCTGCAGTGAGCCAAGATCACACCACTGCACTCTATCTCAAAAAAAAATAAATTAACATACACATGGTGTCTACATAAGTCTTCACATTGCTTTTTCTCCTTCATACGTGGAGGTGACTTTACTGAGCTATAAAATGTAATGCTAAATTTTAGTATGAGAAGAATCAGAGTTTTCTAGTTTGTCCCTTCCATTTACAGCTGAAGAATCAGAATAAGTGTTTAAACATAGGGATTAATGCCTTGTCACAGGGGGCTACATGGACACTTGAGGGCAGAGGCTAAACTGGAACCCAGTGTGCCGCCCTACCCATTGTCTTATCTATTGCACCATAGAACTGTGGTATTATTAGAGATCTGGACAGCATTGTGCTTGCCTCAAAGGAAGTTAAAGCTGAGTTTATTCTGTGTCTTGCTCATCCTCATGTGGTAATCTGCTACGTTAAATGTTTCAGGTATGTCTGATTGACCCGGGCTGCTTCCGAGAAATTGATGAGCTAATAAAAAAGGAAACTAAAGGCAAAGGTTCTTTGGAAGTACTCAATCTGAAAGATGTAGAAGAAGGAGATGAGAAATTTGAATGACACCCATCAATCTCTTCACCTCTAAAACACTAAAGTGTTTCCGTTTCCGACGGCACTGTTTCATGTCTGTGGTCTGCCAAATACTTGCTTAAACTATTTGACATTTTCTATCTTTGTGTTAACAGTGGACACAGCAAGGCTTTCCTACATAAGTATAATAATGTGGGAATGATTTGGTTTTAATTATAAACTGGGGTCTAAATCCTAAAGCAAAATTGAAACTCCAAGATGCAAAGTCCAGAGTGGCATTTTGCTACTCTGTCTCATGCCTTGATAGCTTTCCAAAATGAAAGTTACTTGAGGCAGCTCTTGTGGGTGAAAAGTTATTTGTACAGTAGAGTAAGATTATTAGGGGTATGTCTATACAACAAAAGGGGGGGTCTTTCCTAAAAAAGAAAACATATGATGCTTCATTTCTACTTAATGGAACTTGTGTTCTGAGGGTCATTATGGTATCGTAATGTAAAGCTTGGATGATGTTCCTGATTATCTGAGAAACAGATATAGAAAAATTGTGCCGGACTTACCTTTCATTGAACATGCTGCCATAACTTAGATTATTCTTGGTTAAAAAATAAAAGTCACTTATTTCTAATTCTTAAAGTTTATAATATATATTAATATAGCTAAAATTGTATGTAATCAATAAAACCACTCTTATGTTTATTAAACTATGGCTTGTGTTTCTAGACAACTTCCTAACTCCCTTTCTTTTCTCTGCCTGTGTCTGTGGTAGGGTTAGGGAGTTGTCAGGAGAACTGAATAAGTCCATATGAAGAGTGCTTAGAACAGGGCCTGTACTTGTAAACACCTGAAAAATTTTTGCTAACACTTGGGATGTAATTGGGAAGAATTATTTTAGTATTTAAACACTTAAATGGACAAGATGCAAGCTTTTAAAAATCTACTTCAAGGCCAGGGGAGGTGACTCACACCTGCAATCCCAACACTTTGGGAGGCCGAGGCAGGCGGATCACCTGAGGTCAGGAGTTTGAGACCAGCCTGACCCACATGGTGAAACCCTGTCTCTACTAAAAATACAAAAATTAGCCAGGCATGGTGGTGCACGCCTGTAGTCCCAGCTACTCGGGAGGCTGAAGCAGGAGAATCACTTGAACCCAGGAGGCAGAGGTTGCAATGAGCTGAGAATGTGCCACTGCACTCCAGTCTAGGTGACAGAGTGAAACTCGGTCTCCAAAAAAAAGAAAAAAAATCTATTTCAAAAGATACATTCTAGAATATAAATTAAATTCACTCAAAATAAACATACAGATGTATTTCTGGACAGCAGTTTTTAACTGAAGACAGGCTTCTTGACTTGAAAAGGTACTGATTGGTTTATAAGCACACACAACTCCCTGCTAATACAAGCTCTCAGAAATGTCCCTTTAGTTTAAAATAACTAACATTGAGGTTATAAAGTCAAAATTTTTTCTTATATTGTTAACAAAATACATTGATAACATGGGAATGAACACTTTTTCTGTTAATGCTAAAGCTAGGCTGCTGTTTTGATACAGCTATTTGTTCAATATATCAATAGTTCTATCTTAGTAAAAAAATATAAACATTTAATAGAACATTTCCTTAAGATTTTCTGGGGCCAGGCGCAGTGGCTCCCACCGGTAATCCCAGCACTTTGGGAGGCCAAGGCGGGTGAATCACTTGAGCTTGGGAGTTTGAGACCAGCCTGGGCAACACAGTGAAACCCCGTCTCTACAAAAATACAAAAAATTAGGCATGGTGGTGTGCACCTGTTTTCCCAACTACTTGGGAGGCTGAGGCAGGAGGATCACTTGAGCCCGGGAGGCGGAGGTTGCAGTGAGCTAAAATCACCCCACTGCACTCCAGCCTGGACAACAGAGCCAGACCCCATCTCAAAACAAAGATTTTCTGATTCTGAATATTCATTTTTTCTAAAAAGCTGGAACTTCAAGAAATGTCAAATGTGGATCACATCTGAGTCATCATCTAAACTTATTTTTTTAATTTTATACTAATTTCATTATCAAAGAACTTAACATTTTTTGGTTCATGATCATCTTCCCAGTACCACAGCCATAATGGATTATTTTAAGGATTGGTTTGACTTTTTCAATGCAAGCTGATGGTGTGTGCATTTGGTCACAATGACATTTCAGACTTAGGCCTCTTCTTTTACCACAGTTCTTTTCTCTGAAGCTTCCCTTGTACCCCATACACAAGTATTTGCTCCAGTTGCTGGAAGCCAGTACTCTACTTAAATTCCTTCATGGGTCTGGATTTATTCAAACTTGTATTAGAGCTGCTTAATTATCTGCCTTCAGGCTAGACTGTGAGCTCCTTAAGGGCAAGGGACTTAGCAATGTGTGTGTATATCCCACCATGCTTTGGACCTAGCAGATGTGGAGTAAATGTCTGAAATAATAAACACGTGGACCAGGCACAGTGGCTCATGCCTGTAATCCCAGCACTTTGGGAGGCCCAGGTGGGCAGATCACCTGAGGTCAGGAGTTCAAGACCAGCCTGGCCAAAATGACGAAACCCAGTCTCTATTAAAAATACAAAAATTAGCTGGCTGTGGTTGCTCACGCCTGTAATACCAAGACTTTGGGAGGCCAAGGCAGGCAGATCACGAGGTCAAGAGATCGAGACCATCCTGGCCAACATGCTGAAACCCTGTCTCTACTAAAAATACAAAAATTAGCTGGGCACGGTGGCGCATGCCTCTAGTCCCAGCTACTCAGGAGGCTGAGGCAGGAGAATCACTTGAACCTGGTAGGCAGAGGTTGCAGTGAGCCACTGCACTCCAGCCTGGGTGACAGAGCGAGACGCTGACTCAAAAAAAAAAAGAAATTAGCTGGGCATGGTGGCGGCCGCCTGTAATCCCAGCTGCTCAAGAGGCTGAGGCTAGAGAATCTCTTGAACCTAGGAGGCAGAGGTTGCAGTGAGCCAAGATTCTGCCACTACACTCCAGCCTGGGTGACAAGAGCAAAACTCCATCTCAAAAAAAATATATTTTATATCAGAACTAAATGTAAACATAAAACTATCAGATACTGGCTTACACCTGTAATCTCAACACTTGGGGAGGCCAAGGCTGCCGGATCACGATGTCAGGAGATGGAGACCATCCTGGCTAACACGGTGAAACCCCGTCTCTACTAAAAATACAAAAAATTAGCCGGGAGTGGTGGCACGTGTCTGTAGTCCCAGCTACTCGGGAGGCTGAGGCAGGAGAATCACTTGACCCTGGAAGATGGAGATTGCAGTGAGCCAAGATCACACCACTGCACTCCAGCCTGGGCGACAGAGCGAGACTCCATCTCAAAAAACAAACAAACAACAACAACAAAAAACTGTGAGTTAGTAGAAAATATAAGGAAATATTTAACCTAAGGGTTAAAAGACTTTCTTAAGAAAAACAGAAACCTAAAAATTATCAAGGAAAATACCAACAGATTTAACTACATAAAAATGTAAAATTTCAGAATGACAGAAGACACTTTAAAGAAAGTTTAAAGAGTCCAGGCACAGTGGCTCATGCCTATAATCCCAGCACTTTGGGAGACCAAGGCAGGAGCATCGCTTGAGTCCAGGAGTTCAAGACCAGCCTGAGCAACATAGCAAGACTCTGTCTGTACAAAAATTAAAGAATTAACTGGGTGTAGGCTGGGTGCAGTGGCTCACGCCTGTAATGCCAGCACTTGGGAGGTTGAGGCGGGCAGATCACCTGAGGTCAGAAGTTCAAGACCAGCCTGGCTAACACGGTGAAACCCCATCTCTACTAAAAATACAAAAAATTAGCCGGGTGTAGTGGCACGTGCCTGTAGTCCCAGCTACTTGGGAGCCTGAGGCAGGAGAATCGCTTGAACCCGGGAGGCAAAGGTTGCAGTGAGTTGAGATTGCACCATAGCACTCCAGCCTGAGCCTAGGCGACAGAACAAGACTCCGTCTCAAAAAAAAAAAAAAAAGAATTAACTGGGTATAATGACACATGCCTGTAGTCCCAGCTACTAGAAAGGCTGAGGTAGGAGGATTGCTTGAGCCTGAGAGGTTGAGGATGCAGTGAACCATGATCAGGCCACTGCACTCAGCCTAGGCAACACAGTGAGACCCTGTCTCAAGAAAAAAGTTTAAAGATATTATGGCTCAGCTAGGCACAGTGGCTCATGCCTGTAATCCCAGCACTTTGGGAGGCCAAAGCTGGTGGATCACTTTAAGTCAGGAGTTCAATACCAGCCTGGGCAACATGGTAAAACCCTGTCTCTACTAAAAATACAAAAAAAAAAAAAATTATCTGAGCATGGTGGCACGCGCCTGTAATCCCAGCTACTCAGGAAGCTGAGGCAGAAGAATCTCTTGAGCCCAGGAAGCGGAGGATGCAGTGAGCTGACATTGTGCCATTGCACTCCAGCCTAGGCGACAGAGAATAAGACTCTGTCTCAAAAAAAAAAAAAAAAAAAAAAAAAAAATTATGGCTAGGAGAAAATATGTGCAACAGGTAAGACAGGTAAAATGCCAATAAGTTATGACCAACCAAGAAAAAGGTCTAATATTCACCCCTAAGCATGGGGAAAATTGACACATTAATTTAAAATTAAATGCAAAATAGGATATTCAGCTTCTCTCAGAGAAATGCTAAACAATGAGAAATCATTTTCTACCCATCATATTGAAGAAAAGGTAAGAGATTAATTGTGATATTGGCAAGGAAGTGAAGGAACAGGCACGTTCATGCATTTACTGATAGAAGCATAACTGGCTCTAACCTTTCAAGAAAGTAATTTGGTGGTATCTTTTTTTGTGATGGAGTCTCCCTTTGTTGCCTAGGCTGGAGTACAGTGGCACGATCTTGGCTCACTGCAAACTCTGCTTCCTGGGTTCAAGCGATTCTCCTGCCTCAGCCTCTCCAAGTAGCTGGGATTACAGGTGCATGCCACCACGCCCAGATAATTTTTTTTTTTTTTTGTATTTTTAGTAGAGACGAGGTTTCACCATGTTGGCCAGGCTGGTCTCAAACTCTGTTTTTTTGTTTTGTTTTGTTTTTTTGAAATGAAGTCTAGCTCTGTCACCCAGGCTGGAGTGCAGTGGCGTGATCTCGGCTCATTGCAACCTCCACCTCCCAGGTTCAAGCAATTCTCATGCCTCAGCCTCCCCAGTAGCTGGGATTACAGGCACCCGCCTCCATGCCCAGCTAATTTTTATATTTTTAGTAGAGACGGGGTTTCACTGTGTTGACCAGGCTGGTCTCGAACTCCTGACCTCATGATCCGCCTGCCTCAGCCTCCCAAAGTGCTGGGATTACAAGAGTGAGCCACCATGCCTGGCCAGGTCTCAAACTCTTGACCTCAGGAGATCCACCTGCCTCAGCCTCCCAAAGTGCTGGGATTACGGCATGAGCCACTGCACCTGGCCTGGTGGTATCTTAAAATTTTTAAATATGTGCACTTTTTTTTGTTGTTGTTGTTGCAGGAGGAGGGTCTTGCTCTGTCGCCCAGGCTGGAGTGCAGTAGCAAGATCACTGCTCACTACAGCCTCAACCTCCCTGGCTCAAGTGATCCTCCCACCTCAGCCTCCTGAGTACCTGGGAAGACAGGCAGGCACCACCATGCCCGGCTAATTTTTTTTTATTTTTCGTAGATACAGAGCCTTGCTATGTTGCTCAGGCTGGTCTCAAACTCCTGGCCTCAAGCAATCCTACCACCCCGACCTCCCAAAGCCCTGAGATTATAGGCATGAACCACTGTACCTGGCCATGTGCACCATTTGATACAGCAATTGATTGCTCTTTAGGCATCTATCTGCCAGAAATAAAATTACCTAAATTCTAATGTTATTTTCTGCTTGTATTAGTAAAAACTGAAAATGGCCATCAATAGCAAATATAGGCTGAGTATCACTTATTCCAAATGCTTGGGAAATAAGTATTTAAAATTTCAGATATTTTTTCAGATTTTGGCATATTTTCATGCCTAATTCAAAAATTCAAAAATCAAAATGCTCAGGGACCATTTCCTTTGAGCATTATGTTTCTAATTTGGGGTTTTTTTCAGATTAGGGATACTCAACCTATAGTTAAATGAATTGTAACATCTACTTATTGTGGATTTTTTTTTTTTTTTTTTTTTTTTTTTGAGATGGAGTCTCGCCCTGTTGCCCAGGTTGGAGTGCAGTAGTGCAATCTCAGCTCACTGCCACCTCCAACTCCCGGATTCAAGTGATTTTCCTGCCTCAGCTCCTGAATAGCAGGGACTACAGGCACGCATCACCATGCCTGGCTAATTTTTGTACTTTTAGTAAAGACAGGGTATCCCTATTTTGGCCAGGCTGGTTTTGAACTCCTGACCTCAGGTGATCCGGCCCATCTCAGCCTCCCAAAAGTGCTGGGATTACAGGTGTGGGCAACTGCACCCAGCCTATTGTGGAATATTAAGTATATTTTAACAAATGAGACATCTTCCCGTATGTCCTACAGGGATGTCCATGGTAATAAGTGGAGGAGGGGTAGAGATGGAAGAGGGAATAAAACTATGGAGGAATGTATTATGGCGTGATCCCATTTTTGTCACTTTTTTGGAGGAAAAACCCTAAATATGTGTGTACAGGTGTATATACGGTTGAAAGAGCATAGAAAAATCTGTGGAAAAATATACATGTAACCTACACAAGCATATTACAACCAGCATGATTAGTTTTGAAATAAAGTTTTCAGCCAGTCACGGTAGCTCATGCCTGCAATCCCAGCACTTTGGGAGGCAGAGGTAGGCGGATCACCTGAGGTCAGGAGTTCGAGACCAGCCTGGCCAATGTGGTGAAACCTCATCTCTACTGAAAATATAAAAATTAGGCCAGGCGCAGTGGCTCATGCCTATAATCCCATCCTTCTGGGATGCCAAGGCTGGTGGATCACTTGAGGACAGGAGTTCAAGACCAGCCTCGCCAACATGGTGAAACCCCATATCCACTAAAACACAAAAAATCAGCTGGATGTGGTGGTGGGCACCTGTAATCCCACGTACTTGGGAGGCTGAGGCAGGAGAATCACTTGAACCAGGGAGGTGGAGGTTGCAGTGAGCCAAGTTTGCACCATCGCACTCCAGCCTGGGCAACAAGGGCGAAACTAGCGAAATCTGTCTCAAAAAAAAAAAAAAATACAAAAATTAGCTGGGCATGGTGGTGGTGCCACCTGTAATCCCAGCTACTCAGGAGGCTGAGGCAGGAGAATCGCTTGAGCCTGAAAGGCAGAGGTTGCAGTGAGACGAGAGCACGCCACTGCACTCCAACCTAGGTGACAGAGTGAGACTCTGTCTCTAAATAAATAAATAAATAAAGTTTTCAAAAGCATATGAAAATACCAATTTAATAAGCTTTTTGGAAAATTTAAAGTGAAACTGCACTTTTATTCTCATTCAGATTCACTTTCAAAGATCTCTTCTGCCCTGCCCTTTAGAAATTGTGAGAGGCTTCCCTGGGTCTTGGAAGTTGAGATCTTGAACTTTTTCCCTAGCATGACCAGTGCTGTTGCCAAAATGCCAGGGGTTTGGTGTAGGTCCTGCCGCTTGCTGCACAGAAAGCCAATCAGTAGTGCCAGGGAAGAAGGCTTTAATTGGGTGCTCCAGCCAAGGAGATGGGAGATCAGTTTCAAATTTGTCTCCCTGACCAACTAAAATTAGAGGTTTATATAGGAAGGAAGAAATGTAACTACATGCAGTAAAACAGGAATTAGGGAGGGGTAAGGAAGAGGAGTTGATCAACAGGCAGCAGGTGGTCTGTTAGGCCATTATGACAGATGAGGGGTTCTGCATCTCATTGTCCAAATGCAGTGATCTGGTAAGTTTCAGTTCCTTGATACCATCTGGGAGGCTTGATGGTTGATTTCCTGAGAAAGGAACTCAGATAAGGCAAATGTCACTTTCTCAAATTTCAAGACTGGAAAGGTCAATTTGTTTCTCTTTTTGCTTTTGCTTTTGTTTTGTTTTGAGACAGGGTCTCACTATGTTGCCCAGGCTGAAGTGCAGTGGCTATTCACAGGCGTGATGCCACTACTCATCAGCACAGGAGTTTTGACCTGCTCAGTCTCCGACCTGAACTGGTTAACCCCTCCTTAAGCAACCTGGTGGTCCCCCACTCCCAGGAAGTTGATGCTAAACTTAGTGCAGACACCTGATTGGCATAGCGCACTACAGCCCAGAACTCCTGGGCTCAAAGGATCCTCCCGCCTCAGCCTCCCAAGTAGCTGGGAATACCAGCACACTCCACCACACCAGGCTAGAAGTGTCAATTTCTATGTTTATTCAAAAGAAACCATAAACATCTGCTCTATGAAAGAACTGAGTCAGTTTCAGTACCTTAGCAGGTGACACAGACTCTGTTGTGAGAACGGAAAGCCCAGGAAAGAATTGTAGATTACTGGTTTCAAGCTGTCTTATACCTACCTCAGGCACTAGGAGGCATGGAGAGTTTGCAAGGAAGTGATGAGGAGATTTAAAAAGAAAAGGCAGAAGAGATGGAGAGTGGATGGAAAGCTCCCAATAAAGAGAGGCTGGCCAGGCGCGTTGGCTCATGCCTATAATCCCAGCATTTTGGAAGGCTGAGGCAGGCGGATCACCCAAGGTCAGGAGTTCGAGGCCAGCCTGGCCAAAATGGTGAAATCCCTTCTCTACTAAAAATACAAAAAATTAGCTGGGAGTGGTGGTAGGTACCTGTAATCCCAACTACTAGGGAGACTGAGGCAGGAGAATCACATGAACCCAGGAGGCACAGGTTGCAGTGAGCCGAGATCGCACCACTGCACTCCAGCCTGAGTGACAGAGTGAGACGAGAGAGAGAGAGAATAGGAATGTTTTGAGCAGAGCAGTTACTTCTTGCTGCAGTTCCTTTTCCCCAGAACAGTCAAAATGTGCTGGCCCTTACTTTTCTTCACGTCCCTCTCCTCCTAGGCTGGGATCCAGGAGCCCCAGGACTTGGTGCCACTAAAATAACTGCCGCATTTTTTTTTCCTTGAGTTTCATGGCATGGATCACAGATTTCAGCTTTGAATCTTTGAATGTTTTGAATGTTTCAGCTTTCAAATGTTTTGCTTTTCTCCAAATAGCCTAAGCTATAGTGAACCATAGAAGGGCAATGAGCAAGCCATCATACCCAAACATTTCTAAATCAATCCATTTTCCATCATGACTCAGTACATGTATACATCTGTAACAGAGTGCAGTGGTGCAATCATAGCTCTCTGCAGCCTAGAACTCTTAGGTTCAATCAATCCTCCTGCCTCAGCCTCCAGAGTTGCTGGAACTACAGGCTTGTGCCACCACGCCTAGCTAATTATTTTAACTTTTTGTAGGGACAGGGTCTTCCTATGTTGCCCAAACTTAATCTACTATTTTGTTTGTTTGTTTGAGACAGAGTCTCGCTCTGTTGCCCAGGCTGGAGTGCAGTGGGGCAATCTCTCCTCACTGCAATCTCCGCCTCCTGGGTTCAAGTGATTCTCCTGCCTCAGCTTCCCAAGTAGCTGGGATTACAGGCGCCCCCTACCATGCCCAGCTAAATTTTTTTTTTTTATTAGAGACGGGGTTTCATCACAGTGGCCACGCTGGTCTCGAACCCTTGAACCCAGGTGATCCACCTGCCTCAGCCTCCCAAAGTGCTAGGATTACAGGCGTGAGCCACTGTGCATGGCCTTAATCTACTATTTTTTGTGGCAATAATTAGATGCTTAATTCTCTAAGTAAAAATTAAATCCAATTCCAAGGTTTGCAAAGCATACTAAGTATACCCAAACATCTTCAGAGAAACTATGCTGAGCAATTTCTTTACCGTATTTTGCCCAAACACAGTAATGAATACAGCTGAATATTCCCTGCATGTTTTGCTAATTTCATACTTTCCGTCAGTACACAGAACATGGCAACTGTGTGTCTCAAGTGTTTTTCAGACATCGTCTGACTTACCGTAACTGTCTGCATAGTAGACCTGGTATTATGCATCTTACACAGATGGAGAATTTGAAGTTAAATACGGGCCCAGGTGCACAATTACATTTCAGGGCCCAGAATTTAGGTATAAATGTTGGACTTAAAGAGTGCTGTTTTATTTTTAGAACACTAATTCAGTAAATAAAGCAGCAGACATGGGCTTATGATTCATTCACCTTATTTGTGAAAAGAAAAGCCTAATAACCTCAGCTTCTTTGTCAAGTGGTTTAGCAAGTCACATCAAGAGAAAAGGAAAGCGCTGGGTGCGGTGGCTCATGCCTATAATCCCAGCACTTGGGAGGCTGAGGCAGGCATATCACTTGAGGTGAGGAGTTCGAGACCAGCCTTGCCAACATGGTGAAATGCCATCTCTACTAAAAATACAAAAATTAGCCGGGCGTGGTGGTGGGCACCTGTAATCCCAGCTACTTGGGAGGCTGAGGCAGGAGAATCGCTTGAACCTGAGAGGTGGAGGTTGGCGTGAGCCAAGATTTTATCACTGCACTCCAACCTCGGTAACAAAGCAAGACTCGGTCTCAATTAAAAAAAAAAAAAAAGGAAAGGAAGCTGGGAAAAAATGCAATGAGACTAAAAGTTACTAAAAAATAGCCCAAACCTTTAACAAAAGAAGCTTTGAGGCCAGGCGGTGGCTCAGGCCTGTAATCCCAGCAAGTTGGGAGGCCAAGGCAGGCGGATCACTTGAGGTCAGGAGTTCGAGACCAGCCTGACCAACATGGAGAAACCCTGTCTCTACCAAAAATACAAAATTAGCTGGGCATGGTGGCGCATGCCTGTAATTCCAGCTACTCGGGAGGCTGAGGCAGGAGAATTGCTTGAACCCGTGAGACGGAGGTTGCGGTGAGCTGAGATCACGCCATTGCACTCCAGCCTGGGCCACAAGAGTGAAACTGTCTCAGAAAAAAAAAAAAAAAAAGAAGCTTTGAAAAGTGGGGAGGGAGAGAAATATTTCATTACTATTTATCGCAGAGAAACTCTCCACCAGGCTGCCACATGTGGTTGCACAGGCTGAGCACTGCACAATTTCCACGGCTGCCATACAACAGCTACTCCTGAAGTGCAATGGTCCAGCTATCAAGATAGCTCTTTATGGCAATAACAGGCATTTTCTGTATTGAAATCATTTTTAAAAATAAAGATGGGGTCTCACAATGTTTCCCAGGTTAGTCTCAACCCCCTGGGCTCGAGCGATCCTCCTGACTCAGCCTCCAGAAGTGCTGGGATTACAGGCATGAGCCACCATACCCACCCGATTGAAACACTTAATTTTTTAAAATTGTTAAAGTACTTTGCATTAGAAAGAAAGAAGAGCTAAAATAAATCTTATTTATAAAGGCAAACATAGGGCCAGGTGCAGTGGCTCACGCCTGTAATTCCAGCACTTTGGGAGGCCAAGGGTGGATGGATCACCTGAGGTCAGGAGTTCGAGACCAGCCTGGCTAACACAGTGATGAGGGAAGAGAGAGATCCTCTCATATTGTTTTATATTGTTTTATACTCAGTACCTGTTTTAAGAAAAAACAACAAGGAAGTAAAACCAAAGACAGGCAGCCCAGCGCCATGCCCGAAACCACGCCTGGGCCTGCCTGGTCTAAACCCAGTAGTTAAAACTCAACTCATAACTTAGAAACCAATGTTATTCATAGATTCCAGACATCATGTAATCCCAGCTACTCAGGAGGCTGAGGCAGAAGAATCGTTTGAACCCTGGAGGCGAAGGTTGCAGTGAGCCAGGATCAGGCCACTGCACTCCAGCATGGGTGACAGAGAGAGACTCCGTCCTGAAAATAAATAAATGCATAAATAATAAAGGCAAACAGAACTTTTTATTACAATTATTCCCCCCCCCCCCCCCCACCGCTTAATTCTGAAACAGCATGTTTTGGACAAAGACTCCAATCTTTTTTTTTTTTTTTTTGAGACGGTGTTTCGCTCTTGTTGCCCAGGCTGGAGTGCAATGGCGCCATCTCAGCTTACCGCAACCTCCGCCTCCCAGGTTCAAGCGATTCTCCTGCCTCGGCCTCCCAAGTAGCTGGGATTACAGGCATATACCACCACGCCCGGCAAATTTTGTATTTTTAATAGAGATGGGGTTTCTCCATGTTGGTCAGGCTGGTCTCGAACTCCTGACCTCAGGTGATCCCCCCGCCTCAGCCTCCCAATGTGCTGGGATTACAGGAGTGAGCCACTGCGCCCGGCTGACAAAGACTCCAATCTAAGTAATTAAATCGACGTGAAGAAATAGAGAAAAATTGGACTCTCTGCATTAGGAAGTTTATAAAATAAGCATGTATTGATCGCCTGCTAGTTGTGAGGCTTTGCATTAGGGGATGTATTCGTGACTTTGGCTTCTTCTAGTTAAGTAGTTCTCAAAGTGGGGATACACCATTAGGATCGCCTGCCTCAGCCTCCCAAAGTCCTGGGATTACAGGCGTGAGCCACCGCGCCTGTAGCTGCACTAGACCAATCTGGTTCAACTTTTTTTTTTTTTTTTTTTTGAGACAGAGTCTCGCTCTGTTGCCCAGGCTGGAGTGCAGTGGCTCAATCTCGGCTCACTGCAAGCTCCGCCTCCTGGGTTCACGCCATTCTCCTGCCTCAGCCTTCTGAGTAGCTGGGTCTACAAGTGTGTGCCACCAGGCCGGCTAATTTTTTGTATTTTTAGTAGAGATGGGGTTTCACCGTGTTAGCCAGGATGGTCTCGATCTCCTGACCTCGTGATCCGCCCGTCTCGGCCTCCCAAAGTGCTGGGATTACAGGCATGAGCCACCGCGCCCGGCCTGCTTCAACTTTTATGTAACAAAGTCGTTAGTTTATCAGTTGCCTGGAACCCTCAGATTATGTAACCTGAGCACGTCCAGACGAACCAAGCCTGCACCCACAGGGGGATCCTAAGTGCTAGGATCGGGGCATGGGGACTAAATTAAGAAACAGACACAGCCCACCAGGATCCAGGATCCAATCAGATTGAGCCCTGGCATCACCCCATTGCAGCATCCAGTCAGATCACACCTCCTGGCATCACCTGACTACAAGATCCAATCATATCATGACTCATTAGCCTAGGCCTATAAAAGCCAACCCAGCCCCCACTCTCCAAGTGGCACTGTTTTGGGAGCTGTCTGTAATCCACCAAGCGACTGAACTCATCCACTGCGTAGGTAACAAGAACTTGTTACAAATGCAAAATCTTGGCCGGGCGCGCTGGCTCACGCCTGGATTCCCAGCACTTTGGGAGGCCGAGGCAGGCAGATAACCTGAGGTCAGGAATTCGAGACCAGCCTGGCCAAAATGGCGAAACCCCATCTCTACTATAAATACAAAAATTAGCCGGGTGTGGTGGCTCACGCCAGCAATCACAGCCACTCATGAGGCTGAGGCAGGAGAATTGGTTGAACCTGGGAGGCGGGGGTTGCAGTGAGCCGAGATCGCACCATTGCACTCCAGCCTGGGTGACAGAGCGGGACTCCGTCTCAAAAAAGAAAAATCTTAAACCTCATTCCAAACCTAATCAATCAGAGACGGGGCCCAGCAATTTTTAATCTCAATAAACTGTAAATCTATAAGTCAGTAAACTCTCCAAGTGACTCTGATGCACGCTAAAGTTTCAGAACCACTATTCTAGTTTGTAGATCAATATTTTAAGGTAAGAACAGGCATTTAGACAGTTCAGAGCTGGGGGCGTAGGGAGGAACACAACAGAAATGCCGAGAGATCAAACGTACGTAAGACTTCAGCCCAGCAAGATCTGCCGCAGATTTTCTCAAACCCTGGTGGTCCTTTTGGTGAGATGGGATGTTTCAGAGGGATATGGCTATAGATGGGATGGCCCTCTTGAGAGGCTGACAGAGACTTAAGTATCAGGCCAGGCGCGGTGGCTCACGCCTGTAATCCCAGCACTTTGGGAGGCCGAGGTGGGTGGATCACAAGGTCAGGAGATCAAGACCATCCTGGCTAACACGGTGAAACCACGTCTCTACCAAAAATACAAAAAATTAGCCGGGCGTGGTCGTGGGCACCTGTAGTCCCAGCTACTCGGGAGGCTGAGGCAGGAGCATGGCGTGAACCTGGGAGGCAGAGCTTGCAGTGAGCCGAGATTGCCCCACTGCCCTCCAGCCTGGGCGACAGAGCGAGATTCCCTCTCGGGAAGAAAAAAAAAGTATCAGATTTGTTTTAAAGTACTATGGAAGTGGGAATAGCCCAGCCAGAGGTGTTTGTTCCTTAATTTGTTTGTTGCTTTGTTTTTGAGACAGAGTTTCACTCTTGTTGCCCAGGCTAGAGTGCAATGGCGCGATCTCGGCTCACCACAACCTCCGCCTCCCGGGTTCAAATGATCCTCCTGCCTCAGCCTCCCGAGTAGCTGGGATTACAGGCATGCACCACAATGCCTGGCTAATTTTCTATTTTCAGTAGAGACGGGGTTTCTCCATTTTAGTCAGGCTGGTCTCAAACTCCTGACCTCAGGTGACCTGCCCCCTTCAGCCTCCCAAAGTGCTGGGATTACAGGTGGGAGCCACCTCGCTTGGCCTGTTTAGTGTTTTTTTTTTTTTTTTTTTTTTTTTGAGACGGAGTCTTGCCCTATTGCCCAGGCTGGAGTAGTCTTGCTCTGTCGCCCAGGCTGGAATGTAGTGATGGGACCTCTGCTCACTGCAACCTCTGCCTCCCAGGTTCAAGTGATTCTCCCGCCTTAGCCTCCTGAGTAGCTGGGATTACAGGCGCCCGCCACCACGCCCGGCTAATTTTTGTGTGTTTAGTAGAGACCGCGTTTCGCCATGTTGCACAGGCTGGTCTCGAACTCCTGGCCTCAAGTGATCTGCCCGCCTCAGCCTCCCAAAGTGCTGGGATTGCAGGTGTGAGCCACTGCGGCTGACCAGTCCAGAGTCTATTTGAAACAGAGTTGGAAAGACAGGAATTTAAACCTTACTAGTTGTGTAAAGTTGGTATGCAGCAGGCACATTTTAGGATATCTGCCCAGCCCACGATTCTTCCATTTCTTCTCTAGAATCTCTGTCTCTCAACACAAGGGGGAAGAAAGAGAGAGCGAGACAGACAGACTCTTATGCAACCACATAAAAGGAATAACCTTTGCTAAGAAGATAACGATTGTCTCTCTAAGGAGTTTAGAATATGGACAGAACAATAATCATGGATTTTTGCAGATGGCTGAACCTGTCTTCTGTGATTCCAGGAGTTGTGGGGCAGCCATGCTTCTCTACAAGGATACAGATACCAAGAGAAAGAACCCATTCTGCAGGTGGAGAAAAAGAGGACTCTGGGGTCTGTTACCTGAGTTTCCAGCTGTCTCCTGAGCCAGGTTCAGCACCTTCCTCTGTCTCGTAGCAAATCAGCCCCTGGATTCAGCGAGATATCCTGAGAGCCTACAAGTAACTTTGGCTGCCCACCTGTATTCTTTTTCTTATTTGTTATTAATTTATGTTGAGACGGAGTCTCGCTCTGTCGCCCAGGCTGGAGTGCAATGGCGTGATCTCAGCTCACTGCAACCTCCACCTACCGGGTTCAAGCAATTCTCCTGCCTCAGCTTCCTGAGTAGCTGGGACTACAGGTGCCCATCACCACGCCTGGCTAATTTTTGTATTTTTAGTAGAGACAGGATTTCACCATGTTGGCCTGGTTGATCTCAAACTCCTGACCTCAGGTGACCCGCCTGCCTTTGCCTTCCAAAGTGCTGGGATTATAGGCGTGAGCCACGCCCCGGGTCCCATATTCTTTTTCTTTGCAAAAGATTCAGCTGAAGTTCGTTTCTGTAACTCATACCAGAAAGCCTTTGCTAAGACAGGTGAGCAATTTATCTAATCTCACTCAACTTCAATGTATTTGTGGAAGGAGGCTGCTAATAGGTACCTCATTCACTGGTAAAGAGCTAAGTGAGATAATGTGCGTAAATACTTAGGGCAATGTCCAGCACACATTAAAATCACCCTTTCAAGTCATAGGAATGAGTTCTTTATCACCCTGGGCTGTGGTAATCACCTGTGCGTTCCAGGTCAAAAGGCCTGAGGTGGCTCCCTGGAATATGGCCTGGTCTCCACTCGAGTCTACTAATCTGAAGGCTGGGCAACCACAGATTACTTGCTCTGATTGAAAAGTTTGACAAGAAAATGATGACCAGGTGCCTTTCAGTGATTTCAATTTTTGAAGATGGCCAGGTCCACCGGCTCACCCACTGGGAGGCCAAGGCAGGAAGATCTGTTGAGCCCAGGAGTTCAAGACCAGCCTGGGTAATAGAGTGAGACCCTGTCTCTTAAAATAAGTAAATAAATAAATGAAGTAAAGAAAAAATCTGCAGGCCGGGCGCAGTGGCTCACGCCTGTAATCCCAGCACTTTGGGAGGCCGAGGCGGGCAGATCACGAGGTCAGGACATGGAGACCATCCTGGCTAACATGGTGAAACCCCATCTCTACTAAAAATACAAAAAATTAGCTGGGCGTGGTGGTGGGCGCCTGTAGTCCCAGCTACTCAGGAGGCTGAGGCAGGAGAATGGTGTGAACCCGGGAGGCGGAGCTTGCAGTGAGCCGAGATTGTGCCACTGCACTCCAGCCTGGGTGACAGAGTGAGACTCCATCTCAAAAAAAAAAAAAAAAAGAAAGAAAAAGAAAAAGAAAGAAAAGAAAAAATCTGAATATAATGTGAAAACTTCTTTCCTAAGATTATTCTTCCTTTTAATTTTAATTTTTTTTTTTTTTGGAGACAGAGTATCGTTCTGTCACCCAGGCTGGAGTGCAGTGGCACGATCTCAGCTCACTGCCACCTGTGCCCAGAGGTTTTAGGGGTATTTTTGTGTTGAGATGCTGATATGGTTTGGATTTGTGTCTCTGCCCAAATCTGATGTTGAATTGTGGTCCCCAGTGTTGGAGGAGGGGCCTGGTGGGAGGTGATTGGATCATGGGGGCGGATTTCCCTCTTGCTGTTCCTATGATAGTGAGTTCTCGCAAGATCTGGTTGTTTAAAAGTATGTGGCACCAGCTGGACGTGGTGGCTCACACTTGTAATCCCAGCACTTTGGGAGACCAAAGCGGCTGGATCACCTGAGGTCAGGAGTTCAAGACAAGCCTGACCAACATGGTGAAATCCCATCTCTACTAAAAATACAAAAATTAGCTGGGTGTGGTGGCGCATGCCTATAATCCCAGCTACTTGGGAGGCTGAGGCAGGAGAATCACTTGAACCCGGGAGGTGGAGGTTGCAGTGAGCCAAGATCTTGCCATTGCACTGCAACCTGGGCAATAGAGTGAGACTCCATCTCAAAACAAAACCAAAAAAAGTATGTGGCACCTCCCCCTTCACTCTCTTCCTCCTGCTCCAGCCATGCAGACGTGCCTCTTCGCCTTCTGCCATGATTGTAAGTTTCCTGAGGCCTCCCTAGCCATGCTTCCTGTACAGCCTGTGGAACCGTGAACCAATTTAGCTTCTTTTCTTTATAACTTACCCAGTCTCAGGTAGCTCTTTATAGCAATGCAAGAATGGGCTGATACAGATGCCATGTTTGTACCCATGCCATTGTGCCAGCCGAAGACTGCCACAGGGCTGGCCAGTCCCAAACACCCTCCACATCCAGCTCCAGCCAGGTTCCTGCAGCTTTGGGCTGGCTTTGCAGGACCAGAACTCAATACATAACTATCTGACTGCTCCCTGCAACCTCTGGCAGGGCTGGGCAGCCACGACCTCACTCCCCTGCCCTAACTCCAAGGTACTGGCATTACCAATGGGGGCTCGAAACTGCAGCTGGGTGAGCTCCAAGCCCTCTGCATCCTTCAGCAGGAAGGTCATAAGAAGTGGAAAATGCAACATTTGGGCATGAAGGCAGATGTGCCTGTCCTCACCTAGGTCCATGGGGATGCAGCCCTAGCAGGGACCCGCCTTTCTCTACCCAGCACTTCCCTGCCCTCCTCCAGTATCACAGGGACTGAGGTAGGAAGGGCCTGAATAGGACAGGGGCGGGGCTTGTAAACACAGCTCTGTTCCTGCCTCTGCCAAACTGTTTTGCAGTTTTGACCTGCAAAAACTGTCCCACGCACACACGTAATTCCCTGGATGGACTGAGTGTGAGGTAGGCAGGCTGACTCTAACCACCCTTCCTCCAATTACAGAAAACAATGACCATCTACAGGCTTCACATATCTTAATTCATTTAATCTTCACAAGAACGCTGGGTAGTAAGTGCTATTATTATCCCTATTTTTACAGATGATGAAATGGAGGCATACAGAGTACAAATGAAATTTGCGGCCGGGCATGGTGGCTCACTCCTGTAGTCCCAGCACTTTGGGAGGCCGAGGCAGGTGGATCACGTGAGGTCAGGAGACCAGTATGGCCAACATGGTGAAACCCCGTCTCTACTAAAAATACAAAAATTAGCCAGGCATGGTGGCAGGCACGTGTAATCCTAGCCTCTCGGGAGGCTGAGGCAGGAGAATGCTTGAACCTGGGAGGCGGAAATTGTAGTGAGCTGAGACCATGCCATTGCACTCCAACCTGGGCAACAAGAGCAAGACTCCATCTCAAAAAAAAAGAAGAAGAAAAGAAATTTGTGGCTGGGGGCAGTGGCTCACGCCTGTAATTCCACCATTTAGAGAGGTGGAGGTGGGAGGATCACTTGAAACCACGAGTTCGAGACCAGCCTGGGTAACATAGTGAGACACCCCCCCCCCCAACCAACTCTATTTTTTTAAAAAAAGAAATTTGCCCAAAATTACCCAAAGAAGCATCAGTGCCAGATTTTGAACCCAGGCAAGCCAGCTCCTAATCCTAAACCCAACCTGCTAACCACTAGGTTCTCCTGTCTCCCAGTAAGCCACTCCCTGTCCATGACCTGGACATTAGTAATTGCTGGCTACCAGGAATCAGAACTGGCTACCAAGGAGAAAAGCACCATTGTTTGCTCTAAATAAGGTATGCATGTTTCAGGTTTTTAGAATTGGGGCTTAAAATACACAAAGATGGGCTGGGCACAGTGGCTCACGCCTATAATCCCAGCACTTTGGGATGCTGAGGCAAGAGGATCACTTGAGCCCAGGACTTCAAGACCAGCATGGATGACATCACAAGACCCTGTTTCTAAAAAAAAAAAAAAAAAAAAAGAAAAAAGAAAAGCCAGGTGTGGTGACACTCACCTGTAGTCCCAGTTACTTGGGAGGCTGAGGCAGGAGGATCGCTCAGCAGATCAAGGCTGCAGTGAGCTATGATTGAGCCACTGCACTCCAGCCTGAGTGACTAAGACCTTGTCTCAAAAAAAGAAGAGGCCAGGTGTGGTGGCTCACGCCTGTAACCCCAGCACTTTGGGAGGCCGAGGCAGGCAGATCACCTGAGGTCAGGAATTCGAGACCAGCCTGGACAACATGGTGAAACCTCGTCTCTACTAAAAATACAAAAAGTAGCTGGGCGTGGTTGTGGGTGCCTGTAATCCCAGCTATTCAGGAGGCTGAGGCAGGAGAATCACTTGAACCCGGGAGGCAATGATTGCAGTGAGCTGAGATCACGCCACTGCCCTCCAGCCTGGGTGACAGAGCAAGGTTCCATCTCAAAAAAAAAAAAAAGAAAAGATACACGAAGATTGTCTGGGCATAGTGGCTCACACTTATAATCCCAGCAGTTTGGGAGGCCAAGGCAGGAAGATTGCTTGGAACCAGGAGTTCAAGACCAACCTGGCCAACATAGCAAGACCCCATCTCCAAAAAAAAAATTATAAAATAAAATAAATAGGACACATGAAAGTGGGCTGGGTGGAGTGGCTCACAGCTATAATCCCTGTGTTTTGGGAGGCCAAGGCGAGAGGATCACTTGAGGCCAGGAGTTTGAGGCTGCAGTAAGCTATGCTTACATCACTACACTCCAGCCTGGGTGACAGAGCAAGTCCCTGTCTCTAAAAAAAAAAAAAAATTTGGCCGAAGATATACTCTGGAAGGTCCCATCTAAGAAACACACACGCGTGCACGCATGCACACACACAAACACACACACTTCATCCATTTGTTGCTGACACTCGAATTGTGGCCAGACCCACCTCCAGGATTTTCTTTGCCTGGCTTGCTTTGCTTAGACTTTTGACATCTCTCATTTTTCTGGAATCTAACCCAGGCCAAGATCTCTAATGTCGCTGTCACTAAAAGTTGCATATCCCACATCCTCTAGATATCACACACTTCTGGCCAACCTTTTGGTTTCCCACTGTGTATTTTTGGCTCATTCTTTCCAATTCACGCCATTTGTGAATCATCCAACACGGGCCGCACATCTCGTCCAATCCATGGCATGGCCGTGTTGTGCTACCAACTTTGTGGGTGGCATTTCCCACACCCCAGAGTATGGGCTATCATTATGTATCTGGGTGCGAAAAAAATGCACATGACAGTGGGTACAGTTACTCCCTCTTCTAGTTCCCACAGCATTCTGTGATTTGCTTGTGTGTGTGTGTGTGTGTGTGTGTGTGTGTGTGTGTGTGTGTGTGTGTGTGGTGGGGGGGGCAAGGATACATGCAGAAAACAAGATGGAAATAAAAGAAGTATACCATTTGTCTCCCAGCATCAATGGCTGCCTGGGTGGAACCTGGGCTTCCTTTTTTTTTTTTTTAGAGGCGGAGTCTTGCTCTGTGGCCCAGGCTGGAGTGCAGTGGCGTGATCTCAGCTCACTGCAACCTCTGCCTACTGGATTCAAGCAATTCTCCTGCCTCAGCCTCCCAAGTAGCTGGGATTACAGGCATGCGCCACCACGGCCGGTTAATTGTTGTAATTTTTGTAGATACGGCGTTTTCCCATGTTGGCCAGGCTGGTCTCGAACTGCTGGCCTCAAGTGATCCTCCTGCCTTGGCCTCCCAAAGTGCTAGGATTATAGGCGGGAACCACCACGCCCAACACTGGGCTTCCTTGGGTGTCAAATGGACATCTTTAGGGCTGGTCCATCCTCTGGATCCATTCCCTCTCCCTCCAGGAGGGCTAGGAAGAGGGCAGTCCCTCCTCAGCCGCCATCATCATCTTGAGGTGCAGGGCAGTCAGGTAAACCCCAAGGAAGAGGAACAGACCTCAGGCTGGTGGACCTGGCCTGCGGGGGTAGGGGGTGACAGCTGCCCTAGGTGCCCAGGGTGGGTCGAAAGTCAAAGGCTGAGGCAATCAGGAACCGCTCTGTCTTGGGCAGGATGCTAGAACCGTGGTGGGTGATGCCACCCCCTTGAGGTCACTTTGGAAATTTGGGGTTTTCTGATCATCACAATAATGTAATAGCAACCTGTGGCCAGGCGCAGTGTCTCACACCTGTAATCCCAACAGTTTGGGAGGCTGAGGGAGGTGGATTGTTTGAGCCCAAAAGTTCAAGACCAGCCTAGGCAACATAGCAAGCCAAAACAAAACAAAACAACCTAGCTGGGCATGGTGGTGCCTGCCTGTGGTCCCAGCTACTTGGGAGGCTGGGGCGGGAGGATCACTTTAGCTGGGGAGGTTGAGGCTGCAGTGAGCTATGATCATGCCACTGTAGTGTACTCCAGCCTGGGCAACAGAGTGAGGCTCTATCTAAAAGATAATATTAATAATAGCAACCCACTCCTGGGATACAGACATAGACTCTGCAAAGATCTGTCCCAAGTTCCATGTGGCTCCAGTGTCGTATCCAACATTCACACAGATGAAAAATGTTCATCCTCATTTGAGCCCTGAACTGAACTCTATTTTGCAGAAAGGATTTTTTGCACAGTCTTAACATACATTGTATTTTCCAGCAATGAAACTAAATTGAAGCAAAAGTGTACTTTGTTTGGGGCTGGGCACGGTGGCTCATGCCTGTAATCCCAGCAGTTTGGGAGGCCGAGGTGAGTGGATCACCTGAGGTCAGGAGTTCAAGACCAGCCTGGGCAACATGGCGAAACCCCGTCTCTACTAAAAATACAAAAAAATTATAGCCAGGCGTGGTGGCAGGTGCTGTAACCCCAGCTACTCGGGAGGCTGAAGCCGGAAGAATTGCTTGAACCGGGGAGGCAGAGTTTGCAGTGAGCCGAGATCGTGCCACTGCACTCCAGCCTGGGAGACAAGAGTGACCTCTGCCTCCTGGACCAAAGCAATTCTCCTGCCTCAGCCTGCCGAGTAGCTGGGATTACAGGCATGCAGCACCACGCCTGGCTATTTTTTGTATTTTTGGTAGAGACAGGTTTTCGCCACATTGGCGAGGCTGGTCTCAAACTCCCGACCTCAGATGATCCACCTACCTTGGCCTCCCAAAGTGTTGGGATTACAGGTGTGAGCCACCGTGCCCAGTCTTTTTTTCTTTTTTGGGACAGGGTCTTGCTCTGTCACCCAGCCTTGGGTGCAGTGGGGTGATCATAGCTCAGTGGTCTCCAGTGCCCAGGCTGCACAGCAGGAGGTGAGCAGCGGGCAAGCAAGTGAAGCTGCATCTGTATTTATAGCCACTCCCCATTGCTCGCATTCCCACCTGAGCTCCACCCCCTGTCAGATCAGTGGCAGCATTAGGTTCTCATAAGAGCACCTATTGTGTACTGCACATTGGAGGGATCTGGGTTGCATGTTCCTTATGAGAATCTAATGCCTGATGATCTGAGGTGGAACAGTTTCATCCCAAAACCATCCCCTACTACTCCCCATCCATGGAAAAACTGTCTTCCACAAAACCAGTCCCTGGTGCCAAAAAGATAGCTCACTGTAGCCTCAAACTGCTGGACTCAAGCAATCCTCCCACCTCAGCCTCCAAGTAGCTGGGACTACAGGTGTATGCCACCACACCCGGCTAATTTTTTTATTTTTTGTGGAGATAGGGTCTTGCTGTGTTGCCCAGGCTGGGTTGATACCTTTTGAATTTTTTTTTTTTTTTTGAGACAGAGTCTTGCTCTGTCACCAGGCTGGAGTGCAGTGGCACACTCGGCTCACTGCAACCTTCACCTCCCAGGCTCAAGTGATTCTCCTGCCTCAGCCTCCTGAGTAGCTGGGACTACAGGCATGCACCACCACCACCCAGTCAATTTTTGGTTTTTTTTGTTTGTTTTTTTTTGAGATGGAGTCTTGCTCTGTCACCCAGGCTGGAGTGCAGTGGCGAGATCTCGGCTCATTGCAAGCTCCGCCTCCCGGGTTCAAGCCATTCTCCTGCCTCAGCCTCCAGAGTAGCTGGGACTACAGGCGCCCGCCACTACGCCTGGCTAATTTTTTTGTATTTTTAGTAGAGACGGGGTTTCACTGCATTAGCCAGGATGGTCTCGATCTCCTGACCTCGTGATCCGCCCGCCTCGGCCTCCCAAAGCGCTGGGATTACAGGTTTGAGCCACCGTGCCTGGCCCTAATTTTTGTATTTTTAGTAGAGATGGGGTTTCACCATGTTGGCCAGGATGGTCTCAATCTCTTGACCTCGTGATCCACCCTCCTCGGCCTCTGAAAGTGCTAGGATTACAGGCATGAGCCTCCGCACCTGGCCCAAATTTTTCTTAACTTTCAAGGTCAAGGGTACAGGTTCAGGTTTGTTACGTAGGTACACTTGTGTCATGGGGGTTATTTCATCACCCAGGTATTAAGCCTAGTACCCATTAGTTGTTTCTCCTGATCCTCTCCCTCCTTCCACTCTCCGCCCTCTAATAGGCCCCAGTGCGTGTTGTTTCCCTCTATGTGTCCATGTGTTCTCATCATTTAGCTCCCACTTATAATCAAGAACATGCGGTATTTGGTTTCCTGTTCCTGCGTTTAGTTTGCTAAGGGATATCTTTTTTAGAATTTTTTTTTTTAAAGGAGCCTGCATCCTGACTAAACATCAGCATGCCTTCACCATGCTGTGACCCAGGCAGCTGCAGGATCTTCCCAGCAGAATGTTCCCTTGAACATTCTCAGACACTGATAAAGGCATCTAGATTGTTGCTCGAAACACTGGAAAAAAAAAAAAAAACTGGTCCTGAGCCAAATTTCTCATACTCTCATAAAAATTCCTGTCCCTGAGCCCCTCACTGAAGACATACCTAGGTAGAACCTCCCTTTTCTCTCACTGTTGTGAGGATCACTGCAGCCCTCCTAAGTAAATTCCCCTAATAAATGTTCTGGCCTGATCACCCTGGCAGTTAGTGTTTCTTTCTTTAGAATCTCAACCAGCCCCAGCTGCTGCGGTGGCTCACGCCTGTAATCCCAGCACTTTGGGAGGCCGACGGGGGCAGATCACTTGAGGTTAGAAGTTTGAGACCAGCCTGGCCAATATGGCGAAACCCTGTCTCTACTAAAAATACAAAAAAAAAAAAAAAAAAATTAGCTGGGCATGGTGACAGGCGCCTGTAATCTCAGCTACTCGGGAGGCTGAGGCAGGAAAATCGCTTGAGCCCAGAAGGTGGAGGTTGCAGTGAGCTGAGATCGCGCCATTGCACTCCAGCCTGGGTGACAGAGCAAGACTGTCTCAAAAAAGGGCTGGGTGCAGTGGCTCACACCTGTAATCCCGGCACTTTGGGAGGCCAAGGTGGGCAGATTGCCTGAGGTGAGGAGTTCAAGACCAGCCTGACCAACATGGTGAAACGCCGTCTCTACTAAAAATACAAAAATTAGCCAGGTGTGGTGGCGTGCACCTGTAATCCCAGCTACTTGGGAGGCTGAGACAGGAGAATCGCTTGAACCAGGGAGGCGGAGGTTGCAGTGAGCCAAGACCGGGCCATTGCACTCCAGCCTAGGCAACAAGAGTGAAACTCCGTCTCAAAAAAAAAAAAAAAAAGGAGCTGCGTGTGGTGGCTCGCGTCTGGAATCCCAGCACTTTGGGAAGCCAAGGTGGGCAGATCACCTGAGGTCAGGAGTTTGAGACCAGCCTGGCCAATATGGCAAAACCCCGTCTCTACTAAAAATACAAAAATTAGCCGGGCATGGTGGTGGGGACCTGTAATCCCAGCTACTTGGGAGGCTGAGGCAGGATAATTGTTTGAACCAGGAGGTGGAGGTTGCAGTGAGCTGAGATTGTGCCATTGCACTCAAGCCTGGGCAACAGAGCGAGACTCCATCTCAAAAAAATAAAAAATAAAAATAAAAAGACAAAATTCTTGATAGCTAGCATGTTGGCATTCAGAGTCAGAACTCTCCCAGCTGTAAAAGATTTTTTCTAGATCAGTGTCTTGAAACTGCAGGCTGCCTTCCATTTGTGGGCCATGCGATCAATGTACTGGTCACGCCCTGTGTTTTAGTTAAACGAAAAGAGACTAAATGGAAACGTGTCAGTGTGTGTCCTATGCAGTGAGGGTGATTATCATGTAGTGAAACTTGTTTCTGTTACATACACATCCTTTCAGAGACTGGTTCTCATACCCCCACAACGAATGTTAAGAAGCCACAGCACAGATAGCATCACGGTGATGAAGGACTAGGGCTTAGGGAAGATTCTCTTTGCTTGGTGAACTCTCCTCTCCAAAGGGTAACCAAGGTTGACACACCAGCTGCATTCTCGGACACCTCCACTTACCATTTCCTGTAATTCCGGCACTTTGGGAGGCTTAGGTGACAGGATTGCTTGAGGCCAGGAGTTTGAGAACAGCCTGCGAAACTGCATCTCTACCAAAAAATACTTCTTTTTTTTTTAGACAGGATCTCACTCTGTCACCCAGGCTGGAGTGCAGTAGCACAATCATAGCTCACTGGAGCCTGGATCGCCCGGGTTTAGATGATCTTCACACCTCAACCGCCCAGGGAGGTGGGACTACAGGTGTGCGTCTCCATGCTTAGCTCATTTTTTTTATTTTTTCTAGTAACGGGGTTTTGCATGTTGGCCAGGCTGGTCTCAAACTACTGGGCTCAAGTGATCTGCCCACCTTGACCTCCCAAAGTGCTGGGATTACAGGTGTGAGCCACCATGCCCAGCCAAAAAATTCTTTAAAAAATTAGTTGCGCCTGTAATCCCAGCACTTTAGGAGGCGGAGGCGGGCGGATCATGAGGTCAGGAGTTTGAGACCAGCCTGACCAACATGGTGAAACCCGTCTCTACTAAAAATACAAGAATTAGCCGGGCGTGGTGGCGTGTGCCTGTAATCCCAGCTACTCAGGAGGATGAGGAAGGATGAATCACTTGAACCAGGGAGGTGGAGGTTGCAGTGAGCTGAGATTGTGCCACTGCACTCCAGCCTGGGCGACAGAACAAGACTCTGTCTCAAAAAAAAAAAAAAGTTAGTTGGGCTCAGTGTTGCACACCAGTAGTCCCAGCTGCTCAGGAGACCGAGGCAGGAGGATCGCTTGAGCCCAGGAGATTGAGATTACAGTGAGCTGTGACTGTGATCACACCAGTGCACTCCAGCCTGGGTAATACGAGACCCTGCCTCTAAAAAATAATTATAATAAAAAACTTAGCTGGACGTGATGGTGCCTGGATGTAATCTCAGCTACTCGGAAGGCTGAGGCAGGAAGACTACTTGAGGCTGGGAGGTCGAGGCTGCAGTGAGCTATGATCGTGCCACTGCACTCCAGCCTGGGCAACAGAATGAAACTCTATCTCTAAAAATAAATAAATAAACATTCACTGTGTGCCACACACTGTGTTGACGTGCTGAATCCTCACCACATTAAAATGAGTCCCACCATCCTTGTTTTACAGATGAGGGAACTGAGGCACAAGAGGCTCAGCCACAGATAGACGCAGAGACGCAGACGCGGTGGCTCATGCCTGCAATCCCAGCACTTTGGGAGGCTGAGACGGGTGGATCACCTGAGGTCAGGAGTTCAAGACCAGCCTGGCCATCATAGTGAAATTCCGTCTCTACTGAAAATATAAAAATTAGCTGGGTGTGGTGGCAGTTGCCTGTAATCCCAGCTATTCAGGAGGCTGAGGCAGGAGAACTGCTGGAACCCAGGAAGAGGTCACAGTGAGCCGAGATCGCGCCACTGCACTCCAGCCTAGGCAACAGACAGAGCAAGACTCCGTCTCAAAAACAAAACAAAAGGCTCAGCCACTTGGCAACAGTTACAGGCCTGTAGGAGTCAGGGTCTAAGCTCACACCCACCATGCTGTGCTTCAGCTCTGGGAGCTCCCTTCTTGGACTGTCTTTGGAGGAGCGTCTCCCTGTGCGTCCTCCTGCTGACCACCCCCTGGGGTCCCTCTGGCAGCAGCCTGGGGGAATCCTGTCCTCAGATGGGGAGACACGTCCCTACAGGACTCCTAGTCTCCACTTAGCAATGACCCAGGGCACCTGAGCATGGCTTCTGTGCACCAGGAGCACAGCCCGCCGCCTCCACATGGAGTGCCTGGGTCCAGAACTCCCCATGTTCATCTACAAATGGAGCCTCTTCCAAGATGTCTTTTTTTTTTCTTTTTTTTAGGCAAGGTCTTTCTCTGTTGCCCAGGCAGAGTACAATGGCGTCATCTTGGCTCACTGCAACCTCCGCCTCCCGGGTTCAAGTGATTCTCCTGCCTCAGCGTCCCGAGTAGCTGGGATTACAGATGTGCACCACCATGCCGAGCTAATTGTTGTATTTTTAGTAGAGACGGGGTTTCGCCATGTTGGTCAGGCAGGTCTCGAACTCCTGACCTCAGGTGATCCACCCACCTCGGCCTCCCAAAGTGCCGGGATTATAGGCGTGAGCCACCATGCCTGGCCCCAAGATGCCTTCTGTGAGCACCTCAACTGAAGTATCATGTCCATCCTCTCTATCCTGCTCCTCTTCACCTCCCCATGATCTGCCATCAGATGATGTATTTGTGTCTCCTTATGACTAGAAGGTAAGTGCCAAGAGGGCAAGCACTGTCTGTGAACTGTTGTATCTCCAGCTCTTAGAAGAGTGACCAGCAATAAGAGGATCCTGGGAAATGTTATTGAATGAGCAAAAAAGTTTGGAGGCACCAGGTGTGGTGGTGCACGCCTGTAATCCCAGCACTTCGGGGAGGCCAAGGTAGGAGAATCGCTTGAGCACAGGAGTTCGAGACCAGCCTGGGAAATACAGCAGACCCTGTCTCTACAAAAAAAATGTAAAAAATTATCTAGGCATGGTGGTGTGCACCTGTGGTCCCAGCTACTCAGTAGGCAGATGCGGGAGGATTGCTTGAGCCCAGGAGTTCAAGGTTACAGTGAGCCATGACTGAACCACTGCATTCCAGCCTCCTGGGTGACAGAGTGAGGCCCTGTCTCAAAAAAGAAAGGAGAGAGAGAGAAGTAAAGGAGGAAAGAAAGAAAAGAAAAAAGAATTTGGAGAAAAGAGACTGAATGTCAACAGCAAAACTCAACCCCTGCTTCTTTCCCCTTGGATGTAGCATGATTTACTGCCAAGTCTTCTAGCATTTTTTTTTTGAGACAGGGTCTCAGCCTGTCGTCCAGGAGGGAGTACAGGGGTGTGATCATAACTCAGTGCAGCCTTGACTTCCCAGGTTCAAGTGGTCCTCCCACTTCAGCCTCCCAAGTAGCTGGGACTATAGTCATGTGCCACCACCACGCCTGGCTAATTTTTGCATTTTTTGCAGAGCCGGGGTTGCCCAGGGTGGTCTCAAACTCCTTAGCTCAAGTGATCCTCCCGCCTTGGCCTCCCCAAGGGCTAGGACTCCAGGTGTGAGCACCATGGCCAGCCTCTTCTTGCAGTTTTTCAAACCACCCTAGTTCTCCCATCATCAACAACTAGCGTGATACGTGAAGTGTGCGTGGTCTTCAGAGGTGGAAACAATGTGGGCTCTCAAATGGGCAGGGATACGCTTATTTTGTTGAGACAAAGTCTTGCTCTGTTTCCCAGGCTGGAGTCCAGTGGCGTGATCTCAGCTCACTGCAACCTCCGCCTCCCAGGTTCAAGTGATTCTCTGGCCTCAGCCTCCCAAGTAGCTGCGACTACAGACACCCCCCACCACGCCCGGCTAATTTTTATATTTTCAGTAGAGACAAGGTTTCATTATGTTGGCCAGGCTGGTCTCGAACTCCAGGCAAGAATGTTTCTTTGAGACAGCAACTAAGTTCACAATGACCTTGAGTAGACTCCGGAGTGCTATAGTCTGTGCGTTCATTCCACTTTTGGGGGAATCCTTACAGATCCGTGAGTGTGAGGGAACTGGAAGCACAGGGGGCCCACCGGGAAAATGAAATGATTTTAAAGCAAAACCTCTGACCTGACTTGAGAACCTGGCACGTATCAGGTTTTACCAGGCTAAGACAGCAGAGAGACATGAGTTCTTCTCCTCCAAGGCGTATTCTGTACTGGGATGGAGGGGAATCACCACCTACACAAATACTTGAGTCCAAGGAGAGAGCAGGAAATAACACTGCGCTCCACGCAGAGTTTGCCTGTTCCAGGCAGGAGGCAGGGAGAGGTGGAGGCAGAAGGAACAAAGAGCTCATTGAGTAGCACCTTCCTCAACCATGAGACTGACCTTGCGACCCCAGCACCTGCTGGGGAGGGAAGGGAAGGGACACAGAGCCTCTGGCTGCTGGAAAGGGGAAGGATTCACATTAGTGAATACGATCTCCCTTTAGCTATGGAAACTGCAGAGGATGCACTGTCTTGGCAAAGGAGGTCTAGAGCGGGCCAGAGCTCTGCAACAGGAGACCGCAGAGCGGGCTGGGCACCTGCGGCTGGGCATACAGGCTTAGTGCATGCTGAGGGTTTATGTCACCGAGAGGGGTGTCTTGGAACTCCTATGTCTATTCAGTGCTCCCTGCTGGTATTTATTATTTACTTCCTTGGGCAGGATTAGGGTCAGGCCTGCAAGCACTTGTTGGTCTAGCAAGCTACAGGAGGTTTTGTACCCTCAGGGGGAAGATGCATGTGCTGGGTGAGGCTGCCTTCAGCAGAATAATGACCACCCCTCGTCCAAATGAGAAGTGACATTTCAAAGCAGCAGCTTGCAAAAAACCCTCAGCTGCTGATCGCACACGTTCTTCCCTTAGAAAACACCCATCCGGCTGGAGGAAGAAGACGCGGAGCAAATAAATTCAGATGTTTTATTCTGTAAAGCACATATGCACATACTTCAAACACGGAAAATTAATCTGGAAGTGAATGCCATAACAGATCAGCTACTGACCATCATGCAGCAAGAGGTGAAATGGACCCACTGGCCCTCAGGACCCCACAGTGCCTGCAGGAAGGGTGAAAACCCAGGAAGCTGAAGCCCTACACGCTGCCGAGGAAAACGCAACAGACATGGCAGGTGCCTCACGACAAGAAACACTTACAAATAGAATCAAAACTGATTCAAGTCATACAGTGAAAGGACAAAAGGAAAAAGGAAAGAGATCAATATGATCCGAAACAATCGTTTTAAGAGTAAGTTGCTGACCTTCTGCTGGCCCTCCAGTCCGAGATGCCTGAGGGTGAGCTGGTGCTCCTGCACGGGGCCGCCCTGAACAGCAAGCGCACTCCGTCTGTTGCACACTTCGAATCCTGAGGTCCACCAGCAAACTCTGGCTGAGCATTGAGCCTGGGAAGTGCCCAGATGGTGACAGGTCCCCTGGGCTTCCCGAGACTCGCTGGAGTCTCTTCAGGTCCTAGGCCTCTTCGTCCAGGCCCCCAGGCCTCCTCTCTCCCCTCAGCCTTCCTTTATAAACCTGATTGACTCTGCGTTTCTGTAAGATCTTTAAGAATTACTTGCTTAGGTGAATGTTGGATTTTAAAGTGTGTGTCCTGGCCTTGGGACAAGCCATCTGTCCAGGCATTTTTGGCACTTCCTTTCCTCACATCTAACAGTGTTGCCCCTCCCCTAGCTACAGATTCCAGCCACTCTCTGTCATTAAAACAAGGGTAACTAATATTAGCAACAAGCTGGATTGAACGAACCAGTGAAATTGGCTTTTTCACTGTTTTTCTCCTTTGATACCACTCTGCCAGCTATAAATCTATCCCTATAACTCTGCTTCATTGGGATTTTATTAATTCAATAGCAGCTTAATCTAAAATCTGATGGTCCTAATGATAATGACGTTTCTAGAGCCAAGCCACATGGCTCTTTCTCAATCTTGTCTCTTAAGGGTCTCAAAGTCTCTAAGGAGAAAACTAAATTAACAAGTTAGCCATGCATCGTGTAAGCAACTCGTATCATACATAGAAACTGGATAGACAAGTACGATTACTGCACTTGAAACATACTAAAAGGAAAAAGAAAAATACTAACATATCAAGTTACTATGGTGATTATTTTAACAATCTTCAATAAAAGCACGCAACTGTTTTCTATTCAAAAATGCCTGGGATAAAATGTTCTAGGCCAATGTATTTCAGAATGCAGGAACTAATCCTAATTTAAAACAGACTACAAACCTAGAGTTAAGGAAAGGAAGCACTCATGGTCATGTCCAATGTTTTCATTGCCCTTCTGTTATAACACTGCCTGGGAGAACACAGAAGTTATTAGTGACAATGAGCTATTAAGGCAAAAAGTTATTTTAAAAAAACAGTAAGAATACAAGAAAGGACTGGAAAAGATAATGTATGGTTTTGCTTAAATGAATAAGGATTAGAAAGAAAAAGAAACAGGGACTAGACAATCAAACAAAATGGTGTAAGAGGGCCGAGAGCAGTGGCTGACGCCTGGAATCCCAGGATTTTGGGAGGCCGAGGTGAGAGGATCATTTGAAGCTAGGAGTTCCAGACCAGCCTGGGCAACAGAGGGAGACTCTGTCTCTACAAAAAAATTTTAAAATTAGCCAGGCGCGCTGGCACACGCCTGTAGTCCCAGCTACTCAGGAGGCTAAAGTGGGAGGATTGCTTGAGCCCAGGAGTTGGAGGCTGCACTGAGCTAAGCTCCAGCCTGAGGGACAGAGCAAGACCCTGCCTCCCCCCTCCAAAAAAAAAGAAAAAGAAAAAAAGTTATAAGAAAAATGCTTTCAGTTTTCCCTGATAAATGGCAAATCAGAATTGCATTCCTTCAAATTTTGCAGGCATCGTTTTCGTAATTTTACTGATCTACTAGTTGCCATTTCCTTCTGAAGATATGTTAGTAGCATGAAAATAAAAGCAAAACAAAAGGGAGAAAATCCACCCACTCTTTAAAAAAGAAAGAAGAAATCCTTTCCTATTAGATAGAATCATTATTCTTTCTTTCCATACTGTCATCTGCATTCCAGAAAGCAGAAGAGCAAACAGTCACTCTAACTCTAGAGCCATTTACATTTTGAAGCCCTTTTGAGTGAAGAGGCGCTTTAACTTTGATAACAGAAGGGAGGGACAAGAGTGGACGACAAGACAGTAGAACCTCCTATGCCAGCTCCAACAAGACCAGGTTCCTGGTCATCCATGTGGAAAATGAAACTTAGATCTTTACCATGTATGTGACTTAAATATTTAACTTTTTAGTCAGGATAAAAGCACAAGTCTGTCCTAACTAGAGTAGTATTAAAATGTGACTATTTTATTTTTTCTTCATAAAGGAAAACAAAAAACAAAAAAACAAAAACAAAACAAAAAAAACTTAAGGTATGTTTCCTGCAAGCAAAATGGAGAAAAAGGTATTATTGTTGTTACTATGATTATTAAGCCACAAACACATAAAATCCACAAAATGGATTGGTGGCTTTGGAAATGCAATACCGTATCAAAGGTGCAGACTGTTTCAAATGTTCTCTACATATTGGGCTGAAACAAGAACCAAACCAAACTTCAACCCCATCAGCGACGCAATGCTCCTGTGACCTTGGTGAAAACATCGTCGTGACCAGCTAGATCCAGGAATCCTTCTCTAGAGACACGTGGAAACGTCCCATCAGGTAGGTCCTCAAGTCCAAGGTGGGGTTGAAGGGCTCTGGCTGTACCCAGGGCAAAGCACGTGCATTATTGGACCAATTTCTGAATAGATTTTTATAAATATGTACAAATCAGTTACAGGCACTTGAAATGTCTTTGGCTGGAATAACCCAACATCGCAAGATAATGTATTCACAGAGCATCCAGGCCCAGGCTGGGTTCAGCAGGCAAGGATTATGGTTCTCTCAGTCTCTCTCAAAAAACAAGGAGCTGTGGAATTAGGCTTCAGCCAAAGCCACCTGGAAGACAGCAAGCCAGGGAAACCAGTCAAAAAAGGGAAGCCTAGGTAACTCAGCCCCTACCCAAAGACCAGGATGCCACACTAATTGCACATATCAACCAGACAGTGAAGTTACTAAATCCCTAAAAAGAAAATCTCACCTAGGAAGAAATTACTAGAAATCTCAAAGTCTCCTGCAAGACGCGGCCCATCTGGAACCACTGTGCGGAGACAGAATTAACTGGTTTTTGTTTTTTTGAGACACGGTCTCGCTCTGTTGTCCAGGCTGGAGTGCAGTGGTGCAATCGTAGGTTACTGCAGCTTCCAACTTCTGGGCTCAAGCAATTCTCCTTCCTCAACCTCCCCAGTAGCTGGGAATACAGGCATGCACCATTACATCTGGCTAATTTTTTAACTGTTAGTAGAGAAGGGTTCTCACTATGTTGCCCAGGCTGGTCTTGAACTCGTGGGCTCAAGTGATCCTTCTGCCTCAGCCTCCTAAAAGTCCTGGGATTACAGGTCCACCTAGCTGAGGTAACTGTCTTTAAACCTTGATAAGCATTCTGTTAGAAGACTTCTTATGCTGATGGAACTACAGAGGAGGCAGCTACCCAGAGTCAGTAGTGCTCCAGTGGAGACTTGAGAACAACTGCCAAGTCACTCCCTTTAATAGCAACAGAGGCTTGGGTATATGATTAAAAATCCAACAACATAATTTAGGTTGAGAGTAAAGACACTTCTAATGAAGACAGAAACTACCGCTGGCCTTCTGTAATTGTGGGTTTCATATCCACAGATTCAACCAAAAATACACAAAAGAGGGCTGGGCATGGTAGCTCACACCTGTAATCACCTGTAATCTTTGAGAGGCCAATGTGGGTGGATTGCTTGAGCCCAGGAATTCAAGACCAGCCTAGGCAATGTGGCGAAACCCTGTCTTTTCAAAAAATACAAAAATTAACCAGGTGTGGTGATGCATGCCTGTGGTCCCAGCTACTCAGGAGGTTGACGATCGCTTGAGCCTGGGAGGTCAAGGCTGCAGTGAACTATGATTGAGTCATGAGCTACGATCGCACCACTCTACTCCAGCCTGGGTGACAAAGTGAGACCCTGTCTCAAAAAAAAAAAAAAAAAAAATTAAAAAAGCAAAAATACTCAAAAGAAAAAAAACCAATACATAAGAATACAACAATAAAAATAACACAAGTTTTAAAAATACACTGTAACAACTATTTACATAGTATTTACATTGTATTAGGTATTATAAGTAACCTAGAAGCTGGGCCCAGTGGCTCACGCCTGTGATCCCAGCACTTTGGGAGGCCAAGGCAGGTGGATCACTTGATAACAGCAGTTCGAGACTAGCCTGGACAACATGGTGAAACCCTGTATCTACTAAAAATACAAAAATTAGCTGAGTGTGGTGGCACATGCCTGTAATCCCAGCTACTCTCGAGGCTGAGGCAAGAGAATCACTTGAGCCCAGGAGGCAGAGGTTGCAGTGAGCCAAGATCGTGCCACAGCACTCCAGCCTTGGTGACAGAGCAAAACTCTCTCAAAAAAAAAAAAAAAAAAAAAAAAGAAAGTAATCTAGAGATTAACGTTACAGAGGATGAGCTGGGCACAGTGGCTCACACCTGTAATTCCAGCACTTTGGGAGGCCAAGGCGGGTGGATCACTTGAGGTCAGGAGTTTGAGACCAGCCTGGCCAACATGGTGAGACCCGGTCTCTACTAAAAATGCAAAAACTTAGTGGGACGCGGTGGCTTGCGACTGTAATCCCAGCTCCTCGGGAGGCTGAGGTGGGAGAACTGCTTGAACCTGGGAGGCGGAGGCTGCAGTGAGCCAAGATAGTGCCACTGCACTCCAGCCTGGGAGACAGAGCGAGACTCCATCTCAAAAAAAAAAGTTACAGAGGATGTGCAGAGGTCATATGCAAATACTGTACCATTTTACAGAAGGGATTTGGACATTCATGAATTTCGATATCCACCAGGGTCCTGGAACCAATCCTCCTCGGATACCAAGGGATGACTGTCATTTCTTTAGACGAAAGGTGCCACCCACAATAAATAGAATAAGGATAACTGGGACTTTCTGTATACAGAGACCTCTAGTAAAATGCTGGCCCGGACCCCATCCACCGCTCACCTTCTCGGGACAAAATTCAGGATTGCTCTGACGCAATTTGCTAGGTCTGCCCTTGATAACAGCATAGCAAAACATTGTTATCACCATCACAAAGAGGAAGTAACTGGTGTGCATGAGATGCAAATTTATTAATGAACGGTCATCCTAAATAAAGAAGAGAAAAAAAATCAGAAACATCTGCTCTGAGTGACTGAAAGGTTTTAATGCTGGGTTTTGAGAGACAGGATTGACAGCCTCCAGACTTGCCACAACTTTTCTTCTTAAGCTGCAAGAGGAGGTTTCTCCTTTTGCCTCCTAAATGACCAAAGCTGGGTCTCATTAAGTGAAGACATGGTGCTCCCGAGCCTCTGTTGGAGAGCACCACGCCTTCCTAGCGCTGTCCTCTGCCCTGCCTTCTGCACCCCCACACTGCCTGAACCCTGCCCCTCCAGCAGGCTTCCTCCCCTGCAAATGCTGCAGACACTCCATCTTTAAGCCCCACTCCTTTCTGGACACATCCTCGTCACAAGACTGCCCTCAGGTTGCATGGCTGACAGCCGAGGCTGCATTCCTAACTCCTGACTATGCCCCCACCAGGAAGGCCTCGGCACCTCACCCCTCCCCAGGGGTCACGCCCTTCCTCCTGCTTTTCTCTATTTCCCTAAGTCCTTGGATGAAAATGCTGAGATCATCCGTGATTCACTACCCTTTGACCTCCCACATGCAGTCAATTCCCAGACCCTGCAAGTTACTAAAGGGACCCCAGACATGGTTCCATTCCTTTACCCTCTAGTATCTCCAGGCCTCAGGACAGCTCTGGGCTCCCCCAGGTCATTTATAACATAGCGGGGCAGCTCAGTCTTCTCAACACACTGCTTTACCAACACCCACGCCCCAAACACAGGCAGGGACTGCCCTTGGCCAGGCACTAAGGGCCTCAGCCCACCATCCAGCCTGACCTCCATAGCTGGCTCCTGCAGGACCCTGGCCTACAAATGAGCCCCAGAAAAGGGCAAAGGTCGGGCATAGTGGCTCATGCCTATAATCCCAGCACTTTGGGAGGCTGAGGTGGGAGGATCACCTGAAGTCAGCAGTTCAACACCAACCTGGCCAACATGTCGAAACCTTATCTCTACCAAAAATACAAAAATTAGCTGGGCGTGTTGGCAGGTGCCTGTAATCCCAGCTACTTAGAATCACTTCAATCCAGGAGGCAGAGGTTGCAACGAACCGAGATTGTGCCACTGCACTCCAGCCTGGGTGACAGAGAAAGACTCAATCTCAAAAAATAAAAATAAAAAAAAATTAAAATAAAGAAAAAAAGAAAAGGGCAAAGGGCCAGGCCAAAAGAAGAGAGATCCAGCTAACACACACTGCCAGAAAGGAACATATTTATAAAATATCAAAGCAGTGTTAAAAAGTGGGCTTGGGCCAGGTGCAGCGGCTCATACCTGTCATCCCAGAAACTTTGGAGGCCAAGGCAGGAGGATCGCTTGAGACCAGGGGTTCAAGACCAGCCTGGGCAACACAGCAAGACCCCCGTCTCTACAAAAAGTTTAAAAATTATCCCGGCATGGTGACATGCACCTGTAGTCCCAGCCACTTGGGAAGCTTGAGCCCAGGAGGCTGAAGCTGCAGTGAGCTATGATTGCGCCACTAGACCCCAATCTGGGCGACAGAGCAAGATCCTGTCTCTAAAAAAGTAAGTGGGCTCAAGTCTAAGTAGGAAGCTGAGCTAGCAGCACACAGCTACTAGATGAGATAGGTAAGTATTTTGTTCCCCTTGCCTCTTGGTTAAGTTAAATCCTATTCAGGCCTCACTCTCTAGCCGAAGATTCATCTCCTCCTACTACTCCCTTCTATCTTTCAGAACTCTAAGCAGCACTATTTCTTGTTCACACGGACACTAACTAGATAGTCTTCTATGAACGTCTGTGAACATCCCTCTAAGATAATATTAATAGAAGGATCCCTTGTAACCCCCCCCAGGGATTAGGCAGTTGCTCAAGAAATAACTGCTGCTGAACAACAGAGAAAATGAAGAGAAAAACCAGATTTTTCTTAACCAATGGGTAACATGTTTTTCCAAGCATCCACCACTCCGCCTAGTGTCCTAACTCACCTGGAAATCTAAAGTGGCAGAGGATACGCTTACCCAGGGAAGTCAGCAGGGCCTACACCAACGGTTGCAGCACATGCGCACACATGTGCATATGCATGCACGCACACACACACACACAATTTTTCTCACTTACATCTGGAACAATCACTGTAAGCTTGGGATTTAAAGCATGATAGACTTTTCCAATGGCCCCCTTATAACACCAGAAAGGATTGTAATCTTGGGCGTATTTTGTGTTGGCATCTCTGGCAGTTGTGAAGATCTTGTACCAGAGCGTGGCGTTGCTGTACGTGTCAGGAACACAGTGCGGTGGCTGTCTGCAGGAGAAGAGGAGGAGGAAAGACACGTGCTCAGTGGCCTGAGTCATTCACTTGTGTCACCCCCACAGCAGCTGGTAAAACACTGAACACGGCAACACACATGGAAAGGAAAAATGTAACTTACACGTTCATGCTTCTTTGAGATAAATACCATTATATTTTAGTTTGAGGGTCTTTTTTAAAAAATAAAAATATAACAGAAAAATAAATAGGTGCCTGACATTTAGGAGTTTGGGTGTTGGATTTTTGCCTTCAGAATTCAGCCTACAGTCCTCTCACATGTGATGCAAAGCACATAAGCTCCTTTTAAGCCTATCTTCTCAAATGAGCTAAACTCTTAGTATATTAGTCCTTTCTCATGCTGCTGATAAAGACATACCCGGGACTGGGTTATTTATAAAGGAAACAGGCTTAATTGACTCACAGTTCAGCATGGTCAGGGAAGCCTCAGGAAACTTACAAGCATGGCGGAAGTGGAAGCAAACACATCCTTCTTCACATGGCGGCAGCAAAGAGAAGTGCCAAATAAAAGGTGGAAAACCCCTTATAAAACCATCATATCTCATGGGAACTCTCTTACTATGAGAACAGCAGCATGGGGGTAACAATCTCCAGGATTCAATTACCTCCCACTGGGTCCCTCCCATGACACATGAGGATTATGGGAACTACAATTCAAAACGAGATTTGGGTGGGGAGACAGCCAAACTATATCATCTTTTTTTTTTTTTTTGAGACGGAGTCTTGCTCTGTTGCCCAGGCCGGTGTGACCTCGGCTCACTGAAACCTCCACCTCCCATGTTGAACTGATTCTCCTGCCTCAGCCTCTCAAGTAGCTGGGATTACAGGTGTGAGCCATTGCGCCCAGCCCAAAGCATATCACTTAGTTACAACTGGAAGCTTTACCTACAAAATTCTATATCAGTCACTGCAACACAAAGTAATGTTTAACTTAATCTGATCTTGTCCTACAAACCTCCAAATGTCTAAAATAGACAAATCCTGAGATAATTCTTATTTAAAAAGGATTCACCATAGAATTATTTTAAATAGGCTATATCTTATGTATTTCACCTATTTATTTATAGATAATTATCTCCTTTATAGAGACAGGAGAGACCAAAAAAAACCAACAACAAAAAAAACCTAAAATGCAAAGCAGTAACACTGAATGCTGCTCAAAAACACTGAAGGAAAAGCTTCAAAAACCTTAATTGTTTAATGGAAAATAAAGTTCAATTTATATTTGATTTTAAAACTAATTTTCAAATTCGCAGGTAAAATTAAAGTAACTGTTTAATGGGAAATGATTTAAAATGTTAGATTTTAAAATTAGTTAATTAACAGAAAATAAGTTTTGATTTATACTTGATTTAAAACTAAAATCAAGATAAACTAAAATCAACGATTTTAAAATATCTTTCTGGATAATGGAGATGAACAAAACCTTTATCTTTGTTTTATTTGATTTATTTATTTTTTTGAGACAGAGTCTTGCTGTTGCCCAGGCTGAAGTGCAGTGGCGCGATCTCAGCTCACTGCAACCTCTGCCTCCCTGCTTTAGCCTCTGAGTAGCTGGGATTACAGACATGTGCCATCATGCCTGGCTAATTTTTATATTTTTAGTAGAGATGGGGTTTCACTATGTTGGCCAGGCTGGTCTTGAACTCCTGACCTCAGGTGATCTGCCCACCTTGGCCTCCCAAAGTGCTGGGATTATAGGCATGAGACACCGCACCTGGCTGAAAACCTTTATCTTTAGAGAGCCTCTTTTCTTTTTTCTTTTTCTTTCTTTTTTTTTTTTTTTAAATAGAGACAGGGTCTCCCTATATGTTGTCCAGGCTGGTCTTGAACTCCGGGGCTCAAGTGATCCTCCCACCTCAGCCTTCCACAGTGCTGGGATCGCAGGCCTGAGCCACGGCACCCGGCCACAGTGAGCCTCTTTTCTGTAACTTGCTGCTTCTACTCCTGCGGGAAAGACAGCCTATGAATGTCCAACAACAGCCAGGTGCTTTTACTGCCTCGAGGGGGCACTAACTTTCTGATTTTATATGCAGAAGTTCTATCTTTAGAATTCCAAATTAAATAATCCTTTAGACAAATTAAATAATCCTTTAGATAGGTCCGAGTAGAGATAATTCTATAAAGAAATGTGAAGTGAGCCATCCTGAGAATTTACAGCTGAAGCAGCCCAGCCGTACTCACGGCAAGTGGAGCTTGTTACGCACGTTCATCAGGTGCCGGGTACACTTACACAGTGACGGGGAACACCCCAGGGCTGGCCGTGAGGGTCATGCAGGCTGTGAATACCACCTGCTCACAGTGACCGTGGAGGGCGCAGTCATCTGAGCTCCACGCTGTAGGCAGGGTGAAGGTGATGTTTATCTCCTCGTGGGCTTCCCTGCCTATGAAAGAGAAATCATTTTTTTATAAAGTCAAGAACCACGTACTTGTCATTCTCTGGGATACAAATAAATCCTGAAATCAAACCCACACAGGAATCATCTATCAGCCCAGGCACCTGCCTTTGTGGGATCTGAGGAAGAAGAGCAGTCCTGACCCTGACCATGAGTCCTACTCAACTCAGAGCCACGAAGCAGCGAAGGAAGTGGCCACTTTCCAGTACATGGCCTGGAGATGCCAAACCAGACCTCGGGCAGATCAGAGATGAAAAGCTCGGGCTGGGTGAATTATCCCCAGCATTTCTGCACAGCTGTCTAGCCATTTTCAAACATCTTTTATATGTATTATTTCACTTAAAATTTACTACTCTCCCATGAACATGACTGAAGAAGTGCAGCTGTTCCCCTTTTACATATGAACAAACAGAGGTCAGAGGGTTTCAGAGTTAAGAAAGGCAAGTGATGAAGCTTAAACTAAAACCAACGTATTGCCAGGCACAGTGGTTCACATCTGTAGTCCCAGCACTTTGACTTTAGAAGGCTGAGGCAGGAGGATTGCTTGAGGCCGGGAATTCACGACCAGCCTGAACATGACAGCAAGATTCTGTCTCTACAAAAAAGTTTTAAAAATCAGCCAGGTGTACTGGTGCACACCTGTGGTCCCAGGTACTAGGGAGGATCACTTGAGCCCAGGAGTTTGAGGCTGCAGTGAGCTATGATCACACCACTGCACTCTAGCCTGGCGACAGATCAAGACCCAGTCTCAAAATTAAAATAAAATTTTAAATAAAAATTAAATTAAAATAAAAAATTAAAATATTAAAATAAAATTAAAATTAAAAAATAGCCAAGCGTGGTGGCTCATGCCTGTAATCCCAGCACTTTGGGAGGCTGAGGCGGGCGGATCATTTGAAGTCAGAAGTTCAAGACCAGCCTGGCCAACATGGTAAAATCCTGTCTCCACTAAAAATACAAAATTAGCTGGGCATGGTGTCACGAACCTATAATCCCAGCTACGCGGGAGTCTGAGGCAGAACAGTCGCTTGAACCCGGGAGACAGAGGTTGCAGTGAGCCAAGATTGTGCCACTGCACTCCAACCTGGGCGACAGAGTGAGACTCCATCTCAAAATAACAACAAAAAATCCCGAAGGTGTCCTTATGCCATGCCATAAGCAACAGGTCCACTTGCTACATGGAAAACCCAGAAGTCACCCATACCTTGATTATTATGGGAATATTCTCACCTCTAACAGCCAATAGGAGGCTGGTGGGCACTTAAATTCCTTGAAGGACTTTTTATTTGTTTCTTGTTTTTTTTTTTTTTTTTTTTTGAGACAGGGTCTCACTCTATTGCCCAGGCTGGAGTACAGTGGTACAATCTTAGCTCACTGTAGCCTCGACCTCCCAGGTTCAAGCAATCCTCCCACCTCAGCCTCACAAGTAGCTGGGACTACAGGTGCACGCCACAACACCTGGTTAATTTTTTTAATTTTTTCATAAAGACAGGTGTTTGCTATGTGCCCAGGCTGGGCTTCAACACCTGAGCTCAAGCAATCTTCCTGCCTCAGCCTCTCAATGTGCTGGGATTACAGGCATGAGCCACTGCATCTAGCCTAAGCAATTTTTAAAAAGCCTTTTGGTAACCAAAGAACAAAAGGTTATTCTTCCAAGGCCCAGGTGTCCCATATGAAGCCTTTCCTGATTATTCCAGCTTCCACTGCCTTCTAGCCCTTCTCCTGCAACACTTACAGTCTGTCATGGGTTTAGTACTGGTCAAAGGGCAGTGCTCCACATTTTATAAGTATGTATTTTTTCATATCCCTTATCAAGCACTTACGTAGCATTTCCTTTGTGGCAGGAACTATTGTAAGTGCTTGATAAACATTAACTCACGTTTATCTTTGTCTCTTCCATAACCCCAAAATTCCAAAAGGAAGAGACCAAATGTTAGGCCTTTTTTTTTTTTGAGGTGAAGTCTCACTCTGTTGCCTAGACTGGAGTGCAGTGGCATGATCTTGGCTCACTGCAGCCTCCGCCTCCAGGGTTCAAGTGATTCTCCCACCTCAGCCTCCAGAGTGGCTGGGATCACGGGCGCCTGCCACCACGCCTGGCTAATTTTTTTGCATTTTTAGTAGAGATGGGGTTTCACCATGTTGGCCAGACTGGTCTTGAACTCCTGACCTCAAGTGATCCACCCACCTCGGCCTCCCAAAGTGCTGGGATTACAGGCGTGAGCCACTGCGCACGGGCCCATCTTAGGCATTGTCTTTTCTTTTCTTTTTTTGAGATGGAGTCTCGCTCTGTCGCCCAGGCTGGAGTGCAGTGGTGCAATCTCGGCTCACCGCAACCTCCACGTCTTGGGTTCAAACAATTCTCCTGCCTCAGCCTCCTGAGTAGCTGGGACTACAAGTGCGCACCACCATGCCTGCATGCCCAGCTGACTTCTTTTTTTTTTTTTTTGGAGAGAGAGTCTCCCTCTGTCGCCCAGGCTGGAGCACAGTGGCATGAATCTCAGCTCACTGCAACCTCTGCCTCCTGGGTTCAAGCTATTCTCCTGCCTCAGCCACCCGAGTAGCTGGGACTACAGGTGCCTGCCACCACGCCCGGCTAATTTTTGTATTTTTAGTAGAGACGGGGTTTTGCCATATTGGCCAGGCTGGTCTCAAACTCTTGACCTTGTGATCTGCCCACCTTGGCCTCCCAAAGTGCTCGGATTACAGGCGTGAGCCACCGCGCCCGGCCAATTTTTTGTATTTTAGTAGTGATGGGGTTTCACCATGTTGCCCACGCTGGTCTCAAACTCCCGAGCTCAGGCAATCCACCCACCTCGGCCTCCCAAAGTGCTGGGATTACATGCATGAGCTACTGCACCCAGCCATCTTAGTCATTTTCTAGTTCTTCCCAGCAGCTTAGCACAGTGCCAGACTAACAATGGCCATTAAAAAATATGTAAACTAATAGCAATAGAAGATGTGTAGTAAGTAATGAAAACTCCAACAGGACAAGCCTGAATTAAAATTACATGTTTGTAAATATTAGACAGGCCTTAACAGTTTTCTCACAGTTTCTCATTCCTACAGGCTTTTGAGAAACTACTTCTAGCCAGGTACTTTACCATGTAACGATGGAACAGAAATGGTTCATGTAGTTCAAACTCAACAAAAAAAAGACACGCGCAAGACTACAATCTAGTACAATATAGTCAGTAAAAACATACACGGTGCATCCTCTTTTTGTAACAGTGGTTGCCTAAGGAGCCTGAGTGGAGAGTGGCTACTGCATACCTGAAAGTCCAATCTGATGCCCTAAGATGGTTGAGTACAGATGGGTGACGTTGCGGGAATACCCTCCGAAGGGTTTCAGTGGGTCCAGGGTTAGGGTGATTGAGACTGAGATATTCACCGGGCCCGAGTCCTCCAGGGCCTGGGGGGACTGGGTGGAAGCTCGGGCCTGCCCGCTGGTCATTGTACTTTCCGGAGTTGTGGTGTCGTTTGTGAGATGCTTGAGGGTTTCATTCTCTGATACACACAAGTCCAAATCATTGAACCGTAGCAGAAAAGTATTCCAATCCTTTGGGAAAGTGAAAGAAAGAGAAATGGGTGTTAAGCAGCGCCTGTCTCCCACTGCGGGAATACAGGTAAGACCCCAGTGTGGCACCGCAGCACATCAGCAAACTACAATTCAGAGCTGATCATTTAAGATCATGACAACTCGGCCACCACCCTCTTCACAGGCAGCATGATGTGGCTTTCCTAATCACTTTTATATTCACAACCTAAAATATGAACTCTTCACTGGCACAAGATACTCAATAAACTGTGAAATCAAATCAATTTATTCAAGAAAATCTTTTTAAAAAATCCAGCATATTACACTTAGAGAAAATGATCTAGCCTCAGAACCAAACTTGAAAAGAACGCTTGAAGAAAAGCATTAATCCAAACTCATTTTGCAACTACAATTCTTTTCTTTAAATAAAGTCACCTTAAAATAATGTCCCAAAAGGTCAATTCCATACACCTTGCTCTCTTTCTCTAGAACACAAAACAGCAGTGAATACTAATACTCATTTGGGACACTGCCCCCCTTCTTATGGACTTTTGATGACACCTTAGAGCAGCAACGATTTCAAAAAGGAAGGGGCCAGGTACGGTGGCTCGCACCTGTAATCCCAGCACTTTGGGAGGCCAAGGTGGGTGGATCATTTGAGGTCAGGAGTTCGAGACCAGCCTGAGCAACATGGTGAAACCACGTCTCTACTAAAAATACAATAATTAGCCGGGTGTGGTGGTGTGTGCCTGTAATCCCACCTACTTGGGAGGCTGAGGCAGGAGAATCGCTTGAACCTGGGAGGTGGAGGTTGCAGTGAGAGGAGATCGTGCCACTGCACTCCACCCTGGGCGACACAGTGAGACTCTGTCTCAAAAAAAAAAAAAAAAAAAGCCATCTGAGGCCAGGTACGGTAGTTCACGCCTGTAATCCCAGCACTTTGGGAGGCCAAGCAGGGTGGATCACTTGAGGCCAGGAGTTCGAGACCAGCATGGATAACATGGTGAAACCTTGTCTCTACTAAAAATACAAAAATTAGCTGGACATGGTGGCGCATGCCTGTAATCCCAGCTACTTGGAAGGCTGAGGCACGAAAATCGTTTGAAGGGGGGCAGAGGCTGAAGTGAGCCAAGATCGCGCCACTGAAGTCCAGCCTCAGCCTGGGTGTCAGAGTGACACTCCACCTCAAAAAAAAAAAAAAGTCATCTGAGCAACCCCTACCCAGCCCAGTAAGTCTACCCTTACAGCATCAGTTTAACTGTATGTGACATTTAGTAAGACTGCAACTGGATCTATCAAATTACATTTTCCCTAACACCTACAAACTCAACTGACCATTCTAGTACATTAGGGTTGAAAATGAACATTCTAGTCTCAGTCCTTCATAATCCTAGACATGAAGAAACTGAGGCCCAGGGCAAATTAGGGACTCTCCAATTCTAGTTCAAGGTAAAATCAGCATTAAGTTCTGATTCACAGCCCCAAATGTTTCCCATACACCACTGCCTTTCCTACAACCTAGGATCCTCATTTGAAAACAAAAATCACGAAACTAATCATAACCAAAGTTCCGCAGCATCTCAACAATGCGTTCCTACAGAGCTGGAGTCCACGTTGAACAGCTGGCTAAAGCCAATGCCAGGCCTAATTTGGATTATTAAGGGCTAATTATCCAGGCTTCAGTGCAACCACTGGCCTTGGCCAAGTGCTCAACATGGACTCAAGCTCTGCGGGAAAGAAATGGCAGGAGGCTGTGCAGCTTTAGTTTTGAGTAGAATATTCATTTTCAGCCCTGATGTGGGGGCAGCCTGTTTTCACAACCTTTAAAGATTGAGGCAGGGTCAGAAAAGAGAGAGAATTAAGCCAGCCAGTATGTCTCTTAGTAATAAACTCTTTGAAAGGGTTACATGGTAGAAATAGCTAAAACTCGTTACTTGAACTGTGCTAGAAAGAGCTCACATGTGTAGGCGGTTCCTTTTGCCAAGATCACTTAAGATCTAGAATGCCCTAGAGCATGAGAGAAAGCTACGATCTCAATTACATGGAACACAACTCTCCTCTCCATTGCAAGGCACACTCAATGCGGCAACCACGCACTCCCAGCCCCACTCCCACCCCCACCTCCACCCACCAACAAACCCAAGAAGAAGGAAATAGAATAAGAGAAGGCACCCAAGGAATCTACTAAAAGACAGGAATTAGGCTGGATGCGGTGGCTCACACCGGTAATCCCAGCACTTGGGGAGGCCGAGATGGGTGGATCACCTGAGGTCAGGAGTTCGAGACCAGCCTGGCCAACGTGGCGAAACCCCGTCTCTACTAAAAAGACAAAAATTAGCCAGACGTGGTGGCAGGCACCTGTAATCCCAGCTACTCAGGAGGCTGAGGCAGGAGAATCGCTTGAGCCCGGGAGGTGGAAGTTGCAGTGAGCTGAGAGTACGCCACTGCACTCCAGACTAGGTGACGGAGCGAGACTCCGTCTCAAAAAACAAAAAACAAATATATTTGGAAATTAGGTCCTGTTTTTGAATTTCTTTAGGATTCCTTCTTATCTCATGAAAAAAACCATTAGTATAGCTGATAAAACTCCATGATGATATGTGGTTTTAAAATACCAAATGTTCAGTTTTCTAAAACAGCAATGAACCCATTTGAGATGGAATATTACAGAGGTGAGGTCTCCAGCTTTTTGACACAGATCATTTTACAAATGTACTCTCCAAAGTGCATGTTTCACTGCTAAAATAGTCTAACTGAAACTGGTAGCATATTTAAATCGAACAATACCCATCTAGGTATTTCCTAACAAAGTGAGTCCTGGGGAGATGGAAAACAGAAAATTCTGAATAAATACTGATTTTTCTCACTAGGAGAGAAAGGCCAAAACCCAAGAAAGCTATATGGCAAGCCACAGGGTGTTGCCCCACTGCACAAGGACCAGCCAGCCCGGGAGAAGTCAGAGCATACTATACCTCTGCCATTTCTGGGGATTTAATCTCCTTGATTTTGAAGAAGTAGCCCAGGGTCAGGAAAGCTATGGCCATGGCGCTTACGCTGATCATGAAGACCACCAGGGGAGGCCGACTGCTGATGTACACCTTCAGGTTCTCCAGGGGGTTGATGCTGAACATTATTCTGATCAGCTCCACCTGAAAGAAATGAATCAGAAGCTTCAAGGACTGACTTGCCAACAGGAAAGCTATGATTCTTTTGTTTCCTTTTGAGGTGTTGGGGGGTGAGCTGGGTGGGATGGGCACTCATTACTGAATTTGAGAAATGTCGGATCATAACTTCATTCAAAAGACTAGAAGGAAGAAACACTAAATGTTAACTGCCATTACCTCAAAGTGGCAGGATCCTGAATACATATTCTCTTTCAGTTTGAATCTTCTAAATATTGTGTGTGTGTGTGTGTGTGTGTGTGTGTGTGTGTGTTTTAAGAAACAGGGTCTCTCGTTCTGTCACCCAGGCTAGAGTGCAGTGGCGTGATCATAGCTCACGGCAGCCTTGAACTCCTAGGCTTAAGCTATCCTCCCACCTCAGCCTCCCGAGTAGCCAGGACTAAAGGTGTGTACCACTATGCCCGGCTAATTTTTTTTTTTCTTTTTTTTTTTTTTTGAGACGGAGTCTCACTCTGTGACCCAGGCTGGAGCAATGGTGTAGTCTTGGCTCACTGCAACCTCTGCCTCCTGGGTTCAAGTGATTCTCCCACGTCAGCCTCCCAAGTAGCTGAGACTACAGGCATGTGCCGCCACACCCAGCTAATTTTTGTATTTTTAGTAGAGATGGGGTTTCACCATATTGGCCAGGCTAGTCTCGAACTCCTGACCTCGTAATCTGCCTGCCTTGGCCCCCCAAAGTGCTGGGATTACAGGCGTGAGCCACCGTGCCCGGCTAATTTATTACCTTTTAAGAGATGGGGTCTCGCTATGTTGCCCAGGCTGGTCTTGATCTCCTAGCCTCAAGCAATCCTCCTGCCTCAGCCTCCCAAAGTTCTGGGATTGCAAGTGTGAGTCACCGTACCCAGACTCAATCTTCTAAATATTCTATAATAAATACTGTTACTTCCGTATCACTTAAGAAAAGGTTTAGGTGGGTCAGTAATGTGACACAAATACACAACATGTACAGAAAGAAAGTGAGGATGCTCTCATTTCCTGCCACTGAAAAGCTGAATTCTATTTATTCGACATTCTGTCCTGCTCATTGCCATATGGCTCACAGCCATCCCAGCCCTGCTTAAAAGCTCCTAAGGCTTCTACCAGACCTAGGAGAGGTCGGCAATAGCTCCCTGTCATGGCCCACAGGGTTTTCAGGACTCAGAAGCCCTGCCAGTCTCCCTGACTGCATCACCATCCACTTCCCCTCCTCCCTCCTGGGCTTTGGCCACACTGGACTTGCTATTCTTCAGGATCATCTTGTCAATGTCTGCAAGGAAATCAGCTGGGACTGACAGGGACTGCACTGAATCTGTGGATCGCTTTGGGGAGTGCTGCTCTCTTAACAAACAACGTTGTCTGCTAGTCAAAGAGCCTTGCAGACCTTTCCATCTATTTAGCTTCCTTATTTGAATAATGTTTTCTGTTTTCAGTGTTAACGTTTGCACTTCTTTTATTAAGTTTATTCATAAGTATTTAATGCTTCCTGCCATTTTTGACCATGATGTAGCTGAAGAATTTTGTATCTGCCTGGATGCTTTCCCCAAACATTTCCACGTTTGCTCTTCTTAAAACGCACATCTATGGCTGGGCGCAGTGGCTCATGCTTGTAATCCCAGCACTTTGGGAGGCCGAGGCGGGTGGATCACTTGAGGTCAGGAGTTCGAGACCAGCCTGGCCAACATGGCAAAACCCCGCCTCTACTACAAATACAAAAATTAGCCAGGTATAGTGGTGCACACCTGTAATCCCAGCTACTAGGGAGGCTGAGGCAGGAGAATCACTTGAACCTGGGAGGTGGAGGTTGCAGTAAGACAGGATCACGCCACTGCACTCCAGCCTGAGGGACAGAATGAGACTGTCTCAATTAAAAAAAAAAATGCAAGTCTCTGTTTAATAGCCAGCTCCTCAGAGCACACCTTCCCTGGTCACCCTCAGCCCCTGCTTTATTTCCTTTATATTGTTTAGCATCAACCAAGAGCACAATTATTTTCCTACTTGTTTACTGTTTGTCATCCCTCATTTATGAGCCCAACGAGAGCGGAGATTTTGCACACCTTCCTTGGTCACCCTCAGCCCCTGCTTTATTTCCTTTATATTGTTTAGCATCAACCAAGAGCACAATTATTTTCCTACTTGTTTACTATCTGTCATCCCTCATTTATGAGCCCAGTGAGAGTGGAGATTTTGCCTGTCTTGTTCACAGCTACAGCCCTGGCCCCTGGCCCCTAGAACAGTAGCTGGCACACAATGAGCACTTATAAACACGAGCAAACTGCGACAACATTAGCAAAAAGCAATTTTTTAAAAAGTCTGTATCAGCGTTTAAATTTTAGAGACAAAAAGATGCATCAACAGCCCCTAAAAATCAACAGCAACACATTTTCCATGCCACTTTCACTCAACATTGTTTTTCTGACATCTCTGTTGATCTCTGTTGATCTAGTTCGTTGAATTTCACTGATGTATATATGTAATTGTTCTGTGGTTGAGTTATTCCAGTCTGAGGGGCCTAGCTGGGTTCCTGTTACTGTTTCACCCACCAAGCGCATTGCAACAGGTACAAGAGTGGCTGTAGTACAACAAAGTCACAGAGTAGGGCCTGTCTTCAACCTGATATTGTCAGACCACTCTCCAAGGAGATCAACCAGTTTACACTTCCCCAGCAGTGAAGGAGCCTGCTCCATTCCATGAGATTTGTGCCAACACTTGATTTCCTAAGGCATATTAATATGGTCCAAAAAGACAGATGTGAAATGATATCTCTATTATTTTAAATGGTATCTCCCTGAAACAAAGCATCTTTCCGCTTTTTTAATCAGCCATTTAGGCCCAATCTTAACTGAACTGCCTGAATCCTCTGGTAAGTTACTAATAGGGTGTTAGTCTATTTCTTATTGATGTTTAGAAATTCCTTTTGTGTTTTGGGTACTAAGCCTTTAACAGTTTTATATGTTACGTATAATTAATCCAAGTCTGGGTTTTCTTTAATATGGTTTATGGTATCTTTTGCCATATGAAAGGTTCTTGAGAAGCCAGGCACAGTGGCTCACGCCTGTAATCCCAGCACTTTGGGATGCCAAGGCAGGTGGATCACGAGGTCAGGAGTTCAAGACCAGCCTGGCCAATATGGTGAAACCCCGTCTCTATGAAAAATACAAAAAGTAGCTGGGCATGGTGGCATGTGCCTGTAGTCCCAGCTAGTTGGGAGGCTGAAGCAGGAGAATCAGTTGAACCCGGAGGGCGGAGGTGCAGCAAGTCGAGATCACACCACTGCACTTCAGCTTCGACGATAGAGCGAGACTCCATCTCAAAAGAAAACAAAAAGAAAAGAAAAAGAAAGGTTCTTGATATTTTTAATAGTATTAAGAAATAATTCACATACCATACAATTCACCCATTTAAAGTATACAATTCAATGATTTTTGGTATATTCACTGATTTGAACAACAACCCTCACTATCAATTTTCAAATGTTTTCACTGTCCTATAAAGAAAGCCCAACCTATAACAGATACATAAAAAATAAAAAGAAATTAAAACATACCACCAGAGAAAAATCACCTTCACTAAAATGAAGACAGGAAGGAAGGAAAGAAAGAAGACAAGACCACAAAACAACCAAAAAACAACTAACAAAATGGCAGGAGTAAATCCTTACTTATCAGTAACAACACTGAATGTAAATGGACTAAACTCTCCAATCAAAAGACACAGTGGCTGAATGAATAAAAAAACCAGATCCAACGATGTGTTGCCTACAAGAAACACACCCTACCTATAAAGACACACATCAAATGGAAATAAAGAAATAACCGGGCGCAGTGGCTCACACCTGTAATCTCAGCATTTTGGGAGGCTGAGGTGGGCAGATCACCTGAGGTCAGGAGTTCGAGACCAGCCTGACCAACAGTCAGTTTCTTTAGTAGAGAAACCCTGACTCTACTAAAAATACAAAAAATTAGCCAGGTGTGGTGGTGCATGCCTATAATCCCAGCTACTCGGGAGACTGAGGCAGGAGGATCACTTGAACCTGGGAGGCAGAGGTTGTGGTGAGCCAAGGTCGCGCCATTGCACTCCAGCCTGGGCAACAAGAGCAAAACTCCGTCTCAAAAAAAGAAAATAAAGAAATGGAAAAAGATATTCCATGCAAATGGAAACCAAAAAAGCGCAGAGCAGAAGTAGCTATATTTAATCAGACTAAATAGATTTCAAGACAAGAACTATAAAAAGAGACAAAGAAGGTCAAACGGTCAATTCAGCAAGATGATGTAACAATTATAAATATATATGTACCCAACACTGGAGCACCAAGATACATAAAGCAAATATTAGAACTAAAGGGAAAGACAGACCCCAGTACAATCATAGCTGGAGACTTCAACACTCTGCTTTCAGCATTGGACAGATCTAGACAGAAAACCAAGAAAGAAATGACTTAATCTGCACTACAGACCAAATGGACCTAACAGATCACATGGATCATTCCCAAAAATAGACCACGTTAGGCCACAGAACAAGTCTTAAAACATTAAAAAAAATACAAAATTATATCAAGTATCTTCTCTGACCACAATGGAATAAAACTAGAAATCAGTTACAAGAGGAATTCTGGAAACTATACAAACACATGGAAATTAAATAACATGCTCCTGGATGGCCAGTGGGTCAATCAAGAAATTAAGAAGGAAATTAAAAAGTGTCTTGAAACAAATGAAAATGAAAACACAACATACCAAAACCTATGGGATCCAGTGAAAGCAATACTAAGAGGAAAGTTTATAGCTATAAGCACCTACATAAAAAAGTAGAAAAACATCAAAAAAGCAACATGCAATGCATCTTAAAGAATTAGAAAAACAAGAGCAAACCAAACACAAAATTAGAAGAAATAATAAAGATCAGAGCAGAAATAAATAAATTTGAAACAAAAAAATATAAAAGATCAATGAAACAAAGAGTTGGTGTTTTGAACCAGATGAAGTCAGAAAAAAGAGAGACAAGATTCAAAGAAATAGTATCAGACATGAAAAAGGAGACATTAAACCAACATCACAGGACTTCAAAGGATCATTACAGGCTACCACGAGCAACTGCACACCGGCTGGAAAACCTAGAAGAAATGGATGAATTCCTATACACACACAACCTACCAAGACCTGATGGCTTCACTGCTGAATTCTACCAAACACTAAAAGAAGAACTAATACCAATCCTACGTAAACTATCTCAAAAAGCAGAAGAAGAGGGAGTACCTCCAAACTCATGCTAGGAGTCCAGTATCACCCTGATACCAAAACCAAAGATACATCAAAAAAAAAAGGAAAACTACAGGCAGATATCCCTGATGAAGATTGTTGTAAATCTCTTCCAAAACATACTGGCAAACCGAATTCAAAACATTAAAAAGATCATTCATCATGACCAAGTGGGATTTATCCCTTAGAAGCAAGGATGGTTCAACATATGCAGATAAATCAAAGCGATACATCATATCAGCAGAATAAAGGACAAAAACCATATGATCCATTCAACTGATGCTGAAAAAGCATTTGATAAAATTAAATATCTCTTCATGATACAAACCCTCAAAAAAACTGGGCTTAGAAGGATCATACCTCACACAATGAAAGCCATATACAACAGGCCCACAACTAGTATCACACTGAATGGTGAAAAACTGAAAGCATTTCCTCTAAGATCTGGAACATGAAAAGGATGCCCACTTTCACCACCGTAATTCAACAGAGTACTAGAAGTCCTAGATACAGCAATCAGACAAGAAATAAAGGGCATCCAAACTGGAAAGGAATAAAATAAATTATCCTTGTTTGCAGATGGTATGATCTTATATTTGGATAAATCTAAATACTCCATCAAAAAACTAGAACTGATAGACCAATTTTCAGTAAAGTTGCAGGACACAAAAACAACCTACAAAAATCAGTAGCATTTCTACGTGCCAATAGAGAGCAATCTAAAAAAGAAATCAAGAGGTCAGGCATGGTGGCTCATGCCTGTAATCCCAGCACTTTGGGAGGCCAAGGCAGGTGGATCACTTGAAGCCAGGAGTTCGAGACCAGCCTGGCCAACACGGTGAAACTCCATCTCTACTAAAAAAAATAAAAATTAGCTGGGCACGATGGTGTGCATCTATAATCCCAGTTACTCATGAGGCTGAGGCATGAGAATCCCTTGAACCTGGGAAGCAGAGGTTGTAGTGAGCCAACGTCGTGCCTCTGCACTCCAGCCTGCACAACAAAGTAAGACTCCGTTTCAAAAAAGTATAAAAACTATTTACATAGTACTTGCATTGCATTAGGTACTGTAATCTAGAGATGATTTAAAGTAAATGGGGCCAGACGCAGTGGCTCACGCCTGTAATCCCAACACTTTGGGAGGCCAAGGTGGGTGGATCACCTGAGGTCAGGAGTTTGAGGCTAGCCTGGCTAACATGGTGAAACCCTGTCTCTACTAAAAATACAAACGTTAGACAGGTGTGATGGCAAGCACCTGTAATCCCAGCTACTTGGGAGGCTGAGGCAGGAGAGCTGCTGGAACCCAGGAGGTGGAGGTTGCAGTGAGCTGAGATTGCGCCACTGCACTCCAGCCTGGGTGACAGAGCAAGACTCCATCTCAAAAATAATAATAACAATAATAATCTGGAAACAACACTAGTTAGGTTAAGATTAATATGATTCATAAATAAAAATGTCAACAGTAAATCAGAGTTCAATTTATTGAGCAAGAACAAAAACTTATTTTTGTTTTTTTGTTTTTTTGGACACAAGAGTCTCACTCTGTCGCCCAGGTTGGAGTGCAGGGGCACAATCTCAGCTCACTGCAACCTCCGCCTCCTGGGTTCAAGTGATTCTCCTGCCTCAGCCTTCTGAGTAGCTGAGATTACAGGTGCATGCCAACATGCCTGGCTAATTTTTGTCTTTTTTTAAGTAGAGACAGGGTTTCACCATGTTGACCAGACTGGTCTTGAACTCCTGTCCTCGAGTGATACGCCCACCCTGGCCTCCCACAGTGTTGGGATTATAGGTGTGAACCACCACACCTGGCCCAAAACCTTAGCCTTATATAAAAATGAATAGGACCCACTTACCACTTGGAACTACAATTATGAAACATTCAGGAAAACAGTAGAAAAATCTGAATTAGAATTCACTTCAAGGAAAACTAATAGTCATTAAAAGCACATCACACCAGAATTTAAACAATTATATCAACAGAAATACCCACAAAATGGCAAATATTGTCAACATAAGCCAATTTAATTTAGGGAAACTTCCAGCACAGGACAATTATAGTCACTAAAAAAGCGAAAGAATGGACCGGGCGCAGTGGTTCACGCCTGTAATCCCAGCACTTTGGGAGGCCAAAGCGGGTGGATCACCTGAGGTCAGGCGTTCGAGATCTGCCTGACTGACATGATGAAACCCCATTTCTACTAAAAATACAAAAATTAGCTGGGCATGGCGGCGTGTGCCTGTAATCCCAGCTACTCAGGAGTCTGAGGCAGGAGAATCACTTGAACCCAGGAGGCAGAGGTTGCAGTGAGCTGACTTTGTGCCACTGCACTCCAGCCTGGGCAACAAGAGCAAAAGTCCATCTCAAAATAATAATAATAATAAAATAATAATAATAATAAAAGAAAGCTTGAATAAAACTATTAAGATTCCAAACATTTTACAAACTTAAAATTCCTTTCTACCATTCACAAGCGTTTTCAAATAGGAAATTAATGAAGACTAAATAAATGTATCCCCTCTGCAAAGAGTTACGAGAAAATTTCTGTAAGCGTCACAGTGGCAAATGTTAGTTTTAATTAATGAATAAATTAAGTTCTGTTTAGGAAAAAAAAAAAGAAAAAGAGATAAAAGAAAGCACACTATTTGACCCCTCCCGCTAAATTCATTCCAACTCCAATTAGGGCATCCTGGTATTGACCAAGATGAAGAAAGAAATGACCACTGCTGGGAAGCTGCCTCTCTGAAAAGTTCAGGGATTTAGGGTACACTGAACATGGCCAAAAGGCAAATTCACAAGCACGTGAGAACATGTGATGAAAATCTATCAGCACAGTACCTTAGATCTCTGAGACTAACTCAGTGAAGACGCTAAACATCAGACGGCACTGTAAGCAAGCAAAAGGCAATACCAAGATTATCCCAAAGATATCTCTAGCAACCCACAAGTTACAAGAACACAAGTTCCTTAAAAAGGGGCGTGGAAACAGCTGTGTTATAAACTTTCTGGAAACCAACTTGGCTATACATATCAATAGTGTTAAAATCTGGCATATTTTATCTCCAACATTCTACTTCTAAGAACTAAACCTAAGGAAACACCCATTGCTCCAAAGATTTAACTACTCAGAGTTATTTTTGGAGTGTTTGCAATTGTTAAAAAATGGAAAACTACATATCCAACAATAGCAGGGGACAACTGAATAAAGCAGGATTTCTCCCCAGTATTGTACCTATCAAAAACACAAGATCTGGGCGTGGTGGCACACGTCCATAGTCCCAGCTACGTGGGGGGCTGAGGCAGGAGGATGGCTTGAGCCTGGGAGTTTGAGGCGGCAGTGAGCTATGATTGATTACGCCACTGCACTCTAGCCTGAGCAACAGAGTGAGTTCTTATCCCCCACAACCACCAAAACAAAGCGGGAGCTAGGCACAGTGGCTCACGCCTGTAATCCCAGCACTTTGGGAGGTCGAAGCAGGCGGATCACCTGAGGTCAGGAGTTCGAGACCAGCCAGGGCAACATGGTGAAACCCTGTCTCTACTAAAAACACAAAAAATTAGCCGGGTGTGGTGGCGCGTGGTTGTAGTCCCACCTACTCAGGAGGCTGAGGCACAAATTGCTTGAACCTGGGAGGTTGAATTGAGCTAAGATCGTGCCACTACACTCCAGCCTGGGTGATGGAGTGAGACTCTGTCTCAAAACAAACAAACAAAACACCCACAGGATCTTAAAATATCACATACAGTTGCCATAAAAAAATAAAATCGGCCAGGCGCGGTGGCTCATGCCTGTAATCCTAGCACTTTGGGAGGCTGAGGCGGGTGGACTGCCTGAGCTCAGGAGTTCGAGACTAGCTTGGGCAACATGGTGAAACCCCATCTCTACTAAAAATACAACAAATTAGCCGGGAGTGGCAGCGTGCGCCTGTAATCCCAGCTATTGGGAGGCTGAGACAGGAGAATTGCTTGAACCTGGGAGGCAGAGGTTGCAGTGAGCCGAGATCACGCCACTGCACTCCAGCCTGGGTGTCAGACTAAGACTCCATCTCAAAAAAAAAAAAAAAAGTTCTCAGGGAAAACTGTGCTCTGCACAATCCTCCATCTGGCGAGGTGAGAACAGGGATGGAGAAACTGAGGCAACAGGTAACCAACAGAAGGCGCTTTACGTAAGCAAAAGGCAATATCCAGGTTACCCTGATAATATTTCAAGCAACCCACAGGTTGCAAGAACACAAGTTCCTTAAGGGTGGCCAGGAAAAGACTGTGTTATAAACTTTCAAAACACTACTAGTTCAGGTGAAAGGGAGAGGTGTGGGAGGAGATGCTTACTTTTTATTACATGAGTTAACAAAAACACAGTTAATTGTGTTGGTGCAAAAGGAATCGCGGTTTTCACCAATACATAATGGCAAAAACCACGATTACTTTTGTACCAACCTAATATAAGGGGAGGAAAGCAGCTAGTAAAGGAGGAAGGCCGGATGGGTGCAGTGGCTCACGCCTGTAATCCCAGCACTTTGGGAGGCCAAGGTGGGTGGATCATGAGGTCAGGAGATCGAGACTATCCTGACTAACATGGTGAAACCCCGTCTCTACTAAAAGTACAAAAAATTAGCCAGGTGTGGTGGCGGGCGCCTGTAGTCCCAGCTACTTGAGAGGCTGAGGCAGGAGAATGGCATGAATCCAGGAGACGGAGCTTGCAGTGAGCCGAGATAGCACCACTGCACTCCAGCCTGGGTGACAGAGCGAGACTCTGCCTCAAAAAAAAAAAAAAAAAAAAAAAAAAAAAAGGAGGAAGGCCTCCTGGTTGGGCACAATAACTCACACCTGTAATCCCAGCACTTTGGGAGGCTGAGATGGAAGGATTGCTTGAGGCCAGGAGTTAGAAACCAGCCTGGCCAACACAACAAGACCCCGTCTCTACAAAAAACAATTTTTTAATAAATTAGCTAAGCATGGTGGTGTACACCAATGGCCCAGCTACTTGGGAGTCTGAGGTGGGAGGACTGGCTCAGCCCAGGAGGTCAAAGCTATAGTGAGCTATGATCATGCCACTGCACTCCAGCCTGGCCAACATGGTGGAAAAAAAAAATGTAATTTTGCAACTTAATAACATTTTATCAGAAAAAAAGTAAGTTAACATTCATTATGCCACAGACACAGGAAGCCTTTCAGTTTCTCCCTCTCTCCAAAGCCCGCATATGTACACATGGCTACTTGTCCAAGTTTTAAACTAACTTTATTGTAGTTTTAAACTGTTCTTTTTTTTTTTTTTTTTTTTTTTTGAGATATTGTCTCGCACTGTCACCCAGGCTGGCATGCAGCAGTGTGATCTCTGCTCAACCTCTGCCTCCCAGGTTCAAGCGATTCTCCTACCTCAGCCTCCCAAATAGCTGAGACTACAGGTGCACATCACCACGTCCGGCTAATTTTGATATTTTTAGTAGAGATGGGGTTTCACCATGTTGGCCAGGCTGGTCTCAAACTCCTGACTTCAAGTGATCCACCTGCCTCAGCCTCCCAAAGTGCTGGGATTCCAGGCACAAACCACCACACCAGGCCCACCATTCATCTTAAATGAGATTTTCTACCTTAGGTTAAATGGGAAGTTTCTGAAAGTTGAGGAAGAGAGGATGGGAGAAGCAAGCCTGCTCTCTACGCCAACCAAAGGAAATACATCGGACTTGTGCTAAGACAGAATGACAGAAACTCACCTTCATGTAGCAGAAAGTAGCATTTCTCAAATATCCTGTGATGTCTGAGACCCTCAAAGAGCTTTAAGGCCGGGGTTACAAACCCTGAGCCTAGTAAACAACAGTCATCGATGCGATGCCAGATTATCCAACACTTAGAGCTGAAGACACTTACTGGTATCAAAGAAACCCTGTGCAAGCTCCAGCACCCAGCTGCCCCAAGCACTGCGCAGAAACCATCTTCCTGCCCCACCGCAAAGCAGTGCAGGCAGAATGAACCTTCAGAGAGACAAGTGAGAAGCAACGAAGACACAGGAGAACTTCAAGGTCTCCAGTAATCTCTGGGCTGCTAAGTCCAAAGCTGGAGCTCCAGTCCCTAACTCATGTTGCTGCAGCATCTGATACAGAAGTGGGGTGGATCCTCTCCCAGTTTCCACTCCGGGTTTTCTTAACATTCATCTGGCCACCCCTTCCTTCTCAGGATCCTTCAAAAGCTGGTGTTCCCAAGTTCCAGCTGGGGCCTCTGCTCAAGGGGGACACGCTCATTCATGCCTTAATCCCATTTTATGTACCTACTCACCTCCAGATCCAAACAGTCACCTACTGGAGCTATCTCCTTAGATGACCCAAAGGCCATCAAGGCCAAAACTTATCCCAAGGCACCAAACTGGCTCCTTCCCTAAGGAAAAACACCGTCATTTACCTAGTGATCCCTGCCAGTCATTCTTTTTTTTGAGACAGGGTCTGGCTCTGGTGCCCAGGCTAGAGTGCAGTGGTATGAGCATGGCAGCCGCCTTGACTTCCTGGGCGCAAGCGATCCTCCCACCTTGGCCTCCCAAGTAGCTGGGACTACAAGTGCATGCTACCACTCCTGGCTAATTTTTGTATTTTTTGTAGAGATGGGATTTTGCCATGTTGCCCAGGCTGGTCTCAAACTCCTGGGCTCAAGCGATCCTCCCGCGTCAGCCTCCCAAATGCTGGGATTACAGACGTGAGCCACTGCGCCCAGCTCCTGCCAGTCATCCTTGACACTCTGGCTCTCCTACAACCAGTTACCAAGTCCTATCGTTTCCACATTTTAAGTGTCTCTCAAGGGCAGCTCTCACTCCATCCCCACTGACACTGCCTCCCTGCACCCTCAGCCAAATTAAATTGTTGTCTGAGCCGGGTGCTCACAGATGTAATGCCAGCATTTTGGGAGGCCGAGGCAGGTGGATCACCTGAGGCCAGGAGTTTGAGAGCATCCTGGCCAACATGAAACCCCATCTCTAATAAAAATACAAAAATTAGCTGGGCATGGCGGTGCACGCCTATAATGCCAGCTACTCAGGAAGCTGAGACAGGAGAATCGCTTGAACCCGGGAGGCGGAGGTTGCAGTGAGCCAAAATCAAGCCACTGAACTCCAGCCTGGGCACGAGAGCAAGAGTCTGTATCAAAAAAAAAAAAAAAAAAAAAAAAAAAATTTGTCTCTCATTTCCATGATATTGTTTCTGCATTCCTCCTACCTTGGACAGTGCCTGACACCAGGAAGGTGCTTAACAATAATAACGTCTACCGTCATTGCCTACTTTTTGAGAGAGGCACTGCTCTAAGAGTTTTGCACCTATTGTGTATGATCCCTAAAACATCTCTATTTTACAGATACGGAAATTAAGGCATATAGAAGTCAGCTAATGTGCCCATGATCACACGGGAAGTGAACCTGGATTCAAATCCAGTTGGCCTCCAGAGCCCATGCATTAACCATTAAGTTCTACTTCGGTCCAATAAATGATATAGGTTTGCATAAAGAAGTCAATCTGGCAGGGCACAATGGCTCCTGCCCATAATTCTAGCACTCTGGGAGGCTGAGGCCAGCCGATCACTTGAGCCCAGGAATTCGAGACCAGCCTGGAAAACACAAGAAGACCCTGTGTCTACAAAGAATACAAAATTTAGCTGGGTGTGGTGGTGCACACCTGTAGTCCCAGCTACTTGGGAGGCTGAGGTGGAGGGATCACCGGAACCCAGGAGTTTGAGGCTACAGTGAGCTGTGATGGCACCACTGCACTCTAGCCTGGGAGACAGAGTTAAACCCTATCTCAAAAAATGAAAATAAAAAGGAAAAAAAAAATTTTTTTAAGAGTCAATCCCATCAAATGAGAAAAGGCAGAAAAGCATCCATATAATTTTGCAATCGAGACATCAATAGTGATGTAAGCAAAACCCCTTTCACTAGGGTGATAGAGGCAAAAACCAGGTGACAAGGACGAAGGAGTGAGAAGAGAGCATTCTTAACAGCTACCACTTAGAACATGCCATTCCCAGGCACCGTGCCAAGCGCTTAACATATTTTTTAATCCTTGCAACACTGCTAGATAGATACTACTATTCCCACTTTACAGATGAGAAAACTGAAGCAAATGAGCTTAAGTAATTTGTACTAGGTCATGCTGCAAATAAATGGCAGAAATGGATTCTGACTTAATTCATCTGACCCCAAAAGCCATGCTATCAATCACAATGCCAAGGTTGATAAGACAGTTTCAAGTCAAATGCCAAAGTGAAAAAAAAAAACAACTCACATGCCATAGATATACAAAGTGCATTTTAGTCACTGATTTTAACAAAGACACAAGTAAGAGATCAACTTTTTTGAAGTTTAAAATGTTTAACTTAGTTTCTTTTTTTTTCAAGACTGAGTTTCACTCTCATCACCCAGGCTGGAGTGCAATGGCACAATCTCAGCTCACTGCAACCTCTGCTTCCTGGGTTCGAGTGATTCTCCTGCTTCAGACTCCTGACTAAATGGGATTACAGGCGCCCACCAGCAGGCCTAGCTAATTTTTGTATTTTTAGTAGAGACAGGGTTTCACCAAGCTGGTCAGGCTGGTCTTGAATTCCTGACCTCAGGTGATCCACCTGCCTTGGCTTCCCAAAGTGCTGGGATTACAGGTGTGAGCTACCGTGCTCAGCCTATTTTCCATTTCTTTAGCAGGATTCCTCCCATCTCAGCACTCATTCATCAGTTAAGAGTATGAAGCAAAGACTGGCACAGTCTTCTGCCAATAGTGTCTTGTTTCTTAATGTGATACAATTCACAGTGTAGAACAGACTTTCACAATAACTCACGTTTAAAAGGAACCAAAGAGAGACTGGGCATGGTGTTTCATGCCTGTAATCCCAACACTTTGGGAGGCCAAGGTCAGAGGATCACTTGAGCACAGGAGTTCGAGACCAGCCTGGACAACACAGTGAGACCCCGTCCCTAAAAAAAAAAAAAAACAAAACCCAAATTAAAAAAAATTAGCTGGGCATGGTTTCACCTATAGTCCCAGCTAATTGGGAGGGCAAGGCAGGAGGATCAGTTGAGTCCAAGAGTTCAAGGCTACTGTGAGCCACGGCTATGGTCACACCACTGCACTCCAGCCTCGGTGACAGGGAGAAACCTTGTCTCAAAAAAAAAAAAAAGATCAAATAAGAAATTACAAGAGAAAGCATAGTTTTAGTTGCTAAACGTGTAGTTTAGGCAACATCAGTAGTCTCATAAAGACAAAAGGAAAGGAATGTAGGCTGACATAATTACATGTCTGGAACCAGACTTACTTCTAAAACTCAGACTTCCCGTTTATTTCTCCTCACTTACGGTTGTTAATGAATGCATCGTTCCATTTTCAAAATCATGATATAAAACCATGGTAACGTTCAACCCCCCCGCTTCTTAAAAAAATTCACTACAGTCTCAAGATGGAAAATAATTTATCTTTGTTCTTTAGTTTTTTAAATAATTGCCAACCATCTTAAACACCAAAATTAAAAGTACTCCCATATTAAAATTTAATAATCTGGGGCTTAATTTTTAAGAAAACAAGTCATGAGGGATGCCAAGATCAAACAAAAGCTAATAGTTCAGTATGAAACCTTTCTGTAACCAAACTCAGTGTGTAAGACTGGGACATGTTTGAAAAACAGCACTTGTAACCAAACAACACAAAAGTCCAAACGGCAGTGTTTCGAAGGCTGTGTCATGTACTCCCCAGGATCACACTCAGGTATGTAATCACACGCAGAAAAAACACTACAGACCTCTTGTCAAATGTATTTGATTCGTACATGAGAAAGTTAACTTAAGGATTTCCATGTTCGAAATCAATCTAAATGAAAATTCAATTTGCTAAAACCTCTATCTTTCCTCCTTTCTGTTTTTTCATTTTAAAGAAAGGCCAAGGTTCTTTGTCCATTTTTCTTTCTTTTCTTTTTTTTTTTTTTTGTTTCAGATGGAGTCTTGCTCTGTCACCCAGGCTGGACTGCAGTGGTGCGAACCCGGCTCACCACAACCTCCACATCCCAGGTTCAAGTGATTCTCCTGCTTCAGCCTCCTGAGTAGCTGAAGTAGCTTGTAAGCATGCTTACAACCATGTGCCACCACGCCCAGCTAATTCTTGTACTTTTAGTAGAGACAGGGTTTCACCATGTTGGCCAGGTTAGTCTCGAACTCCTGACCTCAAGCAATCCACCAGCCTTGGCCTCCCAAAGTGCTGGCATTACAGGCGTAAGCCACGGTGCCTGGCTGCCCATTTTTCAATTGGATTTTTTGTTTTCTTGCTACTGAGTTGTTTGAGCTTTGTATATATTTTGGATATTAACCCCTTTTCAGACGTATGGTTTGCAAGTAGCTTCTCCAAATCCCTAGGGATTAAAAAATGGGCAAGGGACACGAACAGATGTTTCTCAAGAGACCGACAAATGGCCAACAGATATAGTTGGCCAACATATCACAATCACTAGAGAAGTGCAAATTAAAATCACAATGAGATATCATCTCGCGCCTGTCAGGATGACTTTTATCAAAGAAAAACAAATGCTGGTGAGAATGTGGAGCTAAGGGAGCCGTCATGCACTGTGGGAATGTAAATTAGTACAGCCAAGATGGAAAACAGCACAGAAATTCCTTTAAAAACTAAAAATAGGCCGGGCGTGGTGGCTCACGTCTGTAATCCCAGCACTTTGGGAGGCTGAGGCGGGTGGATTATGAGGTCAGGAGTTCAAGACCAGCCTGACCAACATGGTGAAACCCTGTCTCTACTAAAAATACAAAAAATTAGCGTGGCGTGGTGGCGTGCACCTGTAATCTCAGCTACTCGGGAGGCTGAGGCAGGAGAATCGCTTGAATCCAGGCAACAGAGCGAGACTCTGTCTCCAAAAAAAAAAAAAAGAAAAAACTACAAATAGAATTATTTCATGATCCAGCAATCCCACTGCTGAATATATACTACCCCAAATTGAAATCAGATTGTCAAAGAGATGTCTGTTCACTGCAGCACTATTTGCCACAACATGGACAGAAGCGATGAACGTTATACTAAGAGAAATAAGCCAGGCATAGAAGCACAATATAGGATTCCACTTATATGTGGAATCTAGAAGACAATGGAACTCATTGCAGCAGAGAGCAGAACTATGGTTACAGAAGCAGGGGGTGGGGAACAGGGAGATGATGGTCAAAGGGTACAAAGTCCGTTAGAGAAAAGGAATATATTTTTTCTTTTTTGAGTTATATTGCACAGTGTGGTAAATATAGTTAATACAGTTATTTTTGGGTGGCTCACACCTTTAATGCTAGCATTTTGGGAGGCCAAGATGGGAGGATCACTTGTGCCCAGGAGTTTGAGACCAGCCTGAGCAACAGAGTGAGACCTTGCCTCTACAAAAAATCAAAAAATTAGCCAGGTGTGGTGGTGTACATCTGTGCTCCCAGCCACTCAGGAGACTGAGGCAGGAGTATGACTTGAGCCCAGGAGGAGGAGGGTGCAGTGAGCCATGATCACCCACAGCACTCCAGCCAGGACAACAGAGCAAAACTCTGTCCCGTAATAATTATTTTTTTTAATTAAAAAATAGGGCCGGGGCTGGTGGCTCACGCCTGTAATCCCAGCACTTTGAGAGGCCAAGGCGGGCGGATCACGAGGTCAGGAGTTCAAAACCAGCCTGACCAACATGGCGAAACCCCATCTCTACTAAAATACAAAAAAATTAGCCAGGCGTGGTGGTGCGTGCCTGTAGTCCCAGCTACACGGGAGGCTGAGCCAGAAGAATCGTTTGAAACTGGGCGGCGAAGGTTGCAGTGACCGAGGTCATGCCACTACACTCCAGCCCAGACAACAAGGTGAGACTCCATCTCAAATAAATAAATAAATAAAAATAAGGCCAGGTGTGGTGGCTCATGCCTGTAATCCCAGCACTTTGGGAGGCCGCAGTGGGCGGACCACCTGAGGTCAGGAGTTTGAGACCAGCCTGACCAACATGATGAAACCCTGTCTCTACTAAAAATAGAAAAATTAGCCAGGCATGGTGGCGGGCATCTGTAATCCCAGCTACTCAAGAGGCTGAGGCAGGAGAATCGCTTGAACCCGGAAGGCGGAGGTTGCAGTGAGCTGAGATCGCGCCACTGTACTCTAGCCTGGACGACAGAGCAAGACTCTGTCTCAAAAAATATATATAAAATAAAATAAAATAAGGGCTAAGGCTGAGGCCAGTGAGGTCCTGAGATCAGTCATATCATCTAGAGCAATTACATGGCATCCTGTGTGAATGGCTTCAAAGGTTCTTCAGTACTGGGCAAGGGAAACACACCATCTCTGTGACATGGACCAGATTTCACTAAAAACCCTCTGGAGAGGACTGAAGGGCTTGCCATTTATCCTTTGGCTGTAGCCAGAGCTGCAGAGACCAGACTAGAGCTGTGCTCCTGCAAACTGAACACAGGCACTGAAACAACTCACAGACATCAAATTTAATTTCCTGATTGTCAATACCAGACAGGAATGACAATCAGCATCTTTTTCATTGTCCTTAATAAAATAAGTTAAGCATTGTTTTATGCCAACGGCCTCTTACAGAACAAGACAAACTCATTAAATGAAAACAATTCTTTAGAAACCAAAGGCCAGGCCTGGTGGCTCACGCCTGTAATCCCAGCACATTGGGAGGCTGAGGCAGGCGGATCACTTGACGTCAAGGGTTTGAGACCAGCCTGGCCAACATGGTGAAACCCTGTCTCCATTAAAAATACACAAATTAGCTGGGTGTGGCGGCATGCACCTGTAGTCCCAGCTACTCAGGAGGCTGAGGAATCGCTTGAACCCAGAAGGCAGAGGTTGCCGACTGCGTCACTGCACTCCAACCTGGGCAACAGAGCAAGACTCCATCTCAAAGAAAACAAAAACAAAAAAACCCAGAAATCTACGAGAAACTAGACTGGGTAGCTTATGCTTATCTTTCTTAGAAAAGCATTTAACCCTTAACTAGCTGCCTCTGCCAATATTTCTAGGCACTGATTGTCCAGCTACCTAGCCTGGGTGCTTGTCCACCAACTGGCCCTAGTTTTTTCATTTCCCAGCTAATTCTGAATGGCCCAAATCCTCTTGATCTTTCTAGGTCCACCTCAAAGTTTACTTCACGAGTTTCGGGCTGAGCAAGGTGGCTCACACCTATACTTCCAGCACTTTGGGAGGCCAAGGTGGGCAGATCACCTGAGGTCAGGAGTTCAAGGCCTGGCCAACAACATGAAACCTCGTCTCTACCAAAAATACAAAAATTAGCCAGGCGTGGTGGCAGGCAACTGTAATCCCAGCTACTCAGGCAGCTGAGGCAGAAAAATCGCTTGAACCTGAGAGGCAGAGGTTGCAGTGAGCTAACTTCGCGCCACTGCACTCCAGCCTAGGCAACAGAGCAAGACTCCGCCTCAAGAAAAAAAAAAAAGTTAGTTTCTGATCCTAACCATAACAAAATCCTGAACAGTTGGTATACCACTATGGCAATTCAGTCCTGCCACATTTTCTAGCCTATTGCTTCCTCTAAGTACATTCCTTACAGGCAGAAACTATTAATATATTCGCACTTATGCCAGGTGCGGGTGGTTCACGCCTATAATTCCAGAACTTTGGGAGGCCGAGGAGGATGGATCACCTGAGGTCAGGAGTTCAAGACCAGCCTGGCCAACATGGTGAAACCTTGTCTCTACTAAAAATACAAAAATTAGCTGGGCATGGTGGCGGGCACCTGTAATCCCAGCTACTAGGGAGGCTGAGGCAGGAGGATTGCTTGGACCTGGGAGGCAGAGGTTGCAGTGAGCAGAGATCGCACCACTGCACTCCAGCCTGGGCGACAAGAGTGAGACTCTGTCTCAAAAACATATATATATATAATCTACCTTTCCTCCTTGCCACAGATGCAGCTAGAGCCTAAACGGAGAAGGTGCCAGTTAACTAGCCTTTGGTGATTTTAGCATTGAGACTCCGGTGCTAGCAGTGATTCCAGTCCACCTGATTCAGGCCACAGGAATTCTCCCAGAATCTTCACTACAAGTTGAAACTCCAAATCCTTAATCCTAGAGAGTAAATGCACTTAGGGTCAATGCACACCTAAGTATACCTTAGGTGCGCGACAGGTCTATTTCCTGTCAGAATCCCTAGATGAAAAGAGGAAGTAGATGGACACCCTTATCGGTCAAGCGCTGATGGAACACTCATCTACAAATGAGATACACATGCTGAGACCCTAAGCTGACCCAAGCTGATGGTGCTATCGAGACAAACCACTTTATCACATATTCATCAGCAGTCTCGGAGTTTTTCTTCCCATTCCCTCCCGTAGCGGCTCACCTTTGAGGCAGGAAAGAAGCAGTTCAGGCGGAAGCCACAATCTTTACAAAGCAGGCTTCAGAGAAGCTCACCATTCATCAGCCAGTGAGGGCTGTCACCTGCTAGTTGAGAACTAAACTCAGACATCAGATTCTTCCACAAAGGCCTCCTCACCAGCTGTCCGATGGGTACGGCGTTCAAACGACTCAAAACAGCACAACAAGCCTGGTTTTATTTCTGATGGTCCCCATCAAGGGAACTGAAACTACATGCCTCTAGATTACCTTGCGATCACTCCTCATTTTATTAAAAACATGAAGAAAGAATCCACCCCATTCCGGATATTTACCAAGCTTGACACAGGGAACACCACTATGCCATTTAACTTTGTGGACGTACGTGAGTCTCTCCCTCCCACCTTTCTGAGATGTGTTTCACTGCCAAACGGAGAAGAAACGCAAACACTCCCCAAAGCCGAAAAATGGCAAACGACCAAGATGTTTCCCGTGCCAAATCCGAATTATCCAGGCCTCGGCTCCAGACGTGGGAAGTCCCGCCATCTCCAAGGCCGGCAGGGAACCCTGGCTCGGGGGACGCGAGTGGGCAAACCCCAGTGTGGGGGGACCAGGCCGAGGTCGGCCGATGCTGGGCGACCCCCGCCAGCAGTTGGGGCGGGGTCTGCACCCTGAGAAGCGGTGAAAAAAGCCGGCGGAGGAGCCGCTCCCGACCAGCACGCTCCCCGCTCCCGGCCCCGCGGGCAGCCCCGACTGGGCCCGACCCCAGCCCGCCCTCCAGCCCCGGCTCACCCCGCCCCGGCGGGCAGCTGCGCGCCCCGGGCCCAGCCGGGCCAGCTGCTCGGCGGACGCCCGCGGTCGCGCTGGGCTCACTCGTGGCGGCGCGTGGCGGGCCCGAGGCCGCTAGGCACCATCTTCTCCCCGCGCCGGGGGCAGCGTCTGGCTCCGCGGGGCCGACGCGAAGACCAGACGCCAACCGGGCTCCCGCCGCCGCCTCAGTTCGGGCTCCGGCAACCGCGGTTTCCGGGTGAAAAAAAAAAAAAAAACCACGCCACCTCCAACGCCGCCGTGACCTCCGACCCCGGGCGTCCGACGGTGGCGCGGCCGGGACAAGCTTCGTCAGAGGCAGGCGGCGGAGACCACGCTTCCGGGACGGGTAGCGTGCATGCGGACGTGCGTGGAGTGCGTGATGGACGTTTATGGGTCTGTGTGCCGGTCTGGTGTTGTGCGTGTGCGTGTGTGCGTAGTGCGTGTATGTGGCTTGTAGTGTGCATCGTGTACAACGGTGTGTGCAGTGAGTGCATGTATGTGCATCTGTGTGCGCGTGTGTGGTGTGTGATGGTATGGGTGTGTGCATGCGTAGATGTGTAGGGAGTGCGCACACGTGTGCATGCTCATGTGTGTGCTATGCGTGTGTCTGTTGATGTGCTTGTATATTAATCACTGCTGATAAACATGTAATTTTGGACCAGGCGCGGTGGCTCAGGCCTGTAATCTCAGCACTTTGGGAGGCCAAGGCAGGAGGATCGCTTGAGTCCTGGAGTTCCAGACCAGCCTGGGTAACATAGGGAGTCTCTGACTCTATTTATAAATAAAATAAAATGAAAATGAAAATTTTTAAAGTATAATTTTGTACAATCACTTTGCAAAGTAATTTGGCATTATGCAGTACACTTAAAGATATACACATCCTCTCTTGAGAATATATTACCCTGGAGAAACAGTTGCACCTATGCACAAGTAGACAAAATAATGCTCATAGCAACACCAATGTTTTTAGCAGCAGTATGACTCACTAAAAATTGGGGAGAAAAAGCAGATGTCCATACAGTCAAATGTAAAAACCAACTTTGATATATTCATGGTTTGGTTTGTTTTTGTAGAGACAGGGTCTCCCTATGTTACTCAAGCTGGTCTCGAACTACTGGACCCAAGTGATCCTCCCACCTCGGGAGGATCTGGGATTACAGGTGTGAGCTGCCACGCCTGGCCCATCTTCGTGTTTAATCGGGTACAAAAGACCAGTGAAAATTATTTAATACAGCTCACACAATTATGGTAGTCAATTGCAGACTATATTGGCAGGGACCAAATCACAAAATGGTACACTGCTACATATTTCCATTATGTAAAATTCAAAACAGGCAAGTTCATAACATATTGTTTAGAGATGCATACATAATTGTTTGAACTGACATGAAGCATGAGAAAAAGATGTATAAACTTCATGTTAAGTGTTAGGGGAATGGGATGGGGGAGGAGTACAGGGTGCTTTAAAGGTAATAAAGTTTTGTTGTTCTTGCTTTTGAGACAAGGTCTTGCTCTGTCACCCAAGCTGGAGTGCAGTCGCATGATCATGGCTCACTGCAGACTCGGCCTCCCAAGCTGAAGTGATCCTCCTGTCTCAGCCTCCTGAGTAGCTGGGACCACAGATGTGCACCATCGTGCCCAGCTAATTTTCATATTTTTCACAGAAATGGGGTTTCCCCCAAATTGCTCAGGCTGGTCTCAAACTCCTGGGCTCAAGTGATCCGCTCACTTCCACCTCCCAAAGTGCTGGGATTACAGGCATGAGCCACCACACCCAGCCATCTTTAACAAAAGTTTATCAGGTGAAGCCTGTAATGTTCAACACAATGGCTCAGTTCCTTCACTGAATACCCTCTTATTTCCATGATTCTTGCCCTCTTTTGTTATCTTGCACCATTTGAATTATCTTCCTTGTTGTAATGGGTGTGACATTATCTGCAAGTGCAGGCAGTATTGAATTGTGTATATAATGATGGAACCAAACTTCCTAATGAGATGTCCCTTACCAGGCTAGGACTGATAATGTAATTAAAGGAGCCCCACCACCAATGGCACCATATATGACTTAGTGATTGAGACCGTAGGAGAATGTAAAAAAGGCAACCTCAAACCTTTCATCCTAGCTGCCTTGTATGGGATTTCAAAAAAAATTTTTGTTTTTGTTTTGAGATGGAGTCTCGCTCTGTCGCCCAGGCTGGAGTGCAGTGGCACGATCTTGGCTCACTGCAACCTCTGCCTCCTGGGTTCAAGCGATTCTCCTGCCTCAGCCTCCTGAGTAGCTGGGATTACAGGCGCATGCCACCACGCCCCGCTAATTTTTGTATTTTTAGTAGAGAAGGTGTTTTGCCATGTTGGTCAGGCTGGTCACGAACTCCTGGCCTCAAGTGATCTGCCCACCTTGGCCTCCCAAACTGTTGGGATTACAGGTGTGAGCCCGAGTCCAGTAAAAAAAAAAAAAAAAAAAAAGAAACCTTTTTAAATAGAGACAAGGTCTCACTGTGTTGCCCAAGCTGGTTTTGAGCTTCTGGCCTTAAGCAATCCTCCTTACTCAGCTTCCCAAAGAGCTGGGATTATACGTGTGAGCTACCATGTCCAGCTGGATTGTAAAATTCTTTTTTTAAAAAAAGATTACATGGTGCAGCCACTTTTAAACAACAATCTGGCAATTTCTCAAAAAGTTTAACATAGAGTTATCATTTGAAGCCAGGTGTGTTGGCTCACGCCTGTAGTCCCAACAGTGGGAGGCTGAGGCAGGAGGATCGCTTGAGCCCAGGAGTTCAAGACCAGCCTGGCCAACATGGTAAAACCCTGTCTCTACTAAAAAATAAAAATAAAAAAATTAGCTGGGCATGGTGGTGGGCACCTGTAATCCCAGCTACTCAGGAGGCTGAGGCAGGAGAATCACTTGAACCTGGGAGGCAGAGGTTGCAGTGAGCTGAGATTGCGCCACTGCCCTCCAGCCTGGGCAACAGAGTGAGACTGTCTAAAAAAAAAAAAAAAAAAAACCATTCTGGAAAACATAGCAAACCCCATCTCATAAATAAATGAACAAGTTCTAAGACATATGGCTTTATTTAAAAAAATAAAAAGTTACTGGCCACATGTGGTGGCTCACGCCTTTAATCCCAGCACTTTGGGAGCCCAAGGTGGGTGGATCACTTGAGGTCAGGAGTTTGAGACCAGCCTTGCCAACATGGCGAAACCCCGTCTCTACTAAAAATACAAAAAATTAACCGGGTTTGGTGGCCGGTGCCTGTAATCCCAGCTACTTGGGAGGCTGAGATGAGTGGCTTGAACCCAGGAAGCAGAGGTTGCAGTGAGCTGAGATCACGCCACTGCACTTCAGCCTGGGCGACAGAGCCAGACCTTGTCGCCAAAAAAAATAAAAGTTACCATTTGACCTCACAATTCCACTCCTGGAGATCCAAGAGAATTGCAAACAAAAATTCCAAACAAAAAGTTGTACAGGAGTGTTTATAGCAGCATCATAATAGCCAAAAAGTGGAAGCAACTCAAATGTTCATCAACTGATTAATGGAAAAACAAAATGTAGCAAATTCACAAGCAGAATGGTATTCAGCCATGAAAAGGAATGAAGAAATAATGCATACTACAGCATAGATGAATGTTGAACACATTATGCCAAGTGAAAGAAGCCAGTCACAAAAGGCCCTGTATTGGATGATTGCGTGTCTATGAAATGTCCAGAATAGACACATTTATGGAACAGAAAGCAGATTGGTGGTTGGGTTGCCTAGGGTGGGTAAGAGGCAATTGGGAGGTGGTAATAGCCAGGGAGTTTCTTTTGGGAGTGATGAAAATATTCAAAAACAGGCAGTGCGCAGTGGCTCATGCCTGTAATCCCACTACTTTGCGAGGCTGAGGCTGGTGGATCACTTGAGGTCAGGAATTTGACACCAGCCTGGCCAACATGGTGAAACTCCATCTGTGTTAAAAATACAAAAAATAGCCAGGCGTTGTGGTGCCTGCCTGTAATCCCAGTTACTCGAGAGACTGAGGCACGAGAATCACTTGAACCTGGGAGGCGGATATTGCAGTGAGCCAAGATCGTGCCATTGCACTCCAGCCTGGGCGACAGAGCAAGACTCTGTCTCAAGAAAAAAAAAATTATGATGATGGTTGCACAATTCTGTGATTAAACTAAAAACCACTGAAGTGTACACTTTTAATTGAGTTAATTGTATGTATGTTAATTAGATCTAAACAAACTTTTTTTTAAGGTTAAGGCTTTACAAAAGAAATAAAACCAAAACAAGAAAAGGGATAAAAATATAGGCTCTAATCATGTGGAAATCCTTAGACAGTTAATTTTTAAATGGCATGAAAAAGAAGGAAATTGACAAAGAGCCTACAAAACTTTGAGATAATTTTCTAGGAATCTGGGGTTCCCACCGTGAAGTCTCCTCAAACTCCTTAGCATATACAGTTCTGAGGCTTAGAGAAGTTTCAGAAAGAAAATTCTTCCAATGAACCTACAGCATTGAATGCCAAAATACCCATGTTTGTTTGGGTTTTTTTATTTATTCATTTTGAGACAGGGTCTTGTTCTGTTGCCCAGGTTGGAGTGCAGTGGCACAATCATAGCTCAGTGCAGCCTCAACCTGTCGGGTTCAAGCAATCCTCCTGTCTCAGCCTCCCAAGTAGCTGGGACTACAGATGCGTGCTACCACTTCCAGCTAATCTCTTTATTTTATGCTTTGTAGAAACTGTCCATTGCCCAGGCTGGTCTCAAACTCCCAGGCTCAAGCAATCCTCCCACCTCAGCCTCCCAAAGTGCTAGGATTACAGGTGTGAGCCATCGCATCCATCCCCCACTTTTACTATTAAGTCAGTAGTCCCTTGTTCCATACTTGCAAATTTTTATTTAACATTGAGATGGTTTCAAAATTAAAAAATTAGGCAGAGCATGGTGGCTCATGCCTGTAATCTCAGCAATTTGGGAAGCTGAGGCCGGAGGATCACTTGAGGTCAAGAGTTCGAGACCAGCCTGGCCAACATGGTGAAACCCTATCTCTACTACAAATTCAAAAATGAGCCAGACATGGCGGCGGGCGCCTGTAATCCCAGCTACTTGGGAGGCTAAGGCAGGAGAATCGCTTGAACCCAGGAGGTGGAGGTTGCAGTGAGCCGAGATCAGGCCACTGCACTCCAGCCTGGGTGATAGAGTGAAACGCCATCTAAAATAATAATAATAATAATAATAATAATAATAATAATAATAATAATAATAATAAAATAAAAAAGTAAGTGACATTCCTTATCAAAAAAAGAATCAATGTGGTAATAGTGAAAGAAGATCGACAAGAAGGACTGAACCTCGTGATCCAGCTCCCAGTGGGGTTCCTGAGGCCTTTCACAAACATGTGTGGGAAATGGTCAAGATTGAGAAGAAACTCTTTCAAGTTTACCTTGACAGGAACACAGTGGAGAGTATTGCCTAGGCCTACTAATGAGCTTAAGGGCCGCAGAATTGATTCAGGGCTGTATGGGGAAGCCACTGTGATAGGGATCAAAGGTAAAGTCTGGTTCAAAGTTGGAATGTGTCATTTTTAAAAAATGTATAATGTATATTGTGACAGTGTCTCCTTTACCTGAATGCTAATAAGGGTATGGATAATAATGTCTGAATGGAAACTTCTTTCCCTGCTGAGTAAAATGAAATAAGGAATGACATGTACATCTTTCTCCAATTGGACATGCAAAAATGAGAGCCTTTACCATTACCCAAGCCAATTCACATAGTACGTCTGAAACTGTATCAGAGACCTGGGCCAGGCACAGTGGTTCACGCATGTAATCCCGCGCTTTGGGAGGCCGAGGAGGGTCACTTGAGGCCAGGAGTTCAAGACCAGCCTGGGTAACATGGCAAAACCCCATCTCTACAAAAAATACAAAAATTAGCCGGGTGTGGTGGCAGGCGCCTGTAATCCCAGCTACTTAAAGAGCTGAAGTGAGGCTGGGCGCGGTGGCTCATGGCTGTAATGCCAGCACTTTGGGAGGCTGAGGCAGGCAGATCACGAGGTCAGGAGTCTGAGACCAGCCTGACCAACATGGTGAAACCCCGTGTCTATTAAAAATACAAAACTTAGCCAGGCATGGTGGTGCATGCCTGTAATCCCAGCTACTCAGGAGGCTGAGGCAGGAGAATTGCTTGAACCTGGGAGGTGGAGGTTGCAGTGAGCCGAGATTGTGACATTGTACTCCAGCCGGGGTGACAGAGTGAGACTCTGTCTCAAAAAAAAAAAAAAAAAAAAGAACTGAAAGGGAGGACTTGCCTGAGCCCAGGGAGGTTGAGACTGCAGTGAACCATGACCGCACCACTGCACTCCAGCCTGAGTGACAGAGTGGGACCCTGTCTCTTAAAAAAAAAAAAAAAAAAAAAAAAAAAGACCTGAAGAGCAACAAGAAATTGTTTCCTAATTAAGGAATTTTTTTTTGACAATTTTATAACTTTATATGATGTATTTGACAATCAGCGATTAGTTCTCATCCACATTGTAGATTTTTGAAAGTAGTAACAGGTACATAGGTAACCAAAGTATAGAGCTTATTTGGTGAATCTTCAGCCTCATTCTATTTTCTGGACAACCACACACAGACATGGTATGGGATATTCCTTTGGCCCAGACAGCTTTGTTGAGCCTGGTATCAATGTGCATGTCTAGAGTTCCCATCTCCTTCATGGCATATTTCTGAATTTCTTTGAGTGCCCGAGGGGCACGCTTCTTGAAGCCCACTTCATGGATGCGCTTGTGAATGTTGATGGTGTATTCTCGGGTCACCACCTCGTTGATGGCAGAATGGCCCTTTTTCTTCTCACCACCCTTCTTTGCGGGAGCCATTCTGCCGGGTCTCATTAATGAAATATTAATGCAGGTATATTACGAATAAAATGTATATACAAATAGTATGCACAAACTCACTGTATGACACCCTGGTGTGGCCAGTGTGAGAGGCTGACAGATCATAGAGACTCATGGTAGACTACAGGGGATTCAACCAAACAGCAACCCCAAGTAGCCTCAGAGGCCCGGAATATGGTGCAGACTATGCAACTTACACAGCAAACTGAAAGTGAAGTGACTGGTATTCCACAGCTGATCTGGCTAGTCAATTTTGCTCCATGTCAGTTGCTAGACAGCCAATAATAATTTGCATTTATGTGCGATAGTCTACAATATACATGTGCTCTTGAAAGATATTTGAACTCTCTTGCATACTGTCACAAGCTGGTAAGGTGAGACATAGAGCTAATATAACTGGACATTATTCTAGTATGCTATATTGATGATATGATTTTCTGGGAGATTATGGGTTAAGCTAAAAGCAATCATATTTATTTATTTATTTATTTATTTAGAGATGGAGTCTCACTATGTTGCCCAGGCTGGTGTCAAATTCCTGGGCTCAAGCGATCTTCTCGCCTCAGCCTCCCAAAGTGCTGGGATTACAAGCGTGAGTCACCTCACTCAGCCTAAAACAACTTTATTAAGCTCATAATCAGATTAGGGATGGTTAATGAACTGCAAAAATCCAAGACCCACACAGACTGCAATTCGGGAAGAATTACATGGCTTTCAGTGACCTATGACCTACCACATGCAGACAACTTGGAATACAATGTCTCTCCCCACCCCTCAGAGTAAACAAGAAGCTAAATGCCTAGTGGGCCTATGTGGCTTTTGGAGACTCATATTCCTTACTCGGCCTCAGTATATAAAATCATCCAGAAAAGGGATCATCTTTGATTGGCTGGAACAGCTTCTTAGGTCTGCAGAAAATTGTAGCCCAACGTATTCTATTAGAATATGATCCCACCACTAAAATAACATGAGAAGTGTTGGCCACCCACACTCATGGCAGCTGATTCTCTAGCAAAAGCCTATAGCTGCTTGCTAGGCATGATGACTCATGCCTGTAGTCCCAACAACTTGGGAGGCTGAGATGAGAGGATCGTTTGAGGCTAGGAGTTTGAGACAAGCCTGGGCAACAGAGCGGGACCCCATCTTGAAGAAAATAAGAGAATTAAGGAAATAAAAAAACTTAGCCAGGCGTGGTAGCACATGTCTGTGGTCCTAGCTACTCAGGAGGCTGAGGCAGGAGGATCCCACTTGAGGCAAGCAGGAGGTTGAGGCTGCAGTGAGCCATGACTGCCTCATTGCACTCCAGCCTGGGCAACAGAGGGAGGCCCTGTCTCTAAAAAATAAATAAATAAACATTGGCGAGGTGCAGCGGCTCATGCCTGTAATCCCAGCACTTTGGGAGGCCAAGGCAGGCAGATAACTTGAGGTCAGGAGTTCGAAACCAGCCTGGCCAACATGGTGAAACCCTGTCTCTACTAAAAATACAAAAAATTAGCCAGGTGTGGTGGCATGCACCTGTAATCTCAGCTACTTGGGAGGCTGAGGCAAGATAATCGCTTGAACCCAGGAGACGATGGTTGCAGTGAGCCGAGATCATGCCACTGCACTCCAACCTGGGTGACAGAGCCGGTCTCAAATAAATGGATAAACAAACAAACATCGGCCATGTATTGTGGCTCATGCCTGTAATCCCAGCACTTTGGGAGGCCAAAGCGGGAAGATCACCTGAGGTCAGGAGTTTAAGACCAGCCTGGCCAACATGGTGGAACCCTATCTCTAACAAAATACAGAAGTTAGGTGAGCATGGTGGTACACGCCTGTAATCCCAGCTACTCAGAAGACTGAGGCATGAGAATCACTTGAACCCAGGAGGCAGAGGTTGCAGTGAGCCAAGATCATGCCACTGCACTCGAGCTGAGGTGACAGAGTGCGACTCTGTCTCAAAAAATATATATTAAAAATTTTTTAAAAAATAAATATATTCAGGAACAAATAGCCTCTCCTCCTAGGACTTACTCTAGAGATGTCCAGGGACCTGCCTGCTACTATTGCCATATGTACCCCTCTGTTCAACCAATTGCCAGAGGATTCCAGGCAACTGGCTGGCCCACAGATTACAGTTTCAGAATCACAGGCCATAGATCAACATGGAGAGCTGCTACCTGAGTCCAGGAGATTGGCAAACACAAGCTGACCCAGGGGCTATATTCAGCGCAGTAATTGATGAACTGGACACAGATAAAGGACCCATTGGTTGGCTGCAGATTGACACTTGTCAGTGGACTTGCAATGTGGCTTAAGTGGGTTCTTACGTTACTGGAGAATACAATGCATCCCCTTGTGGACTACTGCCCTTGGGAAACCTCCATGGGAATTTAAAAGGCAAGTGAGACCAGGTGCAGTGGCTCATGCCTATAGTCTCAGCACTCTGAGAGACCAAGATGGGAGGACTGCTTGAGGCCAGGAGTTGGAGACAAGCCTGGGCAACATAGCAGGACTCCATCTCTACAAAATAAAAAAAAAAAAATTAGCCAGGTATAGTCGCACACGCCTGTGGTCCCAGGTACTTGGGGAGCTGAGGGAGGAGAATCGCTTGAGTCCAGGAGGTTGAGGCTGCAGTGAGCTATGATCGTACCACTGCACTCCAGCCTGGGGAACAGAACAAAACCCCGTCTCTGAAAATATATATAAAATAAATAAAATAAAAGGCAAATCAAAGCAGGGCATGTCAATGCTCACCAAAAGAAGCCTTATGCCAGGGTCTGAAGGTGGCCAGAATCAACAAGTGAATACCTAGTTTATTTTTTTATGAGATGGAGTCTCACTCTGTCACTTAGGCTGGAGTGCAGTGGAGCGATCTTGGCTCACTGCAACCTCCGCCTCCTGGGTTCAAGTGATTCTCCTGGCTCAGCCTCCTGAATAGTTGGGATTGCAGGCATGCACCACCACATCCTGCTAACTTTTGTATTTTAGTGGAGACAAGGTTTCATCATGTTGGCCAGGCTGGTCTCAAACTCCTTACCTCAAACGATCTACCTGCCTCGGCCTCCCAAAGTACTGGGATTACAGGCATGAGCCACTGCACCTGGCCCCTTAGTTCATTTTATTTATTTATTTTTGAGGCAGGGTCTTGCTCTGTTGCCCAGGCTGGAGTGCAGTAGCACCATCACAGCTCACTGCAGCTTCAACCTTCCAAATTCAAGTAGATCCTCCCATCTCAGGCTCCCAAGTAGCTGGGACCACAGGCATGTGCCACCACACCCAGCTAATTTTTTTTTTTTTAGTAGAGATGGGGTCTCCCTATGTTGCCCAGGCTGGTCTCAAACTCCTGACCTCAAGCAATTCTACTGCTTCAGCTTCCCAAAGTACTGGGATTACAGGCTTGAGCAACTGCACCTGCCCTACTTCAATCTCATAAAGTAGCAATGTGGGTCCATAAAATGAGTGGGCCCGGGGCACTCGTGCCATGAAGTGAGGGGCTGAGCACCATGTAGTACTTTCCCTGCAGAAGTTCAAATGTTTACTAAACATTGCTCTGTTTACCAACAGAAAAGGTTATGTTTGCAGTTAGGTCTGGGAGTATTTCCTGGGGAGGAAGTCCAGCCCACAGCTGGCAAGTAGATGATACTGGCCCTTTACCCATTTTTCCAAGAGAAATTAAATGGACACCGACAGGTCTGCATGCATACTCTGAGTTTGGCTTTGTTTTTATTTTTTAATTATTTTTAGTTTTTACAGGCAGGGTATCACCTGTTGCCCAGGCAGGAGTACAGAGGTGCAATCACAGCTTACTGCAGCCTCAACTTCAGAGGCTCAGGCGATCCTCCCACTTCAGCCTCTTGAGTAGCTGGCACTACCAGTGCATGCCACCAAGCCTAGCTAATTTTTTAATTTTTTTGTAGAAATAGGGTCTCACTATGTTGCCCAGGCTGGTCTCAAATTCCTGGGCTCAAGTGATCCTCCTGCCTCAGCTTTCCAAAGTGCTGGGATTACAGGCATGAGTGATCACACCTGGTCTGTTTGGCTTTGATAGCCATATTGGTTTGGCACTCTCAGTTACGTTTTCCCAGATCAAGACACTCAATCCACAGCCCATGCCGAGCAACAATGAGCAAAGAACCAGCATATTCGATGGACTTATCACATTCTTTATCACTCTCAAACTCTCAGGTTAATTGAAAATTAAAATGGGCAATTAAAACACTGTCATGTCTGTAATCCCAGCACTTTGGGAGGCCGAGGTCAGGAGATCGAGACCATCCTGGCTAACATGGTGAAACCCCATCTCTACTAAAAATACAAAAGTTAGCTGGGCATGGTTGTGCGCACTTGTAATCCCAGCTACTTGGGAGGCAGAGGCAGAATCGCTTGAACCAGGTTGTGGTGGGCAGATCGCTTGAGGCCAGGAGTTCCACATCAGCCTGAGCAATCTAGTGAGACCCCGTATCTATAAAAAATTTAAAAATGAGCCAGAAGTGGTTCATAGTGGTTAAGTAGCTGTAGTCCCAGCTACTCAGGAGGCGGAAGGGGGAGGATCATTTGGAACCCAGGATTGAAGGCTAGAGTGAGCTAGGATTGTGTCACTGCACTCCAGCCTGGGCAAGAGGGAAACCCTGTCTCAAAAATAAAAAAAAAAACTGAGGAGACGTGATAAAGGAGTGACACTCAGCCTACAACCACCCGGCATTTTGTTCAGAGAAGGACTAAGTGTAGGACTCTTTGGACAAATTATTATGCTTTTGTGGTGGGAATTGGGGAAAGGAGGAGGGGTGTGATGGTTAATATTGAGTGTCAACTTGATTGGATTGAAGGATGCAAAGTATTGTTCTTGGGTGTGTCTGTGAGGGTGTTGCCAAAGGAGATTAACATTTGAGTCAGTGGACTGGGAGACGCAGACCTACCCTCAATCCAGGTGGGCACCATCTAATCAGCTGCCAGCGAGGCCACAATAAAAAGTAGGCAGAAGAACGTGAAGAGATTAGACTGGCTTAGCCTCTGAGCCTACATCTTTCTCCTGTGCTGGATGGTTCCTGCCTTCAAACATCGGACTCCAAGTTCTTCAGCTTTGGAACTCAAACTGGCTTCCTTGCTCCTCAGCTTGCAGATGGCCTGTGATGGGACCTTGTGATTGAGTTAATACCCCTTAATAAATTCATATATATATATATATATTCTATTAGTTCTGTCCCTTTAGTGGACCCTGGACCCTAATACACATTTTGGTACCAGAAGTGGGGTCCAGAACAGGAGAAGGCTCTGCAACAGGTCCAGTCCACTGTGCAAGCTGCTCTGCCACTTGGGCCATATGACCCAGCGGACCCAGTGGTGCTTGAGGTGTCAGTGGCAGATAGGGATGGTGTTTGGAGCCTCTGGCAGACCCCCATAGGCCTCTAGGATTTTGGAGCAAGGCCCTGCCATCTTCTGCATATAACTACTCTCCTTTTGAGAGACAGCTCTTCACTTATTACTGGGCTTTGGTGGAAACTGAACATTTGACTATGGGTCATCAAGTCACCATGAGACCTGAACTACCTGTCATGAACTGGTGTTTTCTGACCCACCTAGCCATAAAGTGGGTCGTGCACAGCAGCATTCCATCATCAGATGGAGGTGGTATATATGTGATCGGGCTCCAGCTGGTCCTGAAGGCACAAGTAAGTTACATGAGGAAGTGGCTCAAATGCTCGTGGTCTCCACTCCTGCCACCCTATCTTCTCTTCCCCAGCCTGAAATGATGGCCTCATGGGGAGTTCCCTATGATCAGTTGACAGAGGAAGAGAAGACTAGGGGCTGGTTCACAGGTGGTTCTGCACGATATGCAGGCACCACCCAAAAATGGACAGCTGCAGCACTACAGCCCCTTTCTGGGACATCCCTTATGGACAGCAGTGAAGAAAAATCTTTCCAGTGGACAGAACTTCAAGCAGTGCACCTGGTTGTGCACTTTGCATGGAAGGAAATGGCCAGGTGTGCGATTATATACTGACTCATGGGCTGTAGCCAATGGTTTGGCTCTATGGCCAGGGACTTGGAAGAAGCATGATTGGAAAACTGGTGACAAAGAAATTTGGGGAAGTATGTGGATGGACCTCTCTGAGTGGTCAGAAACAGTCAAGATATTTGTATCTCATGTGAGTGCTCACCAAAGGGTGACCTCAGCGGAGGAGGATTTTAATAATCAAGTGGACAGGGTGCCTCATTCTGTAGACACCACTCAGCCTTTTCCCCAGTCACCACTGCCATCGCCCAATGGGCTCATAAACAAAGTGGCCATGGTGGCAGGGATAGACTTTCTCAGCAACATGGACTTTCACTCACCAAGGCAGACCTGGCTACAGCCACTGCTGAGTGCCCCATTTTCCAGCAGCAGTGCCCAACACTGAGCCCTTGATATGGCATCATTCCTTGGGTGATCACACAGCTACATGGTGGCAGATTGATTATATTGGACTTCTTCCATCATGGAAAGGGCAGAGGTTTCTCCTCCCTGGAATGGACACTCCAGATATGAGTTTGCCTATCCTACACGCAATGCTTCTGCTAAGACTACCATCTGTGGATTCACGGAATGCCTTATCCACCGTCATGGTATTCCACACAGCATTGCCTCTGACCAAGGCACTCACTTTACAGCTAGTGTGACAGTGGGCTCATGCTCTTGGAATTCACTGATCCCACCATGTTCCCCACCATCCCGAAGCAGCTGGATTGATAGAATGGTGGAATGGCCTTTTGAAGTCACAATTACAATGCCAACTAGGTGATAATACTCTGCGGGGCTGGGGCAAATTTCTCCAGAAGGCCATGTCTGCTCTGAATCAGCATCCAATATATGGCATTGTTTATCCCATAGCCAGGATTCACAGGTCCAGGAATCAAGGGGTGGAAGTGGAAGTGGCATCACTCACCATCACCCCTAGTGATCCACTAGAAAATTTTGGCTACCTGTTCCCACAACATTACATTCTGCTGGTCTAGAGGTCTTAGATCCAGAGGGAAGAAAGCTGCCACCAGGAGACACAACGATTCCATTAAACTGGAAGTTACGATTGCCACCTGGACACTTTGGGGTCCTGCCACTTTTAAATCAACAGGCTAAGAAGGGAGTTACAACCTTCTGGGATGATTGACCCAGACTATCAAGATGAAATCAGTCTACTACTCCACAATGGAGGTAAGGAAGAATATGCATGGAATACAGGAGATGCCCTGTGATTAAGGTCAATGGGAAACTATAACAGCCCAACCCAGGCAGGACTACAAATGGCCCAGACCCTTCAGGAATGAAGGCTTGGGTCACTCCAGGAAAAAACCTGCTGAGATGCTTTCTGAAGGCAAAAAGAATACAGAATGGGTAATAGAAAAAGGCAGTCATCAATACCAGCTATGACCATGTGACCAGCTACAGAAACGAGGACTGTAATTGTCATGAGTATTTCCTCCTTTTGTTAAAAACATGTTTGTGCATATATAAGCTTGTACTAAGAATATTTCATTTCCTTTTTCCTTTATTGTGTGAATAACTTATATTGACTTCATATAAGCATCTAAGTGTTAGTTTTATATAAGGGCATTTGGGTTCAGGATTGGTGCATTTCCAGTTGTATGAAGAATACTTTTATTATTATCTTAGGCACAATTATGACCTTATTATTATCTTTATTTGAAGATTATGTATAATTTCAGAAGATGTGTATGGGTTAAAGTTGACAAGGGGTGAACTTGTGATGGTTAATATTGACTGTCAACTCTATTGGACTGAAGGATGCAAAGTATTGTTCCTGGGTGTGTATGTGAGGGTGTTGCCAAAGGAGATTAACATTTGAGTCAGGGGGCTGGGAAAGGCAGACCCGCCCTTAAACTAGGTGGGCACAATCTAATCAGCTGCCAGTGTGGCAAAAATAAAAATGAGGCAGAGGAACATAAAGAGGTGAGACTGGCTTAGCCTCCGAGCCTACATCTTTCTCCCATGCTGGATGGTTCCTGCCCTAGAACATCGGACTCCAAGTTCTTCAGGTTTGGGACTCAGAATGGCTTCCTTGCTCCTCAGCTTGCAGACAGCCTATTGTGGAACCTTGTGATCCTGTGAGTTAATACCCCTTAAGAAACTCCCTTATATATATACATCTATCCTAACAGTTCTGCTCCTTTAGAGAACTGTGACTAATACGAAGGGTGACAATAGAGGAATTTATATGCTAGACTTTTATACTTTACCTCAATTTTCATTACCTTTTGAAGAAAAAATGTTTCACATAATAATCACATAACAATAATTTATTCAAATTTATTAAGGCAGGAGCTGGGCCTAAAGAGGGTGCTGAGAGGCAGGAGCTGGGCCTGGAGAGGTCAACTGAAGGAAATTTTTGGCCTAAGGAGGCTGCCAGGAAGCAGGAGCTGGGCAAAAACAGGTTGTTGTTAGGCAGGATTTGGGCTCATAGAGGCAGCCAGGAGGCAGGAACTGGATCTTTATAAAAGGGGCAACGTAAGGCAGGAGCAGGGCCTGCAGAGTCTACCAGGAAGCAGGACCAGGGCACAAGAGGCTGACATGAGGCAGAAAGTTGCCCTTGGGAGGCCACTGTGAGGCAGGACTCTTGAAAGGACGCAAAGCTGGGCCTGTAGTGGCTGCTAAAAGGCAGGAACGTGGTCTGGAAGGCCCTGGTGAGGAAAGAGTTGGGCCAAAAGAGGCCACTAGGAGGCAGGAGCTGGGCCTCAGGAGGCTGCCATAAAACAGGAGCTGGGACTCGGAAGGCAGACATGAAGCAAAAGCTGGCCTTTGGAAGGCTGATGAAAGGGAGAAGCCGGGCCTGGTGAGGTTGACTTGAGAAAGTTTGGGGCCTGGAGAGATCCATGGGAGGCAGGAGCCAAACTTGTAGACGCTACTGGAAGGCAGGAGGTGGGCCTGGTGAGGTAAACATGAGGAAGTTCTAGGCCTGGAGAGACAAGTCGGAGAAAGGAGCTGGGGGTAAAGAGGCTGTTGTAAGGCTTGAGATAGGCCTGCAGAGGCGGCCTGGAGGCAGGAGCTGGGCCTGGAGATGCCAAATTGAGGAAGTTTTAGGCCTGCAGAGGCCGTGAAGAGAAAGGAGCTAAGCCTGGAGAGACCGATGAAAGGCAGAAGCTGGGGCTAGAGAGGCCATTGGCAGGCAAAAGCTGGGGCTAGAGAGGCCATTGGCAGGCAAAAGCTCGGCCTCTGGAGGCCGCAAGGAGACAGGAGCCGGGCCTGGTGAGGTTGACTTAAGGATGTTTTGGTCCTGGAGAGGCCGGGCCTAAAGAGGCTGTTGAAAGGATGATGCCAGGCCTGTAGAGGCCAACAGAAGGCAGGAGCTGGGCCTGAGAAGCCCAAATTAAGAAAGTTTTAGGCCTGTAAGTTCCCTAAAGAGGCAGGAGCTAGGCATGCATGGAGAGGCTGCTGTGAGGCAGAAGCTGGGCCACTAGAGGTTGCCAAGAGGCAGGAGAATGGCTTGAAGATGTAGCAGTGAAAATGAGCTGAGTCTAAAGAGGTCATTGTTAGGCAGAAGCTGAGATCCTAGAGGACACTCAGAGGTACAAGTTGGGCCTGGAGAGGTCGACTGGAAAAAATTATTGACTTAAAAAGAGCACCAAGGCAGTAGCTGGGCCTGGAGTGGACACAGGAAGGCAGAAGGTGGGACCTGGGAGGCCGCCATTAAACAGGAGCTGAGTTTATGAGGCAAAAGCTGGGCCTTAAAAGGCTGACCAGATGCAGAAGCTAGGCCTGGTGACGATGACGTGAGAAAGTTCTGGGCCTGAAGGGACAATGCAAACGCAAGAGCTGGGCCTAAATAAGCCATTCGAAAAATGGAGTTCGGCCTCAAGAAACTGCAGAAAAGCAAAAGCTGGGCTTGGAGATGCTGCAACGAGGCAGGCACAAAAATGGTCTAGCAACTGGAAACAGCTCTGGGCCTGGAGAGGATGCCGGGAGGCGAGAGCCGGGTCTGGAGAGAGGCCGCCCACAGGCAGGAGCTGGGCCTGAGGCGGCCAAGCCGAGGCACGAGCTGGGCCCGGAGGGGCCACTGTGGGGCAGAGGCCGTGCCCCCAGGGGCCTACGCCAGGCAGGAGCTGGGCCTGGCGAGGCCGACTTCGGGCCGCCTCGGGTGGGCCCGCACAGGCCATCAGCGGGAGGCAGGAGCTGGGCCCAGAGGGGCCGACGTTGAGGAAGGGAGCCTTGGGCTGGGAGACGCCGTCGGGCTGGGCGGGAGCCGGGCCTGGAGAGGCCGCCGCGAGGCACGAGCTGGGCCTGGAGGGGCCCGCGTGAGGCAGGAGCCGGGCTCGTGGAGGCTGCCGGGAAGCCGGCACGAGCATGGCCGGGGAAGGCCGCCACGAGGCAGGAGGCAGGCCTGGAGAGCTGGACCGGAGGAGGCTTCGGGTCTACGGAGGCCGCTGGGAGCTGGGCAGGAGCCGAGTCACAGGAGGATGTTCAGAGGCAGGAGCTGGGCCCGCGGGCGCAGCCACGAGCAAGGAGCTGGGCCCGGAGAGGAGGCCGGGAGGCGGCCACTGGGCTGGCAGAGGCCGACTTGAGGAAGTCCTGGGCCTGGAGAGGCTGCCAGAAGGGCAAAGGTGGGCCTCAGGAGGCCGCGGCGAGGCACGAGCCGGGCCTAAAGAGGCCATTGGGACGCAGGAGTCAGGCCCGCGGAGGCCACCGAAAGGCAGGAGTGTGGCCTGGTGCAGGCCGTGGTGAGGCACGAGATGAGCCTAAAGATGCCATCGGGAGGCAGGAGCCGGGATTGTCGGGGCTGCCGCGAGGCAGGCGGAAACGTGGCCCAGGGAGGCCAACGTGAGGCAAGAGCTGGGCCTGGAGAGGCCGCTGTCAGGCAGGAGCTGGGCCTCTCCATGCCACCGGGGAGCCAAAGGCAGGGCCTGAAAGGCCTGACTTAGAGGATCCTGGGGTTTACAAAGGCTGCCAGGAGCTGGGCAGGAGCTGGGCCGAACGTGGCTTTTGCGAGGTAGGAGCTGGGCCGGCAGGCACAGCTGAGAGGGAGAGTTGGGCCTGGAGAGGCCGGCTGGAAACAGTACTGGGCCTGGAGAGGATGGTGAGAGGCAAGAGCTTGGCCCATGGAGGCTGCCAACAGGCAGGGCAGGAGCTTCGGCTGATGTGGCCACGCTGAGGCAACAGCTGGGACTGGGGGGTTCCACTTTTAGAAGGCAGAGGCCGTGCTTCTAGGGGCCTATGACAGGCAGGAGCTAGGCCCGGCGAGGCCGACTTCAGGATACTTTGGGTCTGCACAGGCCATCAGCGGAGGGCAGGAATTGGGCCCTGGATGGGCCAACTTGAGAAAGCCTTGGGCCGGTCGGGGTGGGCGGGAGCTGGGCCTTGAGAGACCACCGTCAGGCGTGAGCTGGGCCTAGAGACCCCAGTGTGAGGCAGGCGCCGGGCTTTTTGAGGCCGCCGAGAGGCTGGCAGGAATACAGCCGGGGAAGGCCGCCGTGAGGCAAGAGCTGGGCCTGGGAAGGCCGCTGCGAGGCCACAGGTGGGCCTGAAGAGCTGTGCTGGAGGAGGTTTCGGGCCTACAAAGGCCGCCAGGAGCTGGGCACGAACCGAGTCAAAAGCGGCTGTCTGCAGGCAGGGGCTGGGCCTGGAGGTACAGCCGCGAGAGTGTGCTGGGCCTGGAGAGTAGGCCGGGAGACAGCCACCAGGACAGGGGAGGCTTGCCAATTTGGGCCTGGAGAGGCCGCCACGAAGGAAAAGCTGGGCCTTTGAAAGAGGCCATTGTGAGGGACGAGCCGGGCCTAAAGAGGCCGTCAGGACGCAGGAGCCGGACCTGCGGAAGCCGCCGAAAGGCAGGAGCCTGGCCTGGGGGAGGCTGCAGTGAGGCATGAGATGAGCCTAAAGAGGCCATCAGGAGGCAGGAGCTGGGTCTTTCGGGGCTGCCGCGAGGCAGGGGGAAATGTGTCCCGGGGAGGCCGACGCGAGACAAGAGCTGGGCCCGGAGAGGCCGCTGTCAGGCAGGAGCTGGGCCTCTCCAGGCCGCCAGGGAGCTGAAGGCAGGGCCTGGAAGGCCTGACTTAGAGGAGCCTGGGGCCTACAAATGCTGCCATGAGCTGGGCAGGAGTTGGGCCGAACGTGCCTGTTGCGAGGCAGGAGCTGGGCCGGCAGCCACAGCCGGGAGGGAGAGCTGGGCCTGGAGAGGCCGGCTGGAAACAGTTCTGGACCTGGAGAGGATGGCGAGAGGCAAGAGCTGGGCCTGTGGAGGCTGCCAACAGGCAAGGCAGGAGCTTGGCCTGAGGTGGCCATGCTGAAGCAAGAGCTGGGTCTGGGGGGGTCCACTGTGAGGAGGCAGAGGCCATGCCTCTAGGCGCCTACGACAGGCAGGAGCTGGGCCTGGCGAGGCCGACTTCAGGACGCTTTGGGCCCACACGGGCCATCGGCGGGAGGCAGGAACTTGGCCTGGAAGGGCCATCTTGAGAACGCCTTGAGCCGCGAGACGCTGTTGGGGTGGGCGGGAGCTGGGCCTGGAGACGCCACTGTGACGCCTGAGCTGGGCCTAGAGAGGCCAGTGTGAGGCGGGAGCTGGGCTTGTTGAGGCTACCGCGAGGCCGGCTAGAAAATGGCCGGGGAAGGCCGCTGTGAGGCAAAAGCTGGGCCTGGGAAGGCCGCTGTGAGGGGAGACTGGGTATGGAGTGCTGGACTGGAAGAGATTTCAGGCCTACAAAGGCTGCCAGGAGCTGGGTAGGAGCCGAGTCAAAAGAGGCTCTTTGGAGGCAGGAGCTGGGCCTGTAGACACAGCTGCGAGAGAGGACTGGGACTGGAGAAGAGGCCGGGAGGCAGCAACTGCGGTGGGGGAGGCCGACTTGAGGAATTTCTCGGCCTGGAGAGGCCACCAAAAGGGAAAAGCTGGGCCTAAGGTGGCCGTTGTGAGAAATGAGCTGGGCCTAAAGAGGCCATCAGGATGATCAGGACGCAGAGCTCGGCCTCTGCTGCAGAGGCTGCTGAAACGCAGCAGCTTGGTTTGGCGAGGCCACGGTGAAGCATGAGATGAGCCTAAAGAGGTCACTGGAAGGCAGTAGCTGGACCTGTCAGGACATGACGCTCAGGTGGTTATGCGAGCGATGGGGAGGGGCTATAAATACAAACGAATTTTCCCCTCACTTTGCTGCTCACCACCAGCTCTGTGGCCCTGTGGTGGAGACCCCTGCTCAGGTGCATTTGAAAGGTTCCGTCCCATGCCATTCTTCAGAGTCATCTTTATTGCCACAGTGGTGAAGCATAGCATCCGTTAACTCGCATGGCATATGCCTTGGCTAGCATTTCATCACAATAAACAGTAAGTGGTAGCTTCACTCATTGTGAGGACACTTCCTGGAAATCACCAGCATCCCATGTCCCATTGGCAAGAAACTCAGCACTGCTCCTTGGATAACCAAACCAAGGCTGAAATCCCATGTATATGTGTCTATCTCCTGGTACTCTTCCTAGCATCAATTCTGTATTTCTAGGAGTCCAATCAAAACATATAAACCGCTCAAAAGTTTAAACTGGAATGCGCACGGTGGCTCAAACCTGTAATCCCAGCGCTTTGGGAGGCCAAGGCGGGTGGATTACTTTGAGCTCAGGAGTTGAGACCAGCCTGGGAAACACGGCAAAACCCTGTCTCTACAAAAAGCACAAAAAAAGCACAAAAATTAGCCAGGCATGCTGGCACATACCTGTAATCCCAGTTACTTGGGAGGCTGAGGATGGAGAATTGCTTGAGCCTTCGAAGTGGAGGTTGCTGTGAGCAGAGATCATGCCTCTGCACTCCAGCCTTGGTGACAGACTGAGACCCAATACCAAAAAAAAAAAAAGTAACTTTAATATAAAAAATATTAATTATAACAGAGGATCAGCATAATGAGTGACACACTAGCACTAACTACAGACAATTCTAGAGAATACAAAACTAGCAGAGGCCAGGCATGGTGGCTCATGCCTGTAATCCCAGCAATTTGGGAAGCCTAGGTAGAAGGACTGCTTGAGGCCAAAAGTTGGAGACCAGGCTGGGCAACTTAGTGAGACACTGTGTCTACCAAAAAAAAAAAAAAATTAGCCAGGTATGGTGGTGGTGCACAACTGTAGTTCCAGCTACTTGGGAGTCTGGGGTCGGAAGATCCCTTGAACCTGGGAAGTCTAGGCTGTAGTGAACCAAGATCATGCCAGTACACTCTCGCCTGAGCAGCAGAGTGAGACCCTGTCTTAGGGAAGGGGAGGGGAAGGGAGGAGAGGGGAGGGGAGAGGAGGGGAGAGGAATGCTAATCCCCCTATAAGAATCTCCTCTTCTCCTGCCCTCTCTGGAACCTCACTTGTCAGTTCTTCCTCCCACTTCCCTGTATGTTTAACCTGTCCCCTGCTTTTAGCTCCTTCCCACCAGCATTTAAATTACTCAAACTTCTGCTATTTTAAAAAACTCTCCCTAAACTCAGTGTGTTCCCTGCTTTAGGTCTCCAGCACACCCACTGAGCCATCTGCTCCCCCTGGTGCCTTCTCCACACAGCAGCGTGAGCCATGTCTCTCATACGTGAATCTCATCACATTACTCCCCTGTTTACATCACTTCTCCTTGCCTTTGGGATTAAGTCCAAACTCCTTAACAGGCCCTGCTCTGCCCTGTCTTGCAAGGCAGCCTCACTGCTTGCCCCTCTCCATTTTACCTGCTGTGGAGTCCAACTGAGCCTCATCTGTCCCTTGAATGCCCACTCTCTCTCTCTGCGAGCCTGCGAAGTGGGTGATGCCCTCTGCTTAGAATACGCTTCCCCTTATCTACTCTCTTCCTGGCTAGCTTCAGCTCCTCTGTCACTTGTCCGCTTTAGCACCACCTCCTCCAGGAAGTCTTCCTTGACTCCCTAGATTCTCAGGAGCATGGGAAGCGAGGTGCTCCTCCCATAAATGAATGGAGATTAGGGAGTGTGTGTTATTCATGTTTAATTCACCAGTGCTTACCTCAGTACCTGGCACAAAATAGTCATGGTGGTGGCCAAAGTATCACAGTGGTGGCCAAAGTAATGACCCCCCAACTGCTCATGTCCTATGTTACACCGCATAATTACATAGGAAGGGGGAATTAAGAGTACAGATGGAATTAATGTTGCTAATCAGCTGACCTTAAAACAAGATTATCCTGCAGTATCTGGGTGAGCCCATGTAATTACAAGGGTTCTTTAAATGTGGAAGAGGGAGGCAGAAGGTTAAGAACCAGAGACATTGGGCATAATGGCTCATGCCTGCATTACCAGTACTTTGGGAGGCCAACACAGGAAAATCCCTTGAGTGCAGGAGTTCAAGGCCAGCCTTGGCAACATAGCAAGGCCCATCTCTACAAAAAAAAAAAAAAAAGTCAAAATTCACCGAGTGTCATGGCACCAACCTGTAGTCCCAGCTACTGGGAAGGATGAAGTGGGAGGATTGCTTGAGCCTGGAAATCTGAGGTTACAATGAGCCATGATTGGACTACTGAACTCCATCCTGGGTGACAGAGCAAGGTCCTGCTTCTAAAGAAAAAAACAAAAGGACATTGGAATCAGGGTCCCCTCCATCCTAAGGTGCCTACAAGACATCTCTCTCTGCAAATGAGTGAACATCATCCTCCAGCTCCTCACAGAGTGGAGCAGCAGGAAAACTCCCTCACCTCATTTCTGTGCTGCTTGGGAGGCCTGGACAGCTCAATAACCAGCTCCTTGTGGAAGAACCAATTGGGAAATGGCTCGAGTTGAGCTAAGGAGAATTTGGTTCTTTCTTATGGTTCTCAATAGGCAGGGTAGGGGCCAGGCATGGTGACTCATACCTGTAATCCTTGCACTTCGGGAGGCCAAAGTGAGAGGATCGCTTGAGGCCAGGAGCTCAAAACCAGCCTGGGCAACATAGCAAGACCCGGGTGGCATGCACTTGTGGTCCCCACTACTTGGTAGGATAAGGTGGGAGGACTGATTACTTGATCCCAGGAGTTTCAGTCTGCAGTGAGCCATGATGATACCACTGCACCCCAGCCTGGCTGACAGAGCCAGACCATGTCTCAAAAAGTAAAAGAGACTATAGGCAAGCAACAACACATCTGGCTAATTTTTAAATATTCTGTTGAGATGAGGTCTTGCTAGGTTGGTCTAAAACTCCTGGCATCAGGCCAGACACAGTGGCTCATGCCTGTAATCCCAGCACTTTGGGCGGCTGAGGTAGGGGGATCACCTGAAATCAGGAGTTTGAGACCAGCCTGACCAACATGGCAAAACTCCGTCTCTACTAAAAATACAAAAATTAGTCGGGCAGTAGTGGCATGTACCTGTAATCCCAGCTACTCAAGAGGCTGAGGCAGGAGAATCGCTTGAACCTGGGAGGTGAAGGCTGCAGGCAGCTGAGATCACACCACTGCACTCCACTCTGGGCGAGAGTGAGATTCTGTTTCAAAACAAAACAAAACAAAAACCTCCTGGCATCAAGAGATCTTCCTGTCTCAGCATCCAAATGCCCCGGGATTATATTTTTTGTTTACCATAATTGAAAACACTTGTTCTTATACTGCTTTAAGGTATAAACGAAAAAAAATGGACAATAACAAATGTTGGTGAAGGCCAGGCATGATGGCTCAGCCTGTAATTCCAGAACTTTGGGAGGGTGAGGTGGGCAGATCACTTGAGGCCAGGAGTAAGAGACCAGCCTGGGCAACATGGTAAAACCCCATCACTACAAAAAAATATAAAAATTAGCCAGGCATGATGGCGTGTACCTATAATTCCCAGCTACTCAGGAGGCTGAGATGAGAAGATCATTTGTGCCTGGGAGGTCAAGGCTGCAGTGAACTGTGATGGCGTCACTGTACTGCAGCCTGAGAGACAGAGCAAGCCCCTGTCTAGAAAAAAAAAATAATGTCAGTGAAGATGTGGAGGAACTGGAACCCACATACATCACTGGTGGAAATATAAAATGGTGTAACCACTTTGGGTATTTCTTTTCTTGTCATTTTAATTGGATTTTTAAAAGAAAAATCAAGACAGGGTCTCACTGTCTTGCCCAGGCTGGTCTTGAACTTGTGTGCTCAACCCATCCTCTCAAATGAGCCTCCTGAGTAGCAGGGATTACAGGTGTGAGCCATTGCACCCAACTGGTGTAGCCACTTTAGAAAACAGTCTGGCAGTTTCCCAAAAGGTTAAATGTAAAATATAATGTAACAATTTCACTCCTAGGCATATATCCCAGAGAAATAAAAATATATGTCCACACAAAAACTTGTACTGTAATCTTCATAGCAGCATTATTCATAATAGCCAATACGTGGAAACAACCCAAATGTCCACCAACTGATAAATGGATCAACAAAATGCAGTGTGTCTCTACCATGGAATATTATTCAGCCATAGAAAAAATGAAATACTGATATACCCTATGACATAAAGGAACTTTGAAAACATTGTGCTAAGAGGGAAAAATGCCACAAAAGATCACCTATTGTACAATTCTATTTGTCCAGATTAGGTAGTGACAGAAAATGAATCCATGGTTGCCTGAGGCTGGGGGCAAAGGCAGGTTGGGGGAGTGGATGTAATGGCTAAGGGTGCAGATTTCTCTATAGAGTAATGAATGGTTCTAAAAGTGACTGCGGTGATCGATGCACAGCTCTGTGAATATTCTAAAATATTCTGAACTGCAGATTTCAATAAATTGAATGGTGTGTGAATCATATTTTAATAAAGCTATTATTTAAAAACATAATAATAAGGGGCTAGGCACAGGTGGTCATGCCTGCCTGTAATCCCAGCACTTTGGAAGGCTGAGGCAGGAGGATCACTTGAGGTCAGGAGTTTGAGACCAGTCTGAGCAACCTAACAAGATCCCATCTCTATGAAAAAATAAATAAGTAAATAAATAAATAAAAAATTAGCTGGGCATGGCGGCACATGTCCGTAGTTTCAGCTACTTGGGAGACTGACGTGGGAGGATGGCTTGAGGCCAGGAGTTTGAAGCTGTAGTGAACCATGATCATGTCACTGTACTGCAGCCTGGGCCACAGATCAAGATCTTCTCTCTAAAAAGGAAAGAAAAGAAATGCAAGTTTTTATCACTTTTTGAGTGTAGCCAAGTTTGAGGAGAAATAGATAAGAATAAAAGAGCACTGAATAATGATGGTTAGTGGCTGGTTAGGCTCAGCTGCCAGCTAAGTGGATTCTGAAAAATTTGTTAGTAAAGTTACAGCTCTGGGGACAGTCATGCAGTCAAACAATGAATGCTAAATTCATTACAAATGCCCATGGTCTTTCTTTACATGCCTTCTAGTGAAAAATTCCTAAGTGCCTGAATAGCAAGTCTGCAATGATAGCAGCTGTTTATTAAAGGCTACAAAAAAGAAATGGCATCTTCTTCAAGAATGACAAAGTGTTTCATGATAAAGAAGCTCTAATTTTGCATTTGTTCAAGTATTGATTAGATTTAGCCAATATGAAACCAATCTTGGATAAAGTGCAAACAACATAATTTCATTTTCTCATTAATCAAAACTGATTAGGTAGTCTAATGTCAATTCTGATCTTATTAAAAAGTGATCAGATAAAAAAAATTACGGAATGATGAAACCAATAAGATGTTACAACCTGTTCCAAGGAGAATTCCAAAACCCACACATATCTGAGACCATCAAGTATGAGGAAATATATCTGATTACTAAAATTAAAAATAAACTGATTATATAGCCAACAATAATTAGGCAGGGGTCTCCTCATCCACAGCCACACAAACTCAATCATGCAGCTATGTGGCTGCAAGGCCTCCATAGCCTAGAAGGGACTGGTCTGACTTGAAATTTCATTTTATTTGTATTTGTATTTTGAGACAGGGTCCCGCTCTGTCACCCAGGTTGGAGTGCAGTGATATAATCATAGTTCACTGCAGCCTCGTCCAACTGGACTCAAGAGATCATCCTGCCTCAGCCTACCCCTAACTGGGAATACAAGCAAGTGCCACCATGTCAGGCTATTCTTTTTTTTAATTTTTGTAAAGAGAGGAGTCTTGCTATGTTGCCCAAGCTGGACTCAAACTCCTAGCCTCAAGAGATCTGCCCACCTCGGCCTCCTGAGTAACTGGGGCCATAGGTACACAGCACCATGCTCAGCTGTATTTAGTTTACTGTATTAAATTTCTCTATTTTGTTTTTGTAGAGAGGATGTCTTGCTATGTTGCCCAGGCTGCTCTCCAACTCCTGGGCCTTAAAACATACTCCCATCTCTGCCTCTCAAACTGTTAGAACTACAGGTGTGAGCCACTGCACCTGGCCCGACTTGAGATTTCTTTCATCTAGCATCCTTTACTTGGTAGGATTGGGAAAGGCAGCAGTGTTTTTTAAAATTACTTAATAATTCCATTAGAATCAAGCTCAACCTTGACCCCTGCCTTATCTCACAGCCCACACCCAGTCTGTCAGGAAATCCTATTGGCTGACTTCAACATCTATCCAGGTTCTGACCATCTCTCACCACAGCCATGACCCTGGTCAGGACCACTACCATCTCCCACCTGGATGCTGACACAGCTTGGCCCCCATGCTTCTACCCAAATCTTCCCACAGTCTTTCTCAACTCAGCAGCCAGGGGGTGCTTTTAAATCAGGAGACAGATCATGTCGCCTCTCTACTCAGAACCCTCCTGCAGTTCCCATTTCAGTCAGAATAGAAGTCAAAGCCTCAGCAATAGCCTCCCAGGGCTTACACGATCTATACTGATCACCGCCTAGCAACTCCCTGGCCTGCTCCCTTACTTCTCTCCCTCTCTCTCTCTGCTCCACTGGCCTCCTTCCAGAGCCTCAGACTCACCAGGGAGTCTCCTAATGCCTTTATCCTGTTGATTCAGCCTACAACGCTCTTCCCTCAGCACCTTGGCCAGCTCCATCACCTGCTTCAAGCTTTTGCTCAATTTTCACTTGTGAGGCCAACCCTCACCACTCTATTTAACATTTCCATCTGTCATGCGTCCTTCCTTTCTTCCTTCCTTCCTTTCCTTCCTCCTCCCTCTCTTCCCTCCTTCCCTCCCTCTTTTTTTCTTTCTCTCTTTTCTCTTTCTTTCTTGAAAGAGGGTCTTGCTTTATTGCCCAGGCTGGAGTATAGTGGCTCAATCACAGCTCACAACAACCTCAACCTCCCAGACTTAAACAATCCTCCCACCTCAGCCTCCCTAGGAGCTGAGACTACAAGTGCATACCACAACATCTGCCTAATTTAACAAAAATTTTTTTCAATAAGAAGTCTCACTATGTTGCCCAGGCTTGTCTTAAATTCCTGGGCTCAAGCGATGCTCCCCATCTCAGCTACCTGAAGTGCTGGGATTACAGGTGTGAGCAACTGCCCCTGGCTCATGTTCGTTTCTTCTTGCTGCTGCAACAAACTACCCTATATTTAGTGCCTTAAAACACCAAAAATCTGCCATATTATAGTTCTGGGAACCAGAGGCCCAAACTAGGCCTATTAAGGCTAAAGTCAAGGTGTAAGAGGGGCTGCATTCCTTCTGGAGGCTCTAGAGAGAATGTGCTCCCTTGTCTTTTCCAGCTTCTAGAAGCCACCCCATTCCTTGACTCACCTTGAAGATAGCCCCTGACTCCATCTTGAAGGCCAGAACTGCAACATCTTCAAATCTCCCTCTCTGACCTCTTCTTCCATCACCACATCATCTTCTCTAATTCTGAGAATTAATGAAATATTATGCTTGATGTTATTGTGATCATCATACCTATTCCAAACTATTTGACAAGGACAGTGATGGATGATAACATCAAAAGATTAGAAACTGTAATGAGGTCTCTTGGGCAAAATTCCATACAAGCAAATTACTGTCTCTCCAAAGCACTCCTGCCACTCTTACTTCACCATTCCCTGAACAAAATGTGCCATCTTCATTGTCCAGGTCTTTACAGTGCTGGTTTCCCCACCTGGACAGCCCACTCCATCCCATCCCAGCCCATTCCCCATCCCTCCACCTCCTCCTTCCCTCCTCACTCTCATACAACTCTTCCTCATCTTTCAGGACCCAGCTTCAATGTCAACTTAACTGGAAGCTTCTCTCACCCTCCAGAAGTGCTTTCCATTGTTCTTGATGTATGCACTATTATTTGATCATTTTTTAGTTACAGTCCAAGTCTTTTTGTACCTGAATAACATGTTGCCCAGTCAGTCTCTCTTCCTGGACTCTGACGTCTTTCATGGTAGATCCAGCTGGAAGTGACAAAAAGACATCCTTTAAAAAAAAAAGGAGGGATGAAACAGACATCAGTACTTAAAAGTTTTAAATGGTATGTGAAAAGCAAACAAAATTCAAGGGCTTCTAGGAAAAACGTAGGATGGAAGGTGTTAGTGGGAAATATGATAAAGGGTTAATTTTTATTTTATTTTATTCTTTGAGAAAGGGTCTTGCTCTATTGCGTGGGCAGGACTGCAGTGATATAATCACAGCTCATGGAAGCCTCTACCTCCGGGGCTAGAGCAATCTTCCCACCTGATTTTTATTTTATTTAAGAAACACAGTCTTACTCTGTTACCAAAGCTGGAGTGCAGTGGTGTGATCATAGCTTACTGCAGCCTCAACCTCCTAGGCTCAAGTGATCCTCCAGTCTCAGCGTCCCATGTAGCTGGGACTACAGGTGTGCACTGCAATGTCCAGCTCATTTTTTAAAAAATTTTAATAGAAACAAAGTGTCACTCTGTTGACCAGGCTGGTGATGATCTCCTACCCTCAAGCAGTTCTCCCACCTCAGTCTTCCAAAGTGCTGGGATTACAGGTGTGAGCTGCCACATCTGGCTGAGGGTGTTAATTTTTAATTATATAAAGAGTTCAAAGCAAACATTAGAAGGAGCCTAAACGCCTACAGTGGCTGACTGGTAAACTGTGATACATCTATATAATAAAATATTATGCAACCATGAAAAGGAGTAAGATAGATCAATAGGTATTGGCATAGATGTCCACGAAATATGAAAATGTGAAGTGATGTCCAATTAGCCTATATGTATCTTGAAGAATATGGCCCATTTTTGCAATAGCAATTATTTCCTGAGATAAAATTGTGGGTCTAAAGAGTGAAGGAAAATTTTCACTTCTTTATTTAAAAGTATTTACTATTTTTATAATTTCATAAAAAATAGATAATCAAATTAGTAAAAGACTCATTAACTCTATAAATAAAGGGAAAAGACACAGACAGCCCAGGCATGGTGGCTCACACTTATAATACCAGTACTTTGGGAGGGGGTGGTGGGAGGATCGCTTGAGGCCAGGAATTCCAGAATACCCTGGGAAACATAGCAAGACCTCGTCTCTACTAAAAATAAAAAAAATTAGTCAGGTATGGTTCCATGTGCCTATAGTCTCAGCAACCGAGGTGGAAGGATCACCTGAGCCCAGGAGGTCAAGGCTGCAGTGAGTCAAGACTGTATCACTACACTCAAGCCTCGGCGACAGGGTGAGACTTGGTCTCAAAAATTAAAAAAGGACAATGAAGAAATAAAGCTGATAAGCTAACACAAGGAAAGATATTAAAATATGACAAATAAAAATAAAGTAATACTAGGTATTTTATTTATTAAAAATAGTCAAACAAAAAATAACTTGTTAAATTATAATACCCTGTGCCGGCAAAGGTGCAATGAAATGTGCATTTTCTTTTTTTTTTTTTTTTTTTTTTTTTGAGACAGAGTCTCACTCTATTGCCAGGCTGGAGTGCAGTGGCGTGCTCACTGCAACTTCCAACTCCTGTGTTCAAGCGATGCTCCTGCCTCAGCCTCTCGAGTAGCTAAAATTACAGGCACAGACCAGCACGCCCAGCCAATTTTTGTATTTTTAGTAGAGACGGGGTTTCACCATGTTGGCCAGGGTGGTCTCGATTTCTATCTCGTGATCCACCCACCTCAGCCTCCCAAAGTGCTGGGATTACAGGCATGAGCCACTGCGCCTGGCCTGAAATGGGCAATTTTTTTACACTATTAGTGGTGTTTAAATTGTATATAAGCCTTTGAGAGTAAAGCTTGGCAGTCTTTTTAAAATAATACAGACAGTGATTCCCTATACTGCCTCCTCTAACTCCTGGCTTCAAGCAATCCTCCCTCCCACCTCAGCGTCCCAAAGTGCTGGAATTAAAGGCAGACAGCCACCATGCCTGAAAGCTCGACAATTTACATCAGGTGTAATAAGAATGCTCATGCCCTGTGACTCACAGTAATCTCACTTCTGGAAATATCATCTTTGGATATAATTCAAACAAAAGGTCATATGTACCCAGTGAAAATCTGGGAGTAATTTTTTTCTCTTTTTAAAAAATATATGGAATGCTTCACAAATTTGCATGACATTCTTGCAAAGAGGCCATGCCAATCTCTCTATTGTTCCAACTTTAGTATATGTGCTACCGAAGCAAGCATGAGTAATTTAAGATAGAGTGGTTAAGTGGAATAAGGAAGAGTTATGGGGAATTTCAAAAATCTATCATATTTATAGGCACCTAGTAACAGCTCAGTAAATATTAGCTGCTACTTTTATTATTTTTATGGTAATTCCACTCAATTAAAAACTGTCATTAAAAATTACCATTGTCATGGAACATAATGTATCCTACAGTATAACTGTAGAAACAGACACAATTTGTCCCTTGGTATATGGGGGGATTGGTTCCAGCTCCTCCATTTCTATGTATACCAAAATCCACACATACTCAAGTTTTTGAGTCAGTCCTGTGCAATCCACATATAGGAAAAATGGGAAAATTAGTGAGGTGTAGTGACAAGCACCTGTAGTCCCAGCTACTTGTGAAGCTGAGACAGGAGGATTGCTTGAGCCCAGGAGGTTGTGGCTGCAGTGAGCCATAATTGCACCACTGCACTCCAGTCTGGGCAACAGAGTGAGATAGAAGGTTGACTTTTTAATAGAATTTTTCTGTTCACTTGAAGATATGGCCAGGACTGTGCCATATGACAATTCTTCATAAAATAATTATCTCACCCAATTAATGTTGGAATTGGGAACAGAAAATGTTTTGGTGACTATTTATTCCTTCACTTGCTGTTATAGAAACTATTGCCAGTGGGCACTTAACAACCAAAAGTGTCATCTCTGAGCTACCCACAATGAAAGGTGATGTCTGGGGCCCAGGTGTGTTGAGGTCCCCATGTCTGGGCTATGGGTGCTGAGTGGGACTTACTTGTCCATCCATTTTCTGTATTCCAGCACTGGGAAACTTGGGTTTATCCATCTTGATAAGAGGTCATTTAAATTCCACTTGGCAAGAACCCCAAATGGAAGAAAGGCCATGAAACCACAGGCTAGCCCTTGTTCTCAAAAGAATCTTTAGCTTAGGTGGTTCTGTAAAAGAGGAATCACATTGTTGAAAACTCATCACAGGTCAGGTGAAGTGGCTCATACCTATAATCCCAGCCTATTGGGAGACTAAGGCAGGAGGATCCCGTAAGGCCAGAAGTTCAAGACCAGCCTGGGCAACACAGTGAAACCTCATCTCTACGAAAAATTAGAAAATGAGCTGGGTGTGGTAGCACAGTCCTATAGTCCCAGCTACTCTGCAGGCTGAAGTGGGAGGAGGAAAGTGGAAGCTGCAAAAGTGGAAGCTGCAGTGAGCTCTGATCTCACCACTGCACTCCAGCTTGGGTGACAGAGTGAGACCCTGTCCACACACACACACACACACACACACACACACACACACACACACTTTCATCTCAGTCTGCACAGCCTTGACTAGTGAAAAGGGTTTTCTGGTTACAGAAGAGGTATGCTCTTTTTTAGGACAGGGAGGGACCAGCAAGCTTGTTCACAGCCTTTTCCTCATACTCTGCTTAGTTTTCCAAGAACCTTTATGTGGAAAGGGAGTCCCTGAAGAAAGGACCTAAATCATCAGGTTACTAAAGGAGAAATATGCCTCCTTTGTCAATTAATAAATGGAACGCCTGCCTTAAAAACCAGAGTTCTGCTAGGATGAATCACTCCCTACGACCCTGAGCTATGCAGCGAATGTAAAAACCTGGAGTTTGGGGACCTACAATATTGAAGGCCACACTGCAGATATGGAGACCTTACCAAAGTACAGCCTTTCCACAAGGAACTACCAAACACCAGCTGGCTGTCTCCATGGGGCACCGCTGTATCTCTGGCTCTCATTTCCCCAGGAGATGCTCTATTCCAGCCTTCTCTTACATTTTGTATCCCGCACAGTTCCTGGCATAAGGACTCACAACAAAGCAAGCTGCTGAGTTAATGGTGATCTACTGCAGATCCAACTTGAGATTCCAGCAGGGCGATTTGTGTTTGAGAAATTAAAGGGACCCAGCCTGGCACTGGCCAGCTTAGCAGTCTGAAGACATAAGCTGCTCAAACTGACTACAGTGCCTCTGATTTTCTGAGTCTGCCCTTGCTCTTAGGGCTCTTTGGATGAAATTAATTTCTCCTTGTTGAAGAAATGGCTTGCTAGAATATAAAAAATATAAAGAAGAAAAAATATTAAAATAAATTTTTCTCCTAAAGAGCACTCAAAAGCACACTCCCACTAATGGTGGATCTATTTATCTCTCTTGCTTTTTTTTTTTTTTTTTTTTCTTCCTGAGATAGGGTCTCACTCTGTCACTCAGACTGGAGTGCAGTGGCGAGATCACCACTTACTGCAGCTTTCTCAACTCCTGGGCTCCAGCTATCCTCCCACTTCAGCCTCCCGAGTAGCTGGGATTACAGGTGCATGCCACCATGCCTGGCTAATTTTTAAATTTTTTGTAGAGAGGGGGTCTCGCTATGTGGCTCAGACTGGTCTTGAACTCCTGGGTCAAACTAATCCTTCTGCCTTGGCCTCCCAAAGTGCTGGGATTACAGGCTTTAGCCACTGCGCCCAGTCTATTTATCTTTCTACAACTCATATATTAAATCTTCCTCCTTAAATCACCTCATACCCACCCATCTGCAGGAACAGCAAACACAGGTCTCAGAGGGTCAGGCAACCTACATGAGGTAAGGAGGCCAGAGTAATGTGGGAGACCGGGGGAAACTGTAGCAAACTGCAAGGTATTCACTTCAACAGTTCTTCAACACTGTGATGGTCAAACCAAACACAGAAACAGGAAGCCCAGTTCAGTTGCCAGCAGCCAACGTGGGATATTTAATCTACATGCTACAGGGCAAACTTCTTAGGATAAATGACCTGGTCTCCACCAACCTGCTCTTCAAGTCCAGCCGCTCCTGCCCAAGTCCCTACACTTTACTGACATGACCCACATTCACAGTACTCTCCTGAAACTTTGCTTGTTCACTCTTCTTTTCCCCAATGAATATTTCTTTTTTCTTTTTCTTTTTTTTACTTTTTTTGAGACAGAGTCCCCCTAAGTCACACAGGCTGAGGTACGGCGAGGTGATTATGGCTCACTACAGCTTCCATCAACTGGGCTCAAGTGATTCTCCCACCTCAGCCTCCCAGGTAGTTGGGATTACAGCCATGTAACACCACACCTGGCTAAGTTTATTAGTTTTTCTTTTTCTTTTTTTTTTTTTCAGACGGAGTCTTGCTCTGTCGCCCAGGCTGAATGGAGTGCAGTGGCATGATCTCGGCTCACTGCAACCTCTGCCTCCTGAGTTCAAGCGATTCTCTTTCCTCAGCCTCCCGAGTAGCTTGAATTACAGGTGTGTGTCACCATGCCCGACTAATTTTTGTATTTTCAGTAGAGATGGGGTTTCACCATGTTGGCCAGGCTGGTCTTGAACTCCTGACCTCAGGTGATCTGCAGACCTTGGCCTCCCAAAGTGCTGGGATTACAGGCGTGAGCCACCACGCCTGGCCAGCTTATTATTTTTTCTACAGACAGGGTCTCACTATGTTTCCCAGGCTGGCCCTGAATTCCTGGGCACAAGCAATCCTCTGGCCCCCATCTCCCAAAGCAACAGGATTACAGGCTTGAACCAACGCATCAGTCCCTAACAAACACTTACTGAGCACCTACTATATACCAGGCACTATAATAGGTGCCCAGGAAACAGCAGTGAACAAGGTGTAAGAGTTTCTGCCCTTGGCCAGGAGCAGTGGCTCACACCTGTAATCCCAGCACTTTGGGAGGCCGAGGCAGGTGAATCACCTGAGGTCAGGAGTTTGTGACCAGCCTTACTAACAGGGTGAAACCCCGTCTCCACTAAAAGTACAGAAATTAGTGGGGCATGGTTGTGCATGCCTGTAATCCGTTACTTAGGAGGCTGAGGCAGGAGAATCGCTTGAACCTGGGAGGCAGAGGTTGCAGTGAGCTGAGGTCACGGTACTGCACTCCAGCCTGGGCAACAAGAGTGAAACGTCTCAAAAAAAAAAAAGAAAAAAGAGAAGAAAAAGAGTTTCTGCCCTCATGTAGCTTATAGGGTAGCAGGAAATTGATATAGTTTCAATGTTTGTCTCCTCCAAATCTCATATTGAAATTGAAACCCTAATGTTGGAGGTGGTGCCTGGTGGGAGGTGTGAGTCGTGGGGGCAGATCCCTCATGAATGGCTTGGTGCCCTCCCCAAGGTAATGAGTGAGTTCTCTCTCTACTAGTTCACGTGAGAGCTGGTTGTTTAAAGAGCCTGGCACCTCCTCCTCTCTCCGTTGCTCCTTCTTCTCAACAAGTGACATGCCGGCTCCTCCTTCACCTTCCGCCATGAGTGGAAGCCTCCTGAGGTCCTCACCAGCAGATGCTGGTACTATGCTTTTGTTTTTCTGAGACAGGGTCTCACTCTGACACTCAGGCTGGAGAGCAGTGGTGTAATTATGGCTCACTGCAACCCTGACATCCTGGGATAAAGAGATATTTTTACCTTAGGCTCCCAAGTAGCTGAAACCACAGGTATGCATCAATGCACTATCATGCCTGGCTATTTTTTAATTTTTACTAGAGACAAGATCTCACCATGTTTCCCAGGCTGGTTTCAAACTTCTGGGCTCAAGCAATCCTCCTGCCTCAGCATCCCAAAGTGCCAGGATTACAGGTGTGGGCCACTGCGCCCAGCCTGGCACCATGCTACTTGTATAGTCTGCAGGACTGTGAGCCAAATAAACCTTTTTTCTTTATAAACTACCCAGCCTGAGGTATTTCCTTACAGCAATGCAAAATGGACTAATTTAGGAATCGTATGCCAGCACTTACCAGACTGTGATGAGCACATGACAATAGTACAGACTGGGACTGAAACGTTCCCCAGGGGCTTCTTGTTGCATCATAGAGAGTGGGGTGAGACATCTCGGCTAAGGCTAAAGATGAGTAAAGATGAGAGTGAAAGAGTGATGATGGAGGTAGGGAGAGGGTTTCCTGAAGAAGGACCAGTAAAGTCCCCCAAGGAAACTGACATTCCGTGTGGCTGGAGGGTAGGGATATGGGGAGGGTGGTGCAGGATAAAACTGGGAAGATGAGTGGATGCCAGCTCCTACCAGGCCCTGTGGCCAAATTAGTTTGGACTTTGTCTTAAAGGCAATGGGCAGTCACCATCAGGTTTTAATCAAGGACTATTCTGACCCAAATTTGCCTTTTAGGAGAATTCTTCTGGCTTCAGTGAACAGGCTGAAGTGAGCAAGCCTATAGAAGTCAGGAAGACAATTGGAGGTCCTCACAATAAACCAGTGTAAAAGAGAACAGGGCCGGGCATGGTGGCTCCTGCTTATAATCTCAAAACTTCAGAAGTCCAAGGTGGGTGGATGGCTTGAGCCCAGGAGTTTGAGACCAGCCTGAGCAATGCAGTGAAACCACATCTCTAAAAAAAACACAAAAATTAGCCGGCCATGGTGGCTCATCCCTGTGGTCCCACCTCCCCTGGAGGCTGAGGCAGAAGGATAGCTTGAGCCTGGGAGGTTGAGACTGCAGTGAGCCAAGATCACACCACTGTGCTCCAGCCTGGGCAACACAGGGAGACTGTCTCAAAAGAAAAAAAAAAAAAAGATCCCATTCTTCACTTATTAGTGCCCTAACATTCTCTTGAGAACCTTGGTGACACAGTGAATTCAACTGATTCAACTGTCATTGTAATTCGGCAACCCACACATTTAAGTTTGTGTTTGACTTCCAATGATATCAGCCCCGTGGATACAAGAAATAAGAAATTCTGTTTGGGCTATCGTGGATCTTAGACCACGACTTATGCTGAGAGGTAAAGACTTGAGCTTTTTGTTTTTCCCTCTGTAAGTGCTCAAGTGCAGCAGTCCTCAGTTTTTGAGGGACGAGGGACTAGTTTTGTGTAAGACAGTTTTTCCACAGACTCGGGGCAGCAAAGGTCAGTTTTTGGATATATCAAGCACGTTACATTTATTGTGCACTTTATTATTATTTCATTGTAGCATATAACAAAATAATTATATAACTCACCATAATGTAGAATGAGTGGGAGGCCTTAGCTTGTTTTTCTGCAACTAGATGGTCCCATGTGGGGGTGATGGGAGACAGTGACAGATCATCAGGCATTAGATTCTCCTAAGGACAGAGCAAGGTAGATCCCTTGCATGCACAGTTCACAACAGGGTTCGTGCTCACGAGAATCTGATGTTGCCGCTGATCTGACAGGAGGCAGAGATCAGGTGGTCATGTGGGGAGTGGCAGTAAATACAGATGAAGCTTCGCTCACCCACCCTCTGCTCACCTCCTGCTGTGTGGCCCAGTACAGGCCTGTGACCCAGGGATTAGGGGCCTCTGCTCAAGTGAGCAGATCACACCACTGTGCTCCAGCCTGGGCAACACAGGCTGGAGAATCCAAAAGGATTCTTCCCACACCAGTCTTCATAGTGGTCAAGTGCAGCAGCCACTTAGCTCCCAAGGCATATGCCTTAGCTGGCATTTCATCACAATCAACAGTAAGTGGTAGCTTGAGTCATTATGAGGTCACTTCCTGGAAATCACCAGCATCCAATTTCCCATTGGCAAGGAGCTCAGCACTGCCCCTTGGATACCCAAATCTATGCCCAAATCCCAGTTGTGTGGGTCTATCTCCCAGGACCCTTCCTAGCATCAATTCTGTATTTGTCAGAGTCCAAACAGGAGACATAAACCACTCAAATGTGTAAAGTGTCAAATTTAAAATTTAAAAAAAAAAAAACTAATTATGACAGGGCAAAGGCATAATGACAGATTGGCTACCAAAAAAAGAACTCTAGAGAATATAGGACTAGCAGAGGCCAGGCATGGTGGCACATATTTTACATAGTGTCATTGTTCACCTTGTTCAAATCTTTATAGGTTCAGGCTCAGGTCTCTGTGGTTGCGCAGTGTGTCTTTTTACCAAAAGGAACACCTCATGCACTTTACAAGGAGCTCCTTCAGGAAAGGATGGCACCTCGTGTAGAGGAGAGATCTCTGATCCTCTGATCTTTTCCAAAAGGAGAAAAGTAAAGGTTTGAATGTATTTTTAATTCTTGGCATTTCAGAACAGAAATAATCTGGTATTAAGTTGCTAAAAGATGCCTACAAGCTTTCATAGGAGAAACATCTAATTCATAACCAAGAGTTTATGTTATTAAGTAAACTTTCCCTTAACAGGATCAATGAATGAAACGTTTAAATACTCGCTCTCGTCCCCATTTAGTCAGCTGGTATACTCTCTGTGAGGTATACTCTTAGTCATCTGGTATACTCTCTGTGAGGTATACTCTTAGTCATCTGGTATCCTCTCTCTGAGTATGCCAGATGATTAAATGGAAATTACTGCACCACTAAACACCAGTACTGAAAACTATTTAAAAAATTGACACCTAGGACATAAAGAATGATCCTAGGCCAGGTGCGGTGGCTCATGCCTGTAATCGTAGCACTTTGGGAGGCTAAGGTGGCAGATTGCCTGAGCTCATGAGTTCGAGACCAGCTTGGGCAACATGGTGAATTCCCGTCTCTACTAAAATACAAAAAATTAGCTGGACGTGGCAGCGTGCACCTGCAGTCCCAGCAACTCAGGAGGCTGAGGTGGGAGAATTGCTTGAACCTGGGAGGCAGAGGCTGCAGCAAGCTGAGATCATGCCACTGCACTCCAGCCTGGGGGACACAGCAAGACTTCCATCTCCAAAAAAAAAAAAAAAAGAAAAAAAAGAAAAAAAAGAATGATCCTAACGCAGTTATTTCCTTTTGCATTTATGAGGAGATGGAAGAAATACCCATATTTGAGGGTTCGTTGGGAACTGTCTTTGGTATTGTATAATGTATTTCAATACTGTGAACATGAAAAGATGAGAACCCTGCAGACCCTGTGGGAATGGAGAGAAGGAAGTACATTAGAGGGTGTTGTAGGAAATACTTTCATTCCAGGCACTGCTGTTTAAACTACCCAACTTTCTTTCCTTAAAAGAATAGAAAAAACAAAGAGGACAAAAGGCAAAGAAACATTCCACATGACCCTCTGCACCCCTATTTTTTGTAATAGAGGAAAAGCATTTTAGGGATTTTCTTGAGTGCAGTTTATGATGTGATCCATGTTATTTATTTTTTGTTAATCATTTTCAAAATTTCAATTAAAAACATTCAGAAATTTAGCTTTATCAAAGGCAGCTGTTCATATGTACAACTAGTTTGGTTACCTTCAACTGTATAAACACATAGCTAGTGAATTGACATAACTATTACACTGGAGAATCAACAGAAACATGCCAAGGACTGGCCCTTACCTTCCACAGTGACCTCAATGTCAGGAAGCTTTTCATTACTCTCAGGGCTTCATGGTTTTTTTGGGGACTGCAAAGCTATAAAATAAGCACAGAATTACTTTAGTCTATTGTAGGAAAAAAATACAGAAGGAGATGCCTTATAAGGGCAGAGTATTAAAATTCATTCAGTTTGGCCCTTTTCAAAGAAACCTGTGGCTGGGCGCGGTGGCTCATGCCTGTAATCCCAGCACTTTGGGAGGCCGAGGCGGGTGGATCACAAGGTCAGGAGTTTTGAGACCAGCCTGGCGAAAATGGTGAAACCTCGTCTCTACTTAAAAAAAAAAAATACAAAAAATTGACTGGGCATGGTGGCACACACCTGTAGCCCCAGCTACTTGGGAGACTGATGCAGGAGAATTGCTTGAATCCGGGAGGCGGAGGTTGCAGTGAGCCAACATTGCGCCACTGCACTCCAGCCTGGTTGACAGAGCGAGACTGTCTCAAGAAAAAAAAAAAAAAAAAGAAACCTGCAGAATTAAACTTGTAGTGTAATCCTCCACAGGGGGCTCAACAAAGCCATGGAAACATGAATGAAGTGGGATTGCAAATGTGACACTTCCAATAAAATGTTTTTTTAAAGAAAAAGAGGTCCATTAAATAAAACACCTTCAAAAGCCAAGAAACTAACTGCAAGTCCCACAAAGATAGTGGCCAATGATTCTGTGTGATTTAAGGAATGCTGAGAAAGGATGTCTTAATGCAGTGAAATATAATATGAAGTACAGGTAATCTTCTACCTTTAGTGTTTATTTTGTTAGCCATTCCAGGAGGCAAGTAGAAAATAACTACTTCAGGTCTAGAAAACCAAGAAATGTTACAGTAGTCAGTACAATGGTGGTCTCACAGCAAGTAAAATGGTTGTGATATGACCAGGGTTTTTTCCTAAAGGTGTCCACAGAGTCATCCTGTAATGTCACAATAATTCCTATCATTGTGGATGAAAATCTTGACTTTTCCTTCCCATGACTGGCAAGTAACTGAATGAATAGTAAATTACTTCTTTCATGAAAAAGAAAATTAACACTAGTGTACTTTCTTTAGCCACTAAAACTCTGCAGAAACACAGATATAATAAAAAAATCATCAGGCCGGGCACAGTGACTCACACCTTAGTCCCAACACTTTGGGAGGCTGAGGCGGGTGGGTCGCCTGAGGTCAGAAGTTTGAGACCAGCCTGACCAACTTGGTAAAACCCCGTCTCTACAAAAAATACAAAAAGCAGGGCATGGTGGCACATGCCTGTAATCCCAGCTACTCGGGAGGCTGAGGCAGAAGAATCACTTGAACCTGGGAGGCGGAGGTTGCACTGAGTAAAGATCGCGCCATTGCACTCCAGCCGGGGCAAGAAGAGTGAAACTTTGTCTCAGAAAAAAGAAGGAAGGAAACTCAATCGTCAATATTTAGTCCCCAACAAGACTGACCCAGGAATAACAAAGCAAATAAAACCCAGCAGATTAAATGTCATTCAAGTACTTAGGCATAGTGCAAGCCACCACAGTGTGTCTGAACATCGTGGAGGCAGGGGTCACTATTCTTGTACTGATGAAGACGACTGAGTATGGGATGCGGGGTCAATGGAGAGTGCCAGGACTGCAGCTCAGAGCCAGACTTTTCATCAAGGACTTACAGCCACACTTGTCACCTCTAGCTAGAAAAACATTTTAGTAGAAATGTCATTTTATTGTTTTAATTCCAGAAATGACTACAGTGGCAAATAGAACTTACTTTTTTATTGTTGTTGTTGAGGCAGAGTCTCACTCTGTCACCCAGGCTGGAGTGCTGTGGTGTGATCTCAGCTCACTGCAGCCTCTGCCTCCCAGGTTCAAGTGATTCTCCTGTTTCAGCCTCCCAAATAGCTGGGTTTCCAGGTACCTGCCACCACGCCCAGCTAATTCTTTGTATTTTTAATAGATATGGGGTTTCACCATGTTTGCCAGGCTGGTCTCAAACTCCTGACCTCAGGTGATCTGCCTGCCTCAGCCTCCCAAATTGCTGGGATTACAGATGTGAGCCACCACGTCCCGCCTAGAATTTACTTTTTAACAACAAACTTGATTTTATTACTCCCACGAAGGATCCTTTCAAGTCATGGAATTCCAAACCAGGTAGGGCTTCGGAAGGGAATCCTGTCTGGCAAGCCTTCTATATACAGGAAATTGGAGTTTGATTCAAACACAGGATATGGTACTTTTACTGCCTCGGCGAGTCCAACAGCTTGAGCTGAAAGTGCAAGAGAACATAATTTGTAGAAGATAAAATTTGACACAGACATTCTTTTATTTGTATCTGCATTCTCAAGTACATTATGGACAAGTTCCCTACAATCAAGCAATATCCACTTCATATTGAAGGCATTTTACTTAGGATATTGGGCAAATCTGAAGAATAAGCCTAAAAAATAAGTACTTTTAGGAGGAACATTTTAACACTTTCAATCAAAAGGAGAGTTATGTTATTAGTCAAAATGACCTCTGTGCTCTAAGCAGAAATGACCGAAATCCACTCCATACAGCAGTGGCCCCTGGCAGCCTTTGCATTCTCATCAAGAGGCAGGGTAGCTGTTCAAAGACAGGTGGTGTCTATGATGCAACTAAGCAGCGCTCGGTAAGTTCCAGTCATCAGACACAGAGTAGTCAGGATTCCTGATAAGGGACAGGAAACATCAGCACCAGGTATTGAGATAATAAACAGGAATGCCCCAGGAATGCTGGGAGCACTCCCCATTCATTACTTCCTTCTCCATGACAGATACACCCAATCAACTCAAACACACTTTCTTGCTGAGCCTGCTCAGAATCGTTCAAGACAGCACTCCAGGAAACCTCTGTCAACAAATCTAAGTATTTGCCACACGTGTTAGCCAGATTTGAAGTACAGACAGCGGAATGACACTTATCCCAACGCCTCCCTTCCTCTCCCATCCTGACACATGAGAAAGCTGAAACCAAGAGAAATGAAGTTGCCTGCTTAGTTTCAATAGCAAGTGTAGTAGTAGAAATAAACCAAAGCCCGGTTTCTGGGACCTTCCTTTTTTAGGTCCTGAACTTCTATAATTCATTCAGACATGACCCTTCATTGACATGTTATTAAATTAAAGACATACTGCAGGGGAAGGACGATGAGTCCCTTCATGTTCATATGAAAGAGCAAGACTATCTCCAAAAAATAAAAAATACCAAAATGTTTCAATTAAAAAAAAAAAGCGTGATGGTCTTTGGCAGTGTTTAAATAGAAAATAAGAGTATCACTTTCAAATAAGCTGACACTTTCTGAACATATAATAACCAGGGTCACAGAATCAGAGGCCAGTGAGAAGATTAAAAAGTACCCCTGTGAGCCCCAGTGATACATACACCACCAGGAAGATTTCCTGTTCCTGTCCCTCCAACGAATCCACAGCAACATAATCTCGGCAAGTGACACGATCTGCCTCTCCTACCTCCAGGCAGCCACGGGGAAAGTGGACAGCAAAGGGACCATTCCCTGTGTCACTGATAAGTGAGGCTCAATGGGAAACATGAAGCATGAGGGGCACCCAAAGGTAGGTGACAAGTTCAGTGTCTCCCCTTTGTCTTCCTGCTTCATGTATTGTCTGCATCTTCTGCTCTTTTCATGATAAGGAAGGAAGCAGCAATAGCAATAGCATGTCTAAATGTGGGACTACCCATCGGGTATCATGGAACTTAGTATAGAAGTTTATACAACCCTGGGAGCTTTCAGACCTGGTCTCCTAACACGTACATCTAAGTTTTCTAAGGTTCTTGACCAGGCAGTAAGACTGTGAGCCCCCAGGAGTTTACATAGGTTTTCTAGGGTCTTCACACAGCTAACCACAATCGTGGCAACTCCTTCATTTCCTTTTTAAACAAGTGTTTTCCCAATTGTTCCCTTAAAATTGGGCAGTTTAAGTTGGGCACGGTGGCTCACGCCTGTAATCTCAGCACTTTGGGAGGCGGAGGTGGGCAGATTACTTGAGGTCATGAGTTTGAGACCAGACTGACCAACATAGTAAAACCCCGTCTCTACTAAAAAATACAAAAATTAGCTGGGCGTGATGGTGGATGCCTGCAATCCCAGCTGCTCGGGAGGCTGAGGCACGAGAATCCCTTGAACCCAGAAGGCAGATGTTGCAGTGAGCCAAGATTGTGCCACTGTACTCTAGCCTGGGCGACAGAACAAGACTCCATCTGAAAAAAAAAAAAAATTGGGCAGTTTAAAGACTCTGATATAGGAAGTGAGTGTGCACAATGATTAGTGGCAATAAGCTAATAAGCATCATTAACTAGGCTATGGTGGTTTTTTAAAATTGTGATTGGCTGGGCGAGGTGGCTCACGCCTGTAATCTTAGCACTTTGGGAGGCCAAGGCGGGCAGGTCACCTGAGGTCGGGAGTTTAAGAACAGCCTGACCAACATGGAGAAAGCCCGTCTCTAGTAAAAATACAAAATTAGTCAGGTGTGGTGGCACATGCCTGTAATTCCAGCTACTCGGAAGGCTGAGGCAGGAGAATCCTTTGAACCCAGGAGGTGGAGATTGCAGTGAGCCAAGATTGCACCATTTCACCCCAGCCAGGGCAACAAGAGTGAAACTCCATCTCTAAAGAAAAAAAAAATTGATACCCAGCAGACGGTGAGGCATCCATAATGTGACCAGGTGCCAAGGATATCCCTAAGGGTGGAACTACAGTGAAGTCTCCTGAATTTCCTACCTTGGGCCCCTTCCCTGGCCCACCCCCTACCCATATAACCACATACTCACTCTTCTTTCCTAAACACAAATTGAGGGACACTCAAAGCAAAAGCAAGCACTGTACTCACTTCTTAACCGACCCATCCCCTCCTCCATCCCCAACACATAGGAAGAACTTATGTTAGCCTTGAAAATAAGAAACACTTACCATCCCACAGTTATTTTTCCAGGCTGCCTTTTTTAACCACTCACTTGGTAGAAACTGTTATTCTCCAGGCCAGCAGCTATTTGTAAAACTGGTCTGCCTCCCTATTTTCACACCAAAGACACTAATTATTTAGTAGAAAGGGGAGTATTCTAAATCAGACAATTAGCAAATCACCTAGAATTTCCAACCCCTCCACAGAGACACACAAACAAGAGAATTAACCCAATTTGTTGTCTATAATAAACAGGATGTGCTACCCACCACTGAGCCCCAGAGCTTGTTACTAGATGACTAATCCCTAACAGTAATGGCTACAATGGCCCAGTTCCCTATTTTATTGCTGTGTGCAGAAATTTGAAAGGCACTCCTCTCCCACACTCATCTTCCCTTATATACTTTTGCACATCAATCCATTAAGAATCTGAAGTGTAATTTATCTTATTCACTATTATCCTGTTAAGTTGCTCTATAGCTGCCATGGGAGTAATTGCAGTGATCAGTGATTCTGACTTCTTGAGCAAAGGGCCTTAAGTAGGTTTCACTATTAAAATTTCCAAAGGTTTTATTATTGAAATAAACCTGAGAGAGAGCAGTATGCCTCCATGGGGCAGTCATACTAATGATTCTTGAGTTACGAAAAGATGTCAGACTCCGCCCCGTCCGGGAGGTGAGGGGCGCCTCTGCCCGGCCGCCCCTACTGGGAAGTGAGGAGCCCCTCTGCCTGGCCACCACCCCGTCTGGGAGGTGTACCCAACAGCTCATTGAGAACGGGCCATGATGACAATGGCGGTTTTGTGGAATAGAAAGGGGGGAAAGGTGGGGAAAAGATTGAGAAATCGGATGGTTGCCGTGTCTGTGTGGAAGGAGGTAGACATGGGAGACTTTTCATTTTGTTCTGTACTAAGAAAAATTCTTCTGCCTTGGGATCCTGTTGATCTGTGACCTTACCCCCAACCCTGTGCTCTCTGAAACATGTGCTGTATCCACTCAAGGTTGAATGGATTAAGGGCGGTGCAAGATGTGCTTTGTTAAACAGATGCTTGAAGGCAGCATGCTCCTTAAGAGTCATCACCACTCCCTAATCTCAAGTACCCAGGGACACAAACACTGCGGAAGGCCTCAGGGTCCTCTGCCTAGGAAAACCAGAGACCTTTGTTCACTTGTTTATCTGCTGACCTTCCCTCCACTATTGTCCTGTGACCCTGCCAAATCCCCCTCTGTGAGAAACACCCAAGAATGATCAATTAAAAAAAAAAAGAAAAAAAAAATATGTCAGACTCATCATCAATGTTGTGCTTGTGAGTACGAGTAACTGGGAATTTATCAACCAATAAAACTAACTGGGATTCTAAGAATGAAGAATAATAATCTCATTTTAAGTAGCATATGCAGTGCTGTGCAACCCTTTAAAAAGCTGACTTTGGCTGGGCGCGGTGGCTCACACCTATAATCCCAATAGTTTGGGAGGCCAAGGCAGGTGGATCACCTGAGGTCAGGAGATCGAGACTATCCTGGCTAACACGGTGAAACCCTGTCTCTACTAAAAATACAAAAAATTAGCCGGCTATGATGGCACATGACTGTAATCCCAGCTACTCAGGAGGCCGAGGCAGGAGAATCACTAGAACCCAGGAGGCAGAGGTTGCAGTGAGCCGAGATCACGCCACTGCACTCCAGCCTGGGCAGCAAGAGCCAAACTTTCTCTCAAAAAAAAATAAAAATAAAAAAGCTGCCTTTGACCGGGCACAGTGGCTCAGACCTGTAATCCCCAGCATTTTGGGAGGCCAAGGAGGGTGGCTCACCTGAGGTCAGAAGTTCGAGACCATCCTGACCAACATGGCGAAACCTTATCTCTACTAAAAATACAAAAATTAGCCGGGCATGCTGGTGCACGCCTGTAATCCCAGCTACTCAGGAGGCTGAGGTGGGAGAATTGCTTGAACCCAGGAAGCAGAGGTTGCAGTGAGCCGAGATCATGCCACTGCACTCCAGCATGGGCAACAGAGCAAGACTCCGTCTCAAAAAAAAAAAAGCTGCCTTTGCTTACTGAAGTATTGCTTGTAAGAGCAAATACTGGAAACAACTGAAGTGCACATGTATAAGGAACTGATTCAATAAAGTAGGAGGCAGGCATTCACACAATGCAATACTATGCAGCTCTGATTTAAGAATGAGAAAGCTTTCTCTGTACCAACAAGGAAAGATCCCCAAGACATACTGTTAAGGGCAAAACAGTACAGAACAGGTTATATGAGCTACCTTTTGTGTAAAAGAGTATGAGGAGGTAAGAACATACGTTCATATTTGCTTTTATTTACATAAACACTGGACGGATATACAAGGAACTATTAAGAGTGACATATGATAAGGTGGAGAAGTTCTACACGGTGCACCAGACAGGGCTGGAAATATTAAACATCTCAACATATGCCTTTCAAAATAACTTCATATTTTTAATTTACCTTTACTACCTATTTGTTTGGGTCAGGGCTCCATTTCCTCCACTTTGGGACCAGGTAATCAGGCTTCAGACTACCTACCTCTGCCTGTCAGAAGTCACTAACCTCGTGAAAGGAATAATTTAGGTTAAAGGAGGAGCAAAGCTATTACTCAACTGTTTCCTTAGAACAGGAAAAACTGGGCCGGACATGGTGGTTCACACCTGTAATCCCAGAACTTTGGGAGGCCGAGGCAGGCAGATCATGAGGTCAGGAGATCGAGACCAGCCTGGGCAACATAATGAAACCCTGTCTGTACTAGAAATACAAAATTAGGGCCAGGCATGGTGGCTAATGCCTGTAATCCCAGCACTTTGGGAGACTGAGGGGGAGGGATGATGAGGTCAGAAGATCGAGACCATCCTAGCTAACACGTTGAAACTCTGTCTCTATTAAAAATACAAAAAAATTAGCCAGACATGGTAACAGGGACCTGTAGTCCCAGCTACTCAGGAGGCTGAGGCAGGAGAATGGCGTGAACCCAGGAGGCGGAGCTTACAGTGAGCTGAGGTAGTGCCACTGCACTCCAGCCTGGGTGACGAGCGAGACTCCGTCTCAAAAAAAAAAAAAAAGAAAGAAAGAAATACAAAATTAGACAGGCATGGTGTCACGGGCCTGTAATCCCAGCTACCCAGTAGGCTGAGGCAGAAGAATGGCTGAAATCCAGGTGGCAGAGGTTGCAGAGAGTTGAGATCATGCCACTGCACTTCAGCCTGGGCAACAGAGCGAGACTCCGTCTCAAAAAAAAAAAACAAAAAAATAAAAAACAAAGAAAAACTGATAAAACATGTGGGCCCCTAAAATTTGAACATTTAAATGCAAGACTGGGTTAAAATATCTTTAAAACATATAAAAAATACACAAACAGCAGAGGTGTGAGAATATGCTAAAAAATATATAAGGGGAGTGAAAGAGCAAGATAGTGGTCCTCCTTCCCTGCTGTCTTTATAGTTTGATTTCATCCTTGGCTTTTCATAATGGAAAGAGGGTAGATATGCATTTAGGTCTAGGATTACAACTATAGGTGTTTATTTGTTTCTTTGTTGAGATAGAGTCTCACTCTGTCACCCAGGCTGGAATGCAGTGGTGCAGTCTCGGCTCACTGCAACCTCCGCCTCCCGGGCTTAAGCGATTCTCCTGCCACAGCCTCCCCAGTATTACAGGCACCCCCCACCATGCCTAGCTAATTTTTGTATTTTTTGTAGAGACAGGATTTCACCATGTTGGCCAGGCTAGTCTCCCCTAACCTCAAGTGATCTGCCTGCCTCGGCCTCCCAAAGCACTGGGATTACAAGCATGAGCCACTGTGCCTGGCCTGGATTGCAACTATTTTAAGACCACATTCAGCACAAGTGGTTTTTTTTTTTTTTTTTTTTTTTTAATTTTTGAGACGGAGTCCCACTCTGTCATGTAGGCTGAGTGCAATGGCATGATCTCGGCTCAATGCAACCTCCACCTCCCGGTTCAAGCGATTCTCCTGCCTCAGCCTCTCAAGTAGTTGGAACTACAGGACCCGCCACAACGCCTGGCTAATTTTTTGTATTTTTAGTAGAGATGGGGTTTCACCATGTTGGCCAGGCTGGTCTCCAACTCCTGACCTCAGGTGATCCGCCCACCTCAGCCTCCCAAAGTGCTGGGGTGGCATGAGCCACCGCACCTGGCCACAAGTGCTATTTTATTAAATACTTCTGTGGTCCCCCTTCCCCAGACAAAAAGAACAAAGGAAAAAAGAAAGGGGAAGCCATTATTCAGGGCTGGTAAAGGGTTTATCTAGCTTTGTGGTGTAAAAGAACCTGTAATACTTAATAAATTTAATAATACTTAATATTTAATAAATTTAATAAATGTATTAATATTTAACAATATTTAATGGATTTAATAAATTTATTAATATTTAGCAATATTTAATAAAATCAATCCACTGTCTAGCCCTTACGTCAAAACACCAAGGACAACTAGGCCCTCCTACCTCCTCGTAGCTTCAACTAGATAAATGCAAACATGTTGGCTCACGCCTGTAATCCCAGCACTTTTTCTTTTTTTTTTTTGAGTTGGAGTCTCACTCTGTCACCCAGGCTGGAGTGCAGTGGTGTAATCCCAGTTCACTGCAACCTCCGCCTCCAGGTTCAAGCAATTCTCCTGCCTCAATCTCCTGAGTAGCTGGAACTGCAGACACATGCCGACACGCCTGGCTAATTTTTTGTATTTTTAGTAGAGACAGGGTTTCACCATGCTGCCCAGGCTGGTGTCGAACTCTGAGCTCAAGTGATCCACCTGCCTTGGCCTCCCAAAGTGGTGGGATTATAGGCATGAGCCACAGTATTTGGCAATCCCAGCCCTTTGGAAAGCCAAGGTAAGAAGATCAGTTGAGTTCAGGAGTTCGAGACCAGCCTGGACAACATGGGGGAGACACTGTCTCCACAAAAAAAAATAAAAAATTAGCTGGGCTTGGTGGCATATACTTGTGATCCCACACTTACTTGGGAGGCTGAGGTGGGAGGATCACTTGAGCCTAGAGGGTTGAGGCTGCAGTGAGCTACAACTGGGCCACTCAACTCCAGCCCAGAAAACAGGATGAGACCTTGTCTCTTAAAAAGATAGGCCAGGCATGGTGGCTCATGCCTGTAATCCCAGCACTTTGGGAGGCTGAGGCGGGCGGATCACGACCATCCTGGCTAACACAGTGAAACCCCATCTCTACTAAAAATACAAAAAATTAGCCAGGCGTGGTGGCGGGCATCTATAGTCCCAGCTACTCGGGAGGCTGAGGCAGGAGAATGGCATGAACCTGGGAGGTGGAGCTTGCGGTGGGCTGAGATCGCAACACTGCACTCCAGTCCGGGTGACAGAGCAAGACTCCATCTCAAAAAAAATAAATAAATAAAATAAAATAAAAAGATAAATGCAAATTTGAGTCACCTACAGAGTTAAAAGGCCACAAATGTTCCAATGTTAGCTGGGAGTCTAGGAGGGAAGAAGCCTCCACGTCTGCCCCAGTCAACCCAACTAAGAGAAAGAGGTTGGCAGCCAGAGGAACAGGTAAGGCAAGCCTTCATTTGAGACCATCAGCTTCTGCAGAAAAAACATTCCATGGTCATGGGATGACCTGACTGACTGATGCAAACTGTCCATACAGCTAGTTTATCTTTGCCTCCTCTCTAGAGCCAAAATGTATTGGAAATGAATGCCACATGAGACCTATCCCTGCCCTCCTCACCATACACGCTTTTTAGGAGAGCCCACACTAGCTGATGACTCTGGAATTCTGGTGACCATGATTCTGGATATGATGCCGCTCAGCTCTGTCTTTCCAACTACCTTTTAGACATCTCTACCTGGATGTCCTGAGCATCGTGTGTCCAAAGGTGAATTCCTTCTCTCTGGCAACGTGTGTTCTCTGTATCTCCACTTTCCCTGTCTCAATAAATGGCACTGCCATGCACCTAAGATACGTGAACCAGAAACCTGAAGGGCATCCTACAGTCCTCCTTCTGCCCTACTACTATTTCTATTCACCGTGTCAACAATAAGCTGTCCTGATATTTTATCTCCTAAATATCTCTCAAAACCTCACTTCCCTTTCATATTCACTGGCACTCCCTATTCAGCATCTCATCACTCATTCAACAGTATTTAACGAGTATAAAGCATTTATTCTGTTTTTAAACAGAATAAAAACAGTGTGATCTTTGTTTTCTGGTGGCTCAACAATTACTTATTTTTTTCTTTCTTTCTTTCTTTTTTTTTTCCTGAGATGGAGTGTTGCTCTGTTGCCCAGGCTGGAGTACAGTGGCGTCATCTCAGCTCACTGCAACTTCCGCCTCCCAGGTTCATGCCATTCTCCTGCCTCAGCCTCCCAAGTAGCTGGGATTACAGCTACGCACCACCACACCTGGTTAATTTTTGTATTTTTAGTAAAGACGGGATTTCACCATGGTGGCCAGGCTGGTCTCGAACTGCTGACCTCGTGATCCACCCACCTCACCCTCCCAAAGTGTTAGGATTACAGGCGTGAGCCATGTCTCTTATCATTCATTCCCTAAACCATACCTCCTCAAAATTTAAATTAGATCATTTAATTCAGGGGTCAGTACACTTTTTCTATACAAACCAGATAGTAAATATTTTAGGCTTCTGGGCCATATGTGCTCTGTTGAAACTACTCAAGTCTGCTCTTGTAACATTAAAAACAGCCATGGACAATATGTACATCCACGGGTGATACTGTGTTCCAATGTGGTTTAGTCATAAAAATAGGCACCAGGCCAGATTTGACCCATAGGCCGCAGTTTGCCAACACCTGATTTAATCACAATGCTTCTTACTCCATTGGAATTAATCCAGAATCCTTTCCATGGCCTAGAAGGTGCTCCATCCTCATCTGAGTATTACTTGCTCCTCCAGGCTCCACTATGCTCCAGCCACCCTGACCATCTTTATGGTGCTTAAACACCGTGCCAAGTCCGTTCACATCTCAGGTCTCTGCACTTGATGTCCTACCCATCACAAACCACTCTTGCCCAGATCTTCTTTGAGCTGCCTCACCTCAAATGTCACCTCCTCAGAGAGGTCTTCACTGCCCACCCCAATAGGTCAGTACCCATCCCAATGCTCAAACATTCTAACTCCCATAGCTCTATTTATTTTCATCAAATTACTTATCACCATCTGAAAAAATATAATTTGTGGCATGTATATAGTCTGCTTCCCCACCAGCATACCACCACTAGAACAGAAGCTCCCCGAGAACAGAGACTGTCTTACTCATTCTCCCCTAAGTTCCCAGCACCTAGATCTGTGCCTGGCACTTAGCAGGGGCTCAAAAAATATCTGTTATCTAAACTGTTATTGCCTCTAGTCTCACTCCCTCCAACTCACTGGTATCCTCACTACCACTAGTGATCTTTCAAAAATACAAATGGGGCCAAATACGGTGGCTCACGCCTGTAATCACAGCACCTTGGGAGACTGAAGTGAGAGGATCACGTGAACCCAGGAGGCTGCAGTGAGCCATGATCACACCACTGCACCCCAGCCTGGGATAGAGGGAGACCCTGACTCAAAAAAAAAAAAATTGTACTGTATGGTGGTGCACACCTATAGACCCTACTACTTGAGTGGCTGAGGCAAGAGGATCACTGAGCCCAGGAGTCTGAGGTTACAATGAGCTATGATCGCACCACTGCATTCAAGCCTGGGCAACAGAACAAGACTCTGTCTCAAAAACTAGAAAAAGTGGGCTAGTAACAGTGACTCATGCCTGTAATCCCAACACTCTGGGAGGCCGAGGTGGATGGATCACCTGACATCAGGAGTTCAAGACCAGCCTGGCCAGCATGGTGAATCCTCATCTCTACCAAAAATACAAAAATTAGCTAGGTGTGGTGGTGCATGCCTGTAATCCCAGATACTCAGGAGGCTGAGACAGGAGAATCACTTGAACTCGGAAGGCAGAGTTTACAGTAAGCTGAGATCCTGTCACTGCACTCCAGCCTGGGAGCCTGGGTGACACAGCGAGACTCCATCTCAAAAGAAAAAATAAAATACAAATGAATCATTGAATCATGTCACTCTCCTGCTTAAAGTATTTCCATGACTCCCCACTGGCTTTAAGATACAAATGCAAATTATGTGGCAAGATCACTACAGTTCTTATCGCACCTTCCCACACTCTCCCAGTAGTAGACTGTGAGCTCTAAGTGGCAAGGACCAACTCCTATTTATCTTTTTATCTCAAGTGGTCAGCACAGTACCAGGAACACTGTTGGTGTTCCATAAATGGAGAATGAAATCAATCAACATTAGTACAACAACTAGCACAATGCACAAATCTAATGCAGTAACTCAGTAAGTACCCAATTTAAAAGCAATGAAGCAAGATTTTGCACAACTCTTTCCTTTTTTTTTTTTCCCCCCACCGAGGCACAGTCTTGCTCTGTTGCCCAGGCTGGAGTACAGTGGCATGATCTCCACTCACTGAAACCTCCACCTCCTGGATTCAAGCAATTCTCCTGCCTCAGCCTCCCGAGTAGCTGGGATTATAGGCAAGCACCACCACATCTGGCTAATTTTTGTATTTTTAGTACAGATGGGGTTTCACCATGCTGGCAAGGCTGGTCTCGAACTCCCGACCTCGTGATCCACCTGCCTCAGCCTCCCAAAGTGCTGGGATTACAGGTGTGAGCCACCACACCCAGCCTCTTTCTTTTCTTTGGAAGTTACTTGGGTGGGGGCTATGTTTATAACTCTGAATCTGACTTTGGATTTTGTCACCAAGATTTTACCTGGCAGGCAGTCACTCACTACTTTCCATAAGAATGGAGGGGCCGGGCGCGGTGGCTCACACCTGTAATCCCAGCACTTGGGGAGGCCCAGGTGGGTGGATCACGAGGTCAGGAGATCGAGACCATCCTGGCTAACACAGTCAAACATCGTGAAACATCGTCTCTACTAAAAATATAAAAAATTAGCTGGGCGTGGTGGCGGGCGCCTGTAGTCCCAGCTACTGTGGAGGCTGAGCCAGGAGAATGGCGTGAACCCGGGAGGCAGAGGTTGCAGTGAGCCGAGATCGCGCCATGCACTCCAGCCTGGGTGACAGAACGAGACTCTGTCTCAAAAAAAAAAAAAAAAAAAAGAATGGAGGGAGGAGGCAGGGAGAGAAGTCATGCAAATCTATCATGCTGTTTCACACTGATCGACTTGTAAAAGGGTTAGGAAAGGAGACCTAACATGCAGCCTAAAATGCAACTTAGGGATTCTCCATAGATTCCAAGTGTCTACATTCTCCTTGTCATCTATTAGCAAAGAGAACACAATGCTGACTGTTTTGCTGTATAAAATAATCTAAGAGATTCAGGAAATTTCTTCAGAATGGTCTCACCAATAGAATGGGAATTGCTACTTTTGGAAGAATTTCCATTAGCCCTTTGAAATCCTTCAACATTCATTAAGGCCAAAGAGTTCTCACCTAATTTAATCTGATGGGTATGTGAACAGAGTCTTTCTAGGGAATACAGACTCCCAAATTGTTCAGCTGGGAAGTAAGGAGGGAAGTTATTACTCAAAATCAAAGGGAAATGAAAAGAGGCCAACCTAGAATGTCGTTATTCTTTCTTGGGTTGGGGAAATGGGTTCCAGAGTCACTCTGTGACCTTTATTACATGACCTTCTTATTAGCATCTAAAAGCTACCAGTGTTGAATGCAGCCAGCCAGGTTCTCTTCTAATGTAATAAAATCTGCTTCCACAAAGCTTATGTGGAGCCATCTCCAGACTCCAGAAATAATAGGCTATAAATTACTGGATCTCCCGTTTGATATAATGAAGTATAAGCACAGTCCTGAATGACCCCTCTACATACTACTCTGAGTGGCTTGAAGTGAATTTGACACAAGAACTGGAGTGAGCACAAAGCAGAGCTAGATCCAGGATTAATGCACTTGAGCCCACTCCTCACTACTCAACTATAAGCCCAGTTCCAGAACCCAAGAAGTGGGTGGGAAACAAGGCTCCTGGCTTTTTCCCTAGTGTCTACATCTCTTTCACATTTCTTATCTCCTTGCAAAGAAACTAAACAGGTTCAACTAGAATAATTAAATGATTAAACCCTATACAGAGAATCTCCAGAGATTCACAAAACTTCACTCAAGATTGTTACACAGACAACCCTGACGATGACTTGATGCACCAGTGATCTACAATATTTGGGATCATTCCAAATTCCCATCAAGGATCCGCCTGTATCAACATGGGAGCCAAGGACCAACCATTCAAATGGGCCCTGCTGCCCAGCCTTTTTTATAATGCCATCTCTTCATATTGTTCCATTTAACAAAACTGCTGCCCATCATCTATCCTTAAGTCCCTTTGCCAATCAATGGTACAGAGCCAGAGTATGCTCCTCCCTAGCAGGAAATCAACAGGATGACCTGCTAAACAGCATTCAGAAAATGCTGAGACCCATGAATTACAATAGGAAAGAAAAGACAGAGAATTAGTCAGCCAGGTACATGCTGTGCCAAAAAATGCACTACAACCCCCACCCAATTCTGCCTAATCCTAGCTGGGATGATAGCAACCTGATGGACAGGCCTATAAGATCTCAAACTAAAACAGGAACTTCTGAACTGGGTTCTTTAGAACCCAGGAAGCAGCAGTAAATCATTAAAGAACAGATTAAGATCTTGAGGAGGTGAGGGAGGGTTTCAGATAAATGGAATGCTGGTAGAACACAGGGCCCAAAGGAGCAAAAGTTAACTAAGCCCAGGTAGAACCTTGTTTACTGAAGTATTAGGCAACTAATACTCTACAAGGTAACTTGTTTATTAGAGTATTAGAATAGGGGCAACTATTCTAACCGGAGAAATTGGCTCCAGTGAGGGTGGGGTGGCAATCCAAGGTACGACATGCATAGGGCTGGCAAAATTCAGGGTGACTGGAGCAAAAGCTTCAGAACTAGAAAGACCGCATCTGGGGTAGAGCACAAAACTCTCAGGAGATGAGTCTTTGTAAGAGTGAGGCAGAACTACTTGGCACTTTTAGGAGATCTGCTGATGCCCAGCAAGAGCATACTGGCTGTAAGAAGGGATGCAGGCGAGGAGGTTCACAAAAGTGATTCAGTCCAAGAGCCCAAACTGTGTTCTCTACTAAAAGGAATCAAGGCCCCCTAGAGAAATGGCTGACTCCATGCATAGTGCAGTATACAGATCCTGGAACATCTTTTTTGTCAGAAAGCAAGGAAGCCAACAAAGTCCAACAGGATCATATCAAGAAGACATGAGAGTCAACTTGAAGGGATAATTATTAACCTAGATAAGACAATGTAAGCAGTAAGCATCCAAAACAATTAATAAATAATGACTGCAATGGCCTGAAATACATCAAATGCAAACAATAATCTATGAGTTCATGACGATATTTAGAAAAAAAAAAACTATTGGTCACTAAAGTGTATAAGTTACCAGGTCACTGACTCATTATTTTGAAAAGTGACTTAAAATGGGAGGTGGGGTGGAGAATTAGGTATTTATCCAGTTTTTCCTGTACAAACATAAATGTTTAGGGAGACTGAAACAGATGAAACAAGTCTGGCAAAATGGAGACAACTGCTTAATCTGGGGGTTGGGTACATGGAGGTTCATTTATTTCTTTTGGGTATATTCGAACCCCCTCCAAAAAAAGCACAAGACAGAATGTGAGCTAAGCAGCTTAGGGTTTAGGCAAGGTTTCTGCCTACAAGAGACACTAAGATATGAGGGGTAGTTTTAGCCCTGATGGGCTGAGCCAACTGGAGGTATATAGGGAGGTACTAAATTGCAGTGGTATCATGTTGCCCAGCAGTTCATCTAGAATTCTACATCCTAGGTCTGCTTGGTAGCAGGTTTCCTAGGTGGTGGATCTGAGGCGATCGATCTATAGAACTTCCTGTGCAGTCATAATTGGCTTGGAAACTACAAAAGGGCTTGCTCTTGAAAATGGAGCCTGTCTTTGTCCATTTCATGCTACTATAAAAGAATGCCACACACTGCATAACTTGGAAGGGAGGGGAGAGGAGGGGAGGGGAAGGGAGGGGAGAGGAGGGGAGGGGAAGGGAGGGGAGGGAAAGTGAGGGGAGGGAAGGGAGGAGGTAAAGGGAGGGAGGGAGGGGAAGGGAGGGAGGGAGGGAGGAAGGGAGGGAGGGAAAGGGAAGGGAAAAAGGAAAAGGGAAGGGGATGGGAAGGGGAAGAGAAAAAGAAGGGAGGGGCAAAAGGAAGGGGAAGGGAAGGAGAACAGGAAGGGAAGGGAAAAAAGGGAAGAGAAGGGAAGGGGAAAGGAAGGGAAGGGGAAGAAAAAGGGAAGGGAAAGAAAAGGGAAAGGGAAGGGAAGGGAAGAGGAAGGGAAGGGGAAGGGGAAGAGAAGGTGAAGGGAAGAAAAGGGGAAAAGGAAGGGGAAGGGGAAGGGCAGGGTAGGGGAAGGGGAAGAGAAGGGGAAGGGAAGAAAAAGGGAAGGGAAAGGGAAGGGAAGGGGAATGGAAGAGAAAAAATATATTTCTTACAGTTCTGGAGGCTAGGAAGTCCAAGTTTGAGGGGCCTGCATCTGGTGAGGGTCTTTTTGCTGCATCTTCCCATGGCAGAAGGCAGAAGGACAAGAGAGTGCGAGAAAGCAAGAGGGCAAGAGGGGCTGAACTCTCTTTTACAATAAGCCCACTCTTGTGTTACTAATCTATTACCACAATAACAACTTTAATTCATTCATGAGGGCTGTCTTATTAGGCCCCACATCTCAACTGTTGCATTGAGGATTGAGTTTCCAGCACATAAACTTTGGGGGACACATTTAAACCATAGCAGAGCCTTTATGTAAATTCAACCAAGAGGAGATTGGAAAATCAAAGACATGAGAAAGACAGCAAGGGTGAGCAGAGAAGTATGTGCAGGTTAAGGGAAAAAGTCACAATGAATCCTCTAGTGCAGACTACTTTATCAAAAGCACCTAAAAAAGATCTCATTAACTCCCCCAACTCACCTCCACCCACATCTAAAAAGCCACACACAGCACCACCAAAGGCAGCACAATGAGAACTGCATTCTCCTCAACAGATAGGCTGTGAGTATCCAGACAGACACCCGACCTCAACAGCTCCAGAACAGCCCCAAGACAGCTCCTCCCTAACCACCACTCAAGTAACCAGCTGAAAAAGTATTCAGAAAACCTGCATCCTGACACATCACTACCAAACAACTTAAACAGCAAAGAACAACCCATTTAAACAGCAATGCCAGCTGCCAGGAAAAGTAAGGAAAATAAGTAGAGGAAAAGCAGACTCCTTGAGGTCCGCCAAGACCCAGTCTCTCAGCATCAGCATTTTCCAATGTAGAATCCATACACCCCTGGGGCCTGCGGAGCTCCACGAGGGATGCTGTCCTCAAAGATAAATGAGCAGGCAAGCTGGCCAGAAAACCACTCAGGGTATTACTCTTTAAAATGTCTTTATAGACTCAAACAGGAATGAGACTACAGGATATGTGTATTCCCAACAGATTCTGAGAATGATGTCACTATCCCTTTCAAGATGTGTTTAACACTTTGCGGTCACTTATAGTCCTGCCACTGAGTGCCAGTGCTTTCTAATTTGAACTCATTCCAGCTCACGCTGACCCTAGCTCCCTGGAACTGGTTACCATTAGCCAAGACTATCATCCATCCTTCCAAAGAGTCCGAAAAACAGCTCTTCACCTACTCAACCAAGACAAGTGAAAATGTATGCCAAAGAAATGGGGAAAAAAGATTCAGAGAGAGAATACAATTAACATACTACCAAGAGAGCAAAAAGTGAAGGGAGAGGAAAAACTAGGAAAATCATGTGTGGGCTCACACCTATTTCCAAAGCTGGGCTAATATCCTTTTGCTTGTGTCTAAATGAGGCACCAACTTTAAACTGCTACTAGAAAAAAAAAAAAAAAGAGAAAGAAAGAGAGAAAGAAAGAAGCAGGCCTAGGCCGGGCCCAATGGCTCATGCCTGTAATCCCAGCACTTTGGGAGGCCGAGGCGGGTGGATCACCCAAGGTCAGGAGTTGGAGACCAGCCTGGCCAACATGGTGAAACATCATCTCTACTAAAAAATTTTTAAAAATAGCCAGACATGGTGATGCATGCCTGTAATCTCAGCTACTTGGGAAGTTGAGGTAGAATTGCTTGAACCCGGTAGGCGGAGGTTACAGTGAGCCGAGGTAGTGCCACTGCACTCCAGCCTGGGCAACAAGAGTGAAACTTCATTTCAAAAAAAAAAAAGTAGGCCCAAATCTTAAAGTAAAACTTATTGTCTAACAAGAGTTGGTGAGAATTCCATTCCCTGGTTACTTACCCCATAGGCTGAAGAGCTGCCTCTGCCTCTAAGGATCAGGGCATTCTGTGTTTGATGGCAGAACCTATGTTCGAATGCAGCACAATCCCTGACAAGTGAGAAGAACATCAGGGTGAGTTATCCTGACCTTAAGATTGCTTCTCTAGCTCTTTCATTTAAAAAAATATATAAGAACCAAGAAGGAGATCCCCTCTTGCCACCTCAGTTCTTTGAACTCAGCTACTCAAGGTCCATTTTGTCAAGATCAAGGGCTCCCATGAGTGACTGTGAGGCAGATATGATCACTCAGAGGGCAAAAGGTAACCTTATAAAACCTGAAGACGTGAAAGGAGAACGTAGCTGCTGCTCAGAAACTCCACTAGCCCATCTTGAAAAGAAATCATCTACAAACAGTAATTCCCAGTTTCCAATTCTAGGCCTTATAGTTTTGTTGAGTGTCCCTAAACTTTTGTTTTTTTGTTTTGTTTTGTTTGTTTTTGGAGACAGAGTCTTGCTCTATCCCCCAGGCTAGAGTGTAGTGATGCAATCTCGGCTCACTGCAACCTCCACCTCCTGGGTTCAAGCGATTCTCATGCCTCAGCCTCCCAAGTAGTTGGGATTACAGGTACACATCACCACACCCAGATGATTTTTGCATTTTTAGTAGAGATGGGGTTTCTACATGTTGGCCAGACTGGTATGAACTCCTGACCTCAGGTGATCCACCTGACTCAGCCTCCCAAAGGGATTACAGGCATGAGCCACCACATCTGGCCTTCTGCTCTTTCTTATTTTGCCCACCTAATGTAAGAAAACTAAGCTAAAATAAATTTTGTAACCAAACCAAAAGGAAGCTCTCTGGGAGGTATGGCTACTATACTCAGAGACCTGAACTATCCTTGACCTAAAAATGGCTATCTGGAAGTCAGCATCCTCAGAGTACATTTCAGATGCAAACTAGAACACATCAGTGTAAACTAAGAAAGTCCAGAGCCTTTGCTTGAGTAAACCTAGATGCAGCAAACCCATGGGCTTCATGCATGATTGCTATTGTAAGACAAGCCACAGGGAGAATTAAATATGACACCTTCGGCTGGGCGCAGTGGCTCATGCCTGTAATCCCACCACTGTGGGAGGCCAAGGCGGGCAGATCACCTTAGGTCAGGAGTTCGAGACCAGCACGGCCAACATGGTGAAACCCTGTCTCTACTAAAAATGCAAAAATTAGCCTGGCGTGGTGGTAGGCGCCTATGATCCCAGCTACTTGGGAGGCTGAGGCAGGAGAATCGTTGAAGTTCAAGTGAATCAGGAGAATCACTTGAACTCAGGAGGCAGAGGTTCCAGTGAACCAAGATCACACTACTGCACTCCAGCCTGGGTGACAACAAAACTCCGTCTCAAAAAATATATATATATGTGTGTGTGTGTGTGTGTGTGTATATGTGTGCGTATATATGTGTGTGTATACATATATACACACATGCACACATATACACACACATATATATACACACACATATATATACACATATATATATATATATAACACCTTCTTGACCTATGATCAAAGTTCCTTCTAAACTCAATTTGGGGCACCATATATCACAAACCAGATGGCAAGAAATTAGATAAATTTTAGTTGTTTTCATGCCATCCCAATCACATCTTAATCAGTTCACAAACATGTTTCAGCAAATGCTGGAGGAGTTTTTCTCTCTTTAGGAGTCCTCTCTCACTTTACCCTGCTTAATAAAAGACCTCACACACTTACAAACAGGATAGAGACAGGCCAGCTTCAGGACATGCTGCATGGGGAGAACTGACTGTCCCAAAAAGAGAGGGCTCTACACCCCTCTGAACTCCACAATAGACCGGCTACACACAAATGCCTGAAGTAAGGCAGTCCCCTCAGGAAAATGAACAGTTGGCAAGATCAAGACTTCTGGCCCAAAGGGCCTGCAGCTGGTCTGACCATTCATCAAAAAATCTGAATTTAAATGGAGATATATTGGACTGTCACATGCAATAAAAGAACTGAAGCAGCAAATGGTCTTGATTTGGGTTTCCTTCCACCCTACACGGCTCCAGCAAACAGAGGAGTGAGTATGCCTGCGGTGCTCCTGACACATCTAGGGTAGTTCCTATTCACAGTGGTCAACCTTTGGGATTTTCCACACATCGCAGGGTCATTGTCGATGCCCCTGGGTAAAGTGTAGTAGCCTCAACCTCCTGGGCTCAGGCAATCCTCCTACCTCAGCCTCCTAAGTAGCTGAGACTACAGGTACATGCCACCATACCTGGCTAATTGCTAAATTTTTTTGCAGAAATGGGGTCTCACTCTGTTGCCCAGGCTGGTCTCAAACTCCTGGCCTGAAGCCATCTTCCTGCCTCAGCCTCTCAAAGTGCTGGAATTCCAGGCATGAGCCATTGTGCCCGGTCAAGTTTAGCTGATTCTTTTACCATGCTCAATTTCCAAAAAACACAGGAGGGCAGAGGTGGGGCCTCTCATGCAGATCCTCCTTCTCAGGCGTCATCTCCTAGTGACATCCTCCTTCTCAGGTGTCATGAATCTTAGTAACATTATGGTGGCATCGCTAATGATAAACAATTTTCACCACCTGATCTATTTTATTACATCACTTGGAAACATAATGACTTAAAGAGTGGGAAAGATTATTTAGTTTATGGATCACTGGCTGATTTACAGTCAGATATAAGGAGAGATAAAATATCACAAAAAATGCTGATGAGAAGAAACTTAACATTTTGACTTTGTTCAATACATTAAGTTCTTAGAGACGTAAAATAGGATAAGTAGTTCAAAAACTAAGTACACAAATTCTGCAAATAACATACAATTAGTGACCTAAGTTTGTAGTTGCCAACTGAGTAGCACCTAGAAGCTGGTCTCTGAAGACTCAGTGAGTGCCATGCACCCCGCTTCAAATCCATAGGGAGGGCAGGACTCCTAACCCAGGAGACTTGGCTTCTGTGCACTAAAACTCAAAGGGTCTGTTTCAGGAGAAGATGAGGGCCCCAGGGTCATGGGAACATGGATCCCCACTGCAGCCTTCCTTGCTCAGGACAGCTTGCGGCCCTTCCAGATGTGGTGCCTGCAGTCCCTCCTGCGCCCTTAAGTGTCACAATGCATGCTACATGGCCAAAAGCCACAGACATTTCTGCCAGCTTAGAGAACAGTTTATTGCCATGGATTCACTCTGTGAGTATTTGTTGAGCACCTGCTTGAGAAGTAAACAGGACAGGCATGATCTGCGCTGTCAGCACTACTGTACTACAGTGGGAGGAAAAAGTCAGCCAGCAGGGCTTTGTGAAAAATGAAAGGAGGATGAGTCAGTGAGCCTCACAGCTGAGGTGAGACGGTGCTCAGTGAAGACCTCTCCAACATGGTGACATTTAAACTGTGACACAAATAGAAATGAGAGGCACAGAAAGCCCTCAAGTAAGAGCATTCCACAAACACCAGGCCTCAGCCCGACAGCGCCAGGAGGCTGTGACCTGAGAGGAAGAAAGGCACACAAATGACCATGGTGGCTGGCACAGAGCAAGTGATCCACAGAGGGGATGCAGGAAAGCAGAGAAATGGCAGGAAGCAGCTCCCCCACGCCCCTGCAGAACCCATCAGGGGCTGTGAGGTTTACTCCAAGTATAGTGAAAGCCACTACAGATGACAGTCCAGAGAATGACAGGCTCCACCTCCTACTTTCAATGAACTGACCTGGCTGCGCTGTGGCATGACTCCCACTGAGAGCTGGAGGGCAGTGAAGGAGGATGGGGTAGGATCTGAGCTTTCTGTTCAGGGCGGAGTCAGGAGGCCTTGCTAGGCTGGATGTGGGAAGGCAGGAAATCACACCTCAGCGTAACTCCTGGGCATCTGGCTTGGGCAGCTGGTAGACCCTGAGAGGAGCTCCTGAAAAGGGGAATGGAGACTCTGCCTGGGACACATGAGGTCTGAGGAGGAATCAAACAGGTAGGCAAATACAAAGGTCTAGTACGAGGGGCATCTTCAGGGCCAGAAATGAGAGTCTCAATGACACAGACAATATAATATTTTTAAGAAGTGGGCAGGGTGGGATTGTCTGTAAAGAAGACACAGTAAGAAAAAAGAAAGAGGGCTCAGGGTGAAGCTGCTGGCTGGCACTCCCCAGTGTAGAGAGGATAAGGGCAGGGGCCTCAAGAGACTGAAAATGAGACAGGGAGGAGCCAAGCAAGAGCCCACAAGGTTTGAAAATTTCCATAAAAATAGTTTTTAAAAGAGTATTGGGGAGCAGGTGACAACAACCTAGAATTCTGCTGAGAAGCAGAATAAAAGTGGGGCAGACAGTGACTTTGGGAGGCAAAAGATGTTGTAGGAAATATCAAAACTAAGTATTTGAGGTGTTGATGAAGTGTCTAAGGAGCAAGACAGAAAAGAGAGCTTCGCTGAGGCTTCATCTTCAAATGCAGTGGTGGCTGCTGTCAAAGCTCTCTCTGTTACCGCAGAGCGGCACCCAGGCACAAGTACAGCCCAATAAAAAGGATTCCCAACAGTCTCACTCTTCGTGCATAAAACCCTTGACTGTACAGAAAAATGTACTCAGTAAAAAGCATATGGGTTTCCATTACCTGACTCTCTCTCCTGTTATGACTAAAACTTTAATAATGAGTGCACATTAAAAACAGTAAGACGGCCGGGCATGGCAGCTCACGACTATAATCCCACCACTTCAGTGGGTCGAGGCAGGTGGATCACCTGAGATCAGGAGTTCGAGACTAGCCTGACCAACGTGGTGAAACCCCATCTCTACTAAAAATACAAAAATTAGGCAGGCCTGGTGGCAGCTGCCTGTAATCCCAGCTACTTGGGAGGCTGAGCCAGGGAGAATTGCTCGAACCTGGGAGAAAGAGGTTGCAGTGAGCTGAGATGATGCCAGTGCACTCCAGTGTGGGTGACAGAGCAAGACTCCATCTCAAAAACAAACAAACAAACAAACAAAAAAACAGAAGGTGCCATTTGCTATGGGGAGACTAGGGATATGATCTTGCTGCAATCCTTCCATTTTAGTAAATCTAAAGAGTGTAATTCCATTCTGTTTTGTCCCCACTCCACTCCAGAGCCAAAACTAGTAAGAAAATCAATTCTATTTCTATTTCTTTCAAAACACATCTAACAATAAGAGATGATATGCACAGCTCCATACTATAAAAGAAAAACTTATGTCCTGGGTATCATAGACATTTGATGAATGTTTGTTCAGGTGACTGGTGTAGACTTCAATAATAACCCGTTCAATGCATTATGCCAGATAAAATCTTGCATCTCAAAAGTAGGACAAACATTGTTCTTTTAGTTCTGTCTACCCATAAATGCAATATTTACATGTATTTATAATGGGTTAATAAAAAGAAAATGAGTTTACTGTTCTAGAGAGTATTAGAATTTTGAAAATATGAATTCTCCTGTCCTAGCACATAATTGTTAGAGGCATATTATTTAATATGGAAGGCATCATTAAAAAATGTTAAGCATTAGGTAATTATTGCACATAATCTTTTAATCTGACTTAAGACTGAATGCCTACCTCCTGAAGCTGGTTTGTCAAGCTGTAAATCTTCATGTGTTGAATTCATAAGTTCATGTCTGAAAGGTAAGAATAAATACTTAATATTCACTAGGCAATATTCAGCAAAGTAATATCCACTAGTACATATTTCACATTTAATCACCAAGGGTGGTTTTGAAAAGACAAGGCAGGCTGGGCATGGTGGCTTATGCCTGAAATCCCAACACTTTGGAAGGCAGAGGCAGGCAGATCACGAGGTCAGCAGTTTGAGACAAGCCTGGCCAACATGGTGGCACCCCATCTGTACTAAAATCACAAAACTCAGCTGGGCGTGGTGGTAGGTGCCTGTAATCCCAGCTACTCAGGAGGCTGAGACAGGATAATTGCCCGAACCCAGGAGGTGGAAGTTGCAGTGAGTCGAAATCATGCCACTGCACTCCAGCCTGGGTAATAGAAAGAGACTCCATCTTGGAAAAAAAAAAAATTAAGAAAAGACAATCTGGATGATTGAGCACAACTAAATCTTCATTTGAGGTTTCTACAGAGTAACGAAACAAAATAATATTGTAAATTGTCTCATAAGCTGCTTCATGGAGCATGTGTTCTCACAAGTAAAGTGGTAACTCTGCAACCCACAGGTCTTTGAAGCATATTACAAAAATCTTAAATGGGATCCTTTAATATCACATTGCATTCAAGACTATCTTCCTCTACACAACTAGAAAAACAATCATATATTCCCACATATGCCACAAAAATCTCAGGCCTAAAAACAAGACACGGATACTATTTTCTTTAGCAAAAGTAGCAGAAAACTGTGAAAGAAAATGTCAGTTGCATGCTAGTCAGGTGTGGGCAGTGTTCATGTTTCAAAAGCTAACACTGGCACGACTGACTCAATGTTGGACCCAGATATATTAAAAAGTGGAAGATAAAAATACTTAAAATAGGCCGGGTGCAGTGGCTCACATCTGTAATCCCAGCACATTGGGAGGCTGAGGTAGGTGGATCACCTGAGGTCAGGAGTTTGAGACCTGACCAACATGGAGAAACCCTGTCTCTAGTAAAAATACAAAATTACCTGGGCTTGGTGGGACATGCCTGTAATCCCAGCTACTCAGGAGGCTGAGGCAGAATCACTTGAACCTGGGAGGCAGAGGTTGCAGTGAGCCGAGATCACACCATTGCACTTTAGCCTGGGCAACCAGAGAGAAACTCCATCAAAAAAAAAAAAAACCCCATAATATAAGTCAAACTTAAGTAAATATAACCGTAGTGGTAAATATTTGTCAACAATAAAAAAGATGTATTACTCACAAGAGAGATAAGAGTCAAATAAGAATCCAGGAGTCTTACTTTTTAATCACAAAACAAATCCTTTCCATTGCAAGTAATATCCTCTCAAAGCCAGGAATTCTGTAAGTGGATAGCCTTCCTAAAAAAATTTCTGGTGGGGCAAAGTGGCTCATGCCTGAATCCCAGCAATTTGGGAGGCCAAGGCGGGTGGATGATGAAGTCAGGATTACCAGACAAGCCTGGCTAACATAGTGAAACCCTGTCTTGGCCAGGCACGGTGGCTCACACCTGTAATCCCAGCACTTTGGGAGGCTGAGGCAGGTGGATCACGAGGTCAAGAGATCGAGACCATCCTGGCTAACACGGTGAAACCCCATGTCTACTAAAAGTACAAAAAATTAGCCGGGTGTGGTGGCGGGCGCCTATCGTCCCAGCTACTTGGGAGGCTGAGGCAGGAGAATGGCGTGAACCCGGGAAGCGGAGCTTGCAGTGAGCCGAGATCGTGCCACTGCACTCCAGCCTGGGCAACAGAGCGAGACTCCGTCTCAAAAAAAAGAAACCCCATCTCTACTAAAAATACAAAAAAATTAACCAGGCATGGTGACTTGCGCCTGTAGTCCCAGCTACTCAGGAGACTGAGGCAAGTGAATCACTTGAATCCAAGAGGCGGAGGTTGCAGTGAGCCGAGATTGCTCCACTGCACTCCAGTCTGGGCACAGAGCAAGACTGTGTCTCAAAAACAAAAACAAAAACAACAACAACAAAAATTCCTGGCCTAGCGTAGTGGTTCATGCCTGTAATCCCAGCACTCTGGGAGGCTGAAGCAGGAGGATCACCTGAGTTCAGCAGTTCCAGACCAGCCTGGCCAACATGGTGAAACCCCATCTCTATTAAAAATACAAAATTAGCCTGGTGTAGTGGCGGGCGCCTGTAATCCCAGGTACTCAGGAGACTGAGGCAAGAGAATCGCTTGAACCCAGGAGGCAGAGGCTGCAGTGAGCTGAGATCACAGCATTGTACTGCAGCCTAGATCATGCCATTGCACTCCAGCCTAGGCGACAAGAGTAAAAACTCTGTCACAAAAAAAAAAAAAAAAAAAAAATTCCTGTGGGGAAGGCCTTCTACATAAAGATCTTCAGCTTGAGACTGGAAAAAAGGGGTGGACCTTTGGCTTTTACAGCTTGAGCTATAAAGACAAAAAGAAAAAAGCGTATCATTTAAACACAATATGTAGAAAAGAATAATTATTGAATCTGTATTGCTCTTTAATTTTTATAATTTGATCTTTACTTCTGTTACTGTAATTGAGTCCAAAGAAAAATATTATGAGTAAAATAAAAACACCACCAAAAATGCTAATGTTCTGTTCATCAAAGTCTGCAGTGAAATATCCCATTACAGATAAGTGCAGTGACTCACACCTGTAATCCCAGCACTTTGGGAGGCCAAGAAAGGTGAATCAACTGAGGTCAGGAGTTCGAGACCAGACTAGCAAACATGGTGAATCCACGTCTCTACTAAAAATAAAAACGTAGCCAGGCAAGGTGGCAGGCACCTGTAATCCCAGCTACTCAGGAGGCTGAGGCAGGAGAACTGCTTGAACCCAGGAGGCAGAGGCTGCAGTGAGCTGAGATCACAGCATTGTACTCCAGCCTAGGCAACAAGAGCAAAACTCAATCTCAAAAAAAAAACAAACAAAAAAAAAACAGTAAGAGAATTGTGGAGCTGATGGAGCTGAGTCCTACTCATTGTATTTACTTTCCTAAAATAAAACAACATTATAAAAAAACATATGACCAGGCGCAGTGGCTCATGCCTGTAATCCCAACACTTTGGGAGGCCAAGGTGGGAGGCTCACCTAAGGTCAGGAGTTTGAGACCAGCCTGGCCAACATGGTGAAACCCCAACTCTACTACAAATGCAAAAATTACGCAGACCTTTTGGCAGGTGCCTGTGATGCCAGCTACTTGGGAGGCTGAGCCAGGGAGAATTGCCTGAACCTGGGAGATGGATGTTGCAGTGAGCTGAGATCACGCCACTGCACTCCAGTGTGGGTGACAGAGCAAGACTCCATCTCAAAAAAAAAAAGAAAAGAAAACAGCTAGCAGGTGCCATTTGCTATGGGGAGACTAGGGATATGATCTTGCTGCAATCCTTCCATTTTAGTAAATCTTAACAGTGTGATTCCATTCTGTTTTGTCCCCATTTCACTCCAGAGGCAAAACAAGTAAGAAAACCAATTCTATTTCTATTTCTTTCGAAACACATCTAAACAATTAAGAGATGATATGCATGGCTCTATACTCTAAAAGGAAACATTCTTGTGTCCTGGGTATCATGGACATTTCATGAATGCTTGTTCAAGTGACTGGTGTAGACTTCAATAATAACCTGTTCAATGCATTATGCCAGATAAATCTTGCATCTCAAAAGTAGGCCAAATTTTGTTCTTTTAGTTCTGTCTACCCATAAATGCAACATTTACATGTATTTATAATGGGTTAAAAAAAGAAAATGAGTTCACTGTTTTAGAGAGTATTAGAATTTTAACAAATGAGGCCGGGCGGGGTAGCTCTGACCTGTAATCCCAGTACTTTGGGAGGCCGAGATGGGTGGATCATCTTAGGTTGGGAGTATGAGACTAGCCTGACAAACATGGAGAAACCCCAACTCTATTAAAAATATCCGGGTGTGGCAGCGCATGCCTGTAATCTCAGCTACTCAGTAAGCTGAGGCAGGAGAATTGCTTGAACCCAGGAGGCAGAGGTTGCATGAGCCTAGATTGTGCCACTGCACTCTAGCCTGGGCAACAAGAGCAAAACTCCGTCTCAAAAAGAAAAAAAAAAATTAAAAAAAAAAAAAGAATTTTGACAACATGAATTCTCCTGTCCTGGAACATAATTAATAGTTACAAGCATATTATTTCATGTGGAAGGTACCATTTTAAAAAAACAATGTCAAGCATTAAATAATTATTGCACATAATCTTTTTTTTTTTTTTTTTTGAGATGGAGTCTCACTCTGTCACCCAGGCTGGAGTGCAGTGGCGGGATCTCGGCTCACTGCAAGCTCCGCCTCCCAGGCTCATGCCATTCTCCTGCCTTAGCCTCCCGAGTAGCTGGGACTACAGGTGCCCACTACGATACCCGTCTAAGTTTTTGTACTTTTAGTAGAGATGGGGTTTCATCCTGTTAGTCAGGATTGTCTCGATCTCCCGACCTCATGATCCACCCACCTCGGCCTCCCAGAGTGCTGGGATCACAGGTGTGAGCCACCACGGCCAGCCTGCACATAATCTTCTAATCTGACTCAAGACTGAAGACCTACCTCCTGAAGCTGGTTTATCAAGCTGTAAATCTTCATGTCTTAAATCCATAAGTTCATGTCTGAAAGGTGAGACTACTTAATATTCACTAGGCAATATTCAGCGAAGTAACATCCACTAGTACATATTTAACATTGAATCACCAAGGATGGTTTTGAAAAGACAAGACAGGCTGGGCATGATCGCTCACCTGTAATCCCAGCACTTTGGGAGGCCGAGACTGGCAGATCACAAGGTCAGGAGTTGTAGACCAGCCTGGCCAACATGGTGAAACACTGTCTCTACTAAAAATACAAAAATTAGCTGTGTGTGGTGGCAGGTGCCTGTAATCCCAACTACTCGGGAGGCTGAAGCAAGAGAATTGCTTGAACTCAGGAGGTGGAGGCTACAGTGAGCCAAGGTCATGCCACTGCACTTCAACCTGGGTGACAGAGCAAGAGTCCATCTCAGGGAAAAAAAAAATTAAGAAAAGACAATCTGGATGCTTGAGTGCAACTAAACCTTCATTTGAGGTTTCTACAGAGTAACAAAACAAAATAATAATTGTAAAATGTCTCATAAGGTGCTTCATGGAGCATGTGTCCTCACAAGTGACCTACTTTACAACCTACAGGTCTTTGAAGCATATTACAAAAATCTTAAATGGGATCCTTTAATATCACATTGCATTCAAGACTATCTTCCTCTACACATCTAGAAGAACAATCATGTATTCCCATATATGGTATAAAAATCTCAGGTCTAAAAGCAAGACATGGATACTATTATTTTTAGCAAAAGTAGCAGAAAATTGTGAAAGAAAATGTCAGTTGCATGCCAGTCAGGTGCGGGCAGTGTTCATGTTTCAAAAGCTAACACTGGCATGACTGACTCAATGTTGGACCCAGACAAATTAAAAAATGGTAGATAAAAATACATATAATACGCCGGGCGCGGTGGCTCAAGTCTGTAATCCCAGCACTTTGAGAGTCCGAGGCAGGTGGATCACAAGCTCAGGAGTTCAAGACCAGCCTAGCCAATAATGGTAAAACCCCGTCTCTGCTAAAAATACAAAAATCAGCTGGGCATGTTGGTAGGCACCTGTACTCCCAGCTACTCGGGAGGCTGAGGCAGGAGAATTGCTTAAAGCTGGGAGGTAGAGGTTGCAGTGAGCCAAGATTGAGCCACTGCCCTCCAGCCTGGGCTACAGAGCAAGACTCCGTCTCAAAACAACAACAACAAAAAACATAAAATAACTCAAACAATTAAATATAACCCTAGTGGTGAATGAATATTTGTCAACAATAACAAAGATATATTACTAAGAACAGAGATAGGAGTCCAACAAGAACCCAAGAGTCTTACTTTTTAATCACAAAATGAATCCTTTCCTTTGCAAGGAATTCCATAAGTAGATAGCCTTCTTAAAAAAGATTCCTGGTGGGGCGAGGTGGTTCACGCCTGTAATCTCAGCACTTTGGGAGGCTAAAGCGGGAGGATCACCTGAGGTCAGGAGTTTGAGACCCGCCTGGCCAACATGGTGAAACCCTAACTCTACTAAAAATACAAAAATTAGGCGGGCGTGGTGGTGGGTGCCTGTAATCACAGCTACTCAGGAGGCTGAGCTAGGAGAATTGCTTGAACCTGGGAGGCAGATGTTGCAGTGAGCCGAGATCATACCATTGTACTCCACCATGGGCAATAAGAGCAAAACTCTAGCTCAAAAAAAAAAAAAAGAGAGAAATATCCCATTGCTTTAAGGCAATGTAGACACAGCCAGACTTTCTACAAAAATCTGAACCACATTATAAAGCCAAAAAAAATCACCATCTAATTTTATTTAATACATATAGTACTAAATGGAAGAGGTAATATTTTCAAAACATAAACATTAGTGTAACCTTATTGGACTTTTACAAATAATTTTTTACATAACAGAAGCAGAAGATTCTTGTGAACTGCAACATTTCAGCAAGCATTTATTTACTCAAGATTAAAATAATACAACAGCTATAAAAAGTCAAGAGCTGGCCAGGCCTGGTGGCTCACGCCTGTAACCCCAGCACTTTGTGAGGCTGAGGAAGGTTGATCACCTGAGGTCAGGAGTTCCAGATCAGCATGGCCAACATGGTGAAACCCCGTATCTACTAAAAATACAAAAATTAGCAGGGCGAGGTGGCACTCGCCTGTAGTTCCAGCTACTGGGGAGGCTGAGGCGAGAGGATCGCTTGAACCTGAGAGGTGGAGGTTGCAGTGAGCTGAGATGGTGCCACTGCACTCCAGCCTGGGTGACAGAGCAAGACTCTCTCTCAAAGAAAAAAAAAGTCAAGAGCATGGGAAGTATTAAAATCAAACATAATCAATGGTCTCCCATCAGAACAGCTCCATTTTTTTGCTATCATTGTGTTAATGTCTACTTGCTAAACATTGATATTTGTACTAAAGTTTCAAGTGTACCATATAACACATTAGTGCTGACTTAGGTTTAATATCCTTTGCTGTACACTAAACTTCAGTATTATATATCGCAACAAAACTATCTTTCCCTAAGGTAATTACCATTAATATTGCATTAAAATTATGAAATGTGAAGATCGTTTTTATAATTTCACAACAGCTGAACATTATTGTCTTTAAACAAAATAATCTAATAAATCAGCATCACAATAAAAGCCCCACAACATAATCTGTTTCACCTTATAAAAAGCACTGACATTTATAAAATGGTCATAGTCAATTTATAAAACTGTAATAGCAAATTATTTTTATTCAGAATAGTACTAACAATATAACAAAAACATAGGCCAGGTGTGGTGGCTCACGCCTGTAATCCCAGCACTTTGGGAGGCAGGTGGATCACTTGAGGTCAGGAGTTCGAGACCTGCCTGGCCTACAAGACAAAAAACTCTGTCCCTACTAAAAATACAAAAATTAGCTGGGCATGGTGGTGCACGCCTGTAATCCCAGCTACTTTGGAGGCTGAAGCAGCAAAATTTCTTGAACCCGGGAGGCAGAGGTTGCAGTGAGCCGAGATAGTACCACTGCACTCCAGCCTGGGTAACAGAGCGAGATTCTGTCTCAATCAATCAACCAATAAAAACATAAGAAGGAAACATTTACTATGTATTTATATGCCTGGTATTATGTGAAGCACTTTACTACTTTATCAAATCTTCGGGATATTCAGTTCTCATGAACACAAAAGAGGATATTAAGGCTCAGAAAGGAGAAGAGATGTGGCCAGGCTGTGTCCCCAGAGCCTAAGACGTTACCATTAGGTTACAGTGCTTCCAAATAGCACATCTTATGAGGTTTTTGCTTTAAAACGAACCAATAAAAAACAAAGGCAAAAAAGGCGTACACTATTAAAACGTGGAAGAAACACTAAAAGAACCTTAAGCTCATAACTAAAAATATTATGGAAAACTTATTTAATTCATTAGTAAATTTACTCTAATTCTAGACTTTCATTGAGGGATAGGTTATATTACTCATGATGAAGAAAAAATGTTCAAGTATATTAACATAAACACCATCGATATGGTTTATCACGTTTAAATATTCACTTAAATCACTTCAGTTAAAATTCTGCATGTCATACAATTCTACAGCTTGCTAGTAGATTGCAAAATAAATAGTCATCCAAATAAAAACGGCATAACACATGATGTTTTTCACTGGTTGTTGCTATTTTTAGGTGAGCATTTACTATATACCATCAGAGAGATGATAATAACAAATTGCTAATTTCTTTCATCATTATATAAAGGTGGCTTTAGGATAGAATAGGATAAGGGAAAAGAAGAATTTGAAATCTAATGTCAACTCAGCGATGCATCAAGACAAAGGCAGAAACAATAGCGGCATCTTGGTGAATACCGAATTTTTTCTTCAGATAGAATTTTGCTCTTGCTGCCCAGGCTAGAGTGCAGTGGTGCCATCTTGCCTCACTGCAACCTCCACCTCCCGGGTTCAAGCAATGCTCCTGCCTCAGCCTCCCAAGTAGCTGGGACTAAAGGCATGCGCCACCACGCCCAGATAATTTTGTATTTTTAGTAGGTCAGGCTAGTCTCGAACTCCCACCTCAGGTGATCTGCCTGCCTCGGCCTCCCAAAGTGCTGGGATTACAGGTGTGAGCCACTGCGCCCAGCCGAATAACGAATTTAACATAGCAGATTGAGAGAAACAATTAGTTTAAAAAAATATTATTTGGCCAGGCACGGTGGCTCACGCCTATAATCCCAGCACTTTGGGAGGCAGAGGTGGGTGGGTCACAATGTCTAGAGTTTAAGACCAGCCTGGCCAAGATCGTGAAACCTTGGCTCACCTAAAAATACAAAAATTAGTGGGGCATGGTGGCAGGCGCCTGTAATCCCACCTGCTCGGTAGGCTGAGGCAGAGAATTGCTTGAACCTGGCAGACGGAGGCTGCAGTGAACTGAGATCATGCCACTGCACTCCAGCCGCGGTGACAGGGCGAGACTCCATCTCAAAAAGAAAAAAAAAAAAAAAAAAAAAAAAAAAAAATATATATATATATATATATATATATATACACACACACATATATATATACACATGTGTATATATATACGCGTATATACACACGTGTGTATATACGCGCGTATATATATACGCGTGTGTATATACACGCATATATATATATTTTTTTCAGTCAAATCCCTAAGATCTAGGGCTTTGCAATAAATATATAAAGAAATCCCAAATATCCACACTGAAAGTATAAAAGAAATGCTAATTGATAATTAGAGAACTACAACTTTTCCTTAGCTTTCAAGTAATCTAGAAACAAAGAAACTTTCTAATATTTAGACAGACACTACAAAGTACCTTACAAGGAAAGACGTGTAAGGATGGCATGACTCACCAGCAGCCCTGGGTTTGTCCACAGTACCCCCATGATGAAACAGCAACTCCATTGTGTAAATGCTCATGAACAAACTATTACAGGACTTTTCCAGTTTAGACACACTGTATTTTCTTTCAGACAATTCTTCAACTTGTTTACGTAGATCAGTGATACGACTATTCCATTTTTCTGAAAACTGACCAGAAGTTGATTCTCAATAATACATCCCTATACCACAGCAGCAATAACATATAATGACTTATTTCCTGTATTTTACATCCTAACAGATCATATCATTTTACTGCTTTCAAAAAAATTGTTCCCCTTTTTGGTGGTTCTTAGAATTAGTTTAATGGGAGACTATAAGAGAAGTTTTAAAGTTTAGTACCTCTTTTCAGCCTTTTAATTTATGAAAAGCAGGAGTGCAGAAAAGATCAATCAAATTAAACATGACAACAGGGAGGCCACAATGAGGAGGTCTCCAGGGGTCTTTTAGCAAACTTCCTAAAACATGTCTCAGCTGTATGGAAGTAATATTTTACAGTGGTGGTGGTGCAGGCCTGTAATCCTAGCATTTCAGGAGCAGAGGCTGGGCAGACCGCTTTGAGCTAAGGGCAATACAGTGGAAAACCCCCTCCCCTCCCCCACCCCCCAGTCCCACCCCGTCTCTACCAAAAATACAAAACCTAGCCAGGCTTAGTGGCAGGCGCCGGTAGTCTCAGCTACTCGGGAGGCTAAGGCAGGAGAATTCCTTGAACCCAGGAGGTGGATGTTGCAGTGGGCTGAGACTGCGCCACTGCCAGCCTGGATGACAGAACAAGACTCTGTCTCAAAAAAGAAAAAACAAAAACATAAGGTTAAGAGAGACCCCAGACCTTACAGATACAAGTTTAACAGGGACCCCAAAGCAAAAAATCCCAACCCTTTTTCTCCCAATCATTGAAACACCAGGAGGGTGTAATAGTTTTGCAGCCTAGCTGTAGTAGGCTGATGCCCCCAAGATGCCCACATCATAATCCCTGGAACCGGTGAACATGACCTTATATGGCAAAAGGGGCTTTGCAAGTATAATGAAGTTAAGAGTCTTTGGCCAGCTTGTCCCCACAGGGTTTATGTACTCACCTGGATCCTTATAAGAGCAGAGCAGGTGATGGAGAGCGGTGGGAGGTGTAGTGATGAAAGCAGGAAACGCGAGTCATTCGAGAAGGGCAGCACAAGCTGAGGAGTACAGGCCGCCTCCAGGGCCAGGAAACAGATTCTCCCGCAGAGCCTGGGAAGGCACTGACCCTGCTCCCACGTTGACTCAGTGGGACTGACTTTAGAATTCTGGCCTTCAGAAATGTAAAGGAATACCTCTGTGCTGTTTTAAGCCACTAAGTGTGTGGTAATTTATTGCGGCAGCAACGGGGAACTAGTATTGTAGTGAAGCCTCAATACCCACCTGAAGGGGCCAGGCGCAGTGGCTCACGCCTGTAATCCCAGCACTTTGGGAAGCCGAGGTGGGCAGATCACTTCAGATCAGGAGTTCCAGACCAGCCTGGCCAACATGGTGAAACCCCGTCTCTACAAAAATTAGACAGGTGTGGTGGCGCATGCCTGCAATCTCAGCTACTCAGGAAGCTGAGACATGGGAATCACTTAAACACGGCAGGGGGGCGGGGAGGGGGTGAAGGTTGCAGTGAGCTGAGATTGTGCCACTGCCCTCCAGCCTGGGTGACAGAGTGAGACTCCGTCTCAAAAAAAAAAAAAAAAAAAAAACCCACCTGAAGAAGGTTTCCAGTTCTGCCAGCAGTCCCCCACCCAACCCCCAGAAGCAGACATTCCTTTGCTGTGGGCCATGGACAGGCAGAAGGAAGTGCCTCCTCATGGCAGAGGCCTACCCAGGAGAAACCCAAGGTAAGGCACTGCCAGGCCAGCCCCTCTGCCAAAGCCATTTTCTTTTTTCTTTTTTTTGAGACACAGTTTCACTCTGTCTCCCAGGCTGGAGTACAGTGCCACGATCTTGGCTCACTTCAACCTCTACCTCTCCAGTTCAAACGATTCTCCTGCCTCAGCCTCCCGAATAGCAGGGATTATAGGAGCGTAGCATACCTAGCTAATTTTTTTAGTAGAGATAATGGTTTTGCCATGTTGCCCAGGCTGGACTTGAACTCCTGGCCTCAAGTGATCCACCTCTCTCAGCCTCCCAAAGTGCTGGGATTACAGGCGTGAGCCACCGCACCCAGCACTCGTCAAGGTCTTTGATGGCAGGTTTTTCCAGGTGATCAGTCCTTGTCTGGTCTGGCTCTGTCACACTCTCCCTCTCACCAAGTTCGAACCCCTAGCTAGTTTTCAGAGGAGGAGAGTGTGTACCCCAATCCCAGCTTGGTATGGTTCAGATCTGTATTTGGCTCAGGAAGCCTGGCTGCTCCCCAGGCCCTGGAGAAAAAAAGGGTCTCGCTGCAGGTATGATACAAGACGGGCCTGTCCCCAGGACCGTGTAAGAGGGAAGCCCAATGTGCCACCAGGTTGGCAGGGCTGGGGAAGGGAAAGTGTTATGGTAGCCCCAAGACTAAAAAGAGGCAGCAGAGGGAGCAGGACAGTGCTCCCATGGAACTCATGCCGCTGCCTGAGTGAGGTGAGGGAAGAGTGCACCCACTGACATCAGGGGGCAGAGAGGTGCGGTTCCAGCGCGGCTTTTCCTGCTTCTTGCCATGTTACTCTGATCCCCTCCAGGTGAGCCCGCCCATTTTGGGCCCAGGGTTGCCGCTGGGGCCTGTACCCAAATGCAGCCCCCCATGGCCATGGCCCCAGGAGTGCGGCAGAGCAGGGAGGAGTCCTGGAAAGAGGAGACGCAGGGGCAGGAAGGAATGGGCCTCAAACTCCAGGAGGGGGTCCTTCTCATGGGTCCTGCTTTCTGGCCTCTCCTCGCTTACCCCTGGGCTGATCCCCCTGGGAAGAACTGAGCCAAGGTTTCTCACTCTCAAATCCGAGGGATTCAATTACCGGGCCCTTAGGGAGGTGTCAGCCCCCTGAAACGATGCAAGGTGCCCGGCCTAATTTTTATATTTTTAGTAGACATGGGGTTTCACCATGTTGGCCAGGCTGGCCTCGAGTTCCTGACTTCAAGTGATGGCCTGCCTAGGGCACCGAAAATGTTGGCATTACAGGCGTGAGCAAACGCGCTCGGCCAGCTCTATTTATTTCAGCCTATACATTTTGCACTTGTTAAAAGTATTTGAACATACAATTCTGTTTTCTTTAAGCAGTCCCTCCCTGTTGCACACTTGGATAGTTTTTTTACTTTTTTAGACAGGGTTTACCTCAGTCTCGCAGGCTGGAGTGCTGTGATGGGATCATAGCTCACTGCAGCCTTGAACTTTGGGGTTCAAGTATCTGGGAAGCTGAGGTGGGACTACAGAGATGGGGTCGCGCCACGTTGCCTAGGCTGCTCTTTAACTCCTGGCCTGAAGGGATCCTTTCACCTCGGCGCCCGGATATAGTTTTCTAGTTTTGACCCACAGAAACACCGTGCTGGGTCAGAGTTTGTCAACCACCCTTCTCCAGCCAGCAACACACAGAACATGGCGGGGAAGTCGCGGTTACCAGGCACCACTCTGAAGACAAAACAGCCCAGCTCCAGGCACTGTACCGTCACTCTGACGACGCGGAAGGCCTGGCGCTATTGCGTCGCCGAGGGCCCGCGCCTGTGACGTCAGCGAAGGCGCTCCCCAGTGACGACAGAGAGCCACGCCCCTCATGTGGAACCAATCGGAACTCGAGGAGCGGCTGCCGGGTCGTCCAGAAGCGCGCATGCGCAGACGCGTGGCCACAGCCGGCCGGTCAGTGTTCGCAGGCTCCGACCCGGCGGCCAACACCAGTAAGCTACAAGGAGGAGCTTTCCCACTGCCTGTGCTACTACTACCGGCGCGACTTCCCAGCCTGCAGCGTAGGGCGCAGCAAGGGCCTGACGCTGAGCGAGCAGGCGCTGCACACCAAGCGGTTGTCGCCTGGCGGGCACAAACAGAAGGTCGGGCAGAAGCTCCTTAATGGCCACTGCAAGCCGGCTAGCTCCGGCTGCAGCCGTTGCCGCACACTCGCCTCACCTGAGGCTGGGTACGTGCGCCCCCCAACACCTCCTCCAGCCAGGGACCGGGGACCCCGCAGCGTCCCCCGCCGCCCGGCGCCGCTCATCCTGGGCAGGCTCGGCTCCCTCTGAGGCTGCCCCGCTTTAGGGAGCTGAACCCCCCATCTTGACAGCTGATGGCCGTTGCAACAACATTAAAGCCTTTGGAACTTTGTAGCGGGGGTACAAGGGGCTAGGAAACGCAGAAAACATCTTTTTAAAAATATAAGCGATCGGGCCGGGCGCAGTGGTTCACGCCTGTAATCCAGCACTTTGGGAGGCCGAGGCGGGTGGATCACGAGGTCAGGAATTCAAGACCATCCTGGCTAGCATGGTGAAACCCCGTCTCTACCAAAAATACAAAAATTAGCCTGGCGTGGTAGCGGGCACCTGTAATACCAGCTACTTGGGAGACTGAGGCAGAGGCAGAGAATTGCTTGAACCCGGGAGGCGGAGGTTGCAGTGAGGCGAGATCGCGCCACTGCACTCCAGCCTGGGCGACAGAGAGAGAGACTCCGTCTAAAAAAAAAAAAAATTGGTATTCTGATGTATATTGCACAGTGTGTCAACCTCAAATAATCAACAGGGTCAGAATCTAAAGGGAGTTTATTCATGCAGAGTTTAAGGAGGGCCACCTGGGAAGCACAGATACCCAAGAGTGGAAGACAGTGTTCCAAGGCTTAGAAGTTTGGGATCACTTGCATAGACAAAGTTTAGGGAAGCTTAGCAGAATTTCAGCATCTCTCCGTTTAAGGCTTAATACATAGTTAAAACAATCTGATTGGTCCAGGTGGTCTTTCTTTCACTCTGTCACCCAGGCTGGAGTGCAGTAGTGCAATCGCAACTCATTACAGCCTCAGCCTCCCTGGCTCAAGCGATCCTCCCACCTGGGCATCCCTAGGAGCTGGGACTACAGGCGTGCACCAACACACCTGACTAATTTTTGTATTTTTTGTAGAGACAGGGTTTCACCACATTGCCCAGGCCAGTCTCAAATTCCTGGGCATAAGCAGTCCTCTCACTTCGGCCTCCCAAAGTACTGGGATTACAGGCATGAGCGACTGCACCCAGACGAGGTGGTCTTTTTTCCGGGAAAGGTGTATTTTACCTTCTACACTGAAGATGTAAGTCATGGGGTCTTTTGTGCCATCTGGTGTGAGTTAGGTACAGAACAATAAAGGAGGCAGTTAATCTGTAACAAAGATAAGTGATTGTAAGGAGAGGACGACTAGTCTCTGGTCTCTCATAGTCATTTGCAGAATGAAAATAATAAGGAAGGAATAAATTATAATTTAAGAAGCAGAAGTTACAAACATGCTATGTGACTCGGTCAGGGTGTAACTTCCCTCTTGGCATGATAAATTTATAGAGGGTCCTGATACTTTTTTTTCTTTTATACTTGCTAGATTCTCTGCACTGTTGATCCCACAACAATTCTTCCAGGTAGATGCTGCTATCCACTTTTTTGTTGTTTGTTTTCGAGACAGATTCTTGCTCTGTCATCCAGGCTGGAGTGCAGTGGCGTGATCATGGCTCACTGCAACCTCTGCCTCCTGGGTTCAAGCAATTCTCCAACCTCAGCCTCCCCAGTAGCTGGGATTACAGGTGCCCACTACCACACCCAGCTAATTTTTGTGTTTTTACTAGAGACCAGGTTTCACTTTGTTGACCAGGCTGGTCTTGAACTCCTGACCTCAGATGATCCACCCGACTCGGCCTCCCAAAGTGCTGGGATTACAGGCATGAGCCACTGTGCCCCGCCCACATTTTAGAAAACGGATTCTAAGGCACAGAGAGTTCAAGTACCTTTCCAAAGATGACACAGCTCCTAAAGTGCTAGGATTACAGGCATGAGCCACTGCTCCCAGCCTTTTAAACTCAATTTGAATTATAAATGTGATCACTATAGAAAATATGTGTATTATTTATCTGCTGCTATGTAACAAATTACTCCAGACCTAGTGGCTTAAAATAAATACTTAGGGCCAGGCACAGTGGCTCATACCTGTAATCCCAACACTTTGGGAGGCCGAGGTGGGCAGATCACTTGAGTCCAGCAGTTTAAGATCAGCCTGGGCAACATAGTGAGACTCCATCTCTACAGAAAATGCAAACATTAGAGGATTTTGCATGTGTGTGCTTTTTCTGTTTACACATGTATGATATGAAACAGTTAAATGATAGAGAACTGTGTAACACATGGAGCAGGTGCAGTGGCTCATGTCTGTAATCCTAGCACTTTGGGAGGCCAATGTGGGAGGATCACTCGAGCCCAGGAATTCGAGACCAGCTTGGGCAACATGGCGAAACCCTTTCTCTACAAAAAATTTTAAAAAGTAGCCAGCCGTGGTGGTGCACGCCTCTAGTTCCAGCTACTGAGGAGACTGAGGCAGGTGGATCGCTTGATCCCAGGAGTTTACAACCAGCCTGGGCAGCATAGCAAGACCCCATCTCTACAAAAAATAAAACAATTAACTGGATTTGGTGGTATATACCTGTAGTCCCAGCTATTCGGGAGAATTGCTTGAGCCCAAGAGGTTGAGGCTGCAGTGGGCTGTGATTGCACCACTGCACTGGGCAACAGAGCAAGACCCTGTCTCTTAAAACAAAACATACCAAAAACTATGTAACACATGAAGGAAAGCTGCAATCACATCTTCCTCAGGCAACCACTAGTATTCCTAGTATCTACCCTTTGTATGTTTTTTTCTATGTGCTAACTCATGTGATGACTATTTTAAACAAATTGTCCTGTGTTCTCACCTGGATTTTTTTTGTTTGTTTTTTTGAGACGGAATCTCACCCTGTTGCCCAGGCTGGAGTGCAGTAGCACAACTTCGCTCCAACCTCCACCTACCAGGTTCAGCCGATTCCGTATGTGAAAACACTGATTTACAAAGCCAAAATATATCTTAGTTTTATTTCCTGTATGCCCTCAATGAGGTCGTCTCTATTTTTTTTTTTTTTTTAACAGAGACCAAGGTCTCACTATGTTGTTCAGATTGGTCTTGAACTCCTGGCCTCAAGTGATCCTCCTGCCTTGGCCTCCCAAAAGGCTGGGATAACAGGGCTGAGCCACTGCGCCTGGCTGAGGTTCTCATTAAATGAAAATAAAGGCCAGGTGCAGTGGCTTATACCTGTAATCCCAGCCCTTTGGGAGTCTGAGGTGGGTGGATCACCTGAGTTCAGGAGTTTGAGACCAGCCTGACCAACATGGTGAAACACCGTCTCTACTAAAAATACAAAAAATTAGCTGGGCGTGGTGGCAGGCACCTGTAATCCCAGCTACTCGGGAGGCTGAGGCAGGAGAATCGCTTGAACCCAGGAGGCAGAGGTTGCAGTGAGCTGAGATTGTGCCACTGCACTACAGCCTGGGTGGGTGACAGAGCGAGACTCTGTCTCAAAATAAATACACGCCCACACGAGGCTGGGCTTGGTGGCTCATTCCTGTAATCCCAGCACTTTGGGAAGGTGAGGTGGGTGGATCTCTTGACCCCTGGAGTTTGAGACCAGCCTGGGCAACATAGTGAGACCCTTGTCTATACAAAACATAAAAAGTTAGCTGGGCATGGTGGCTGGTACCTGTGGTCCCAGCTACTCAGGAGGCTGAGGTGGGAGGATTGCTTGAGCCTGGGAGGTCAAGGCTGCAGTGAGCTATGATCGCACCACTGCACTCCAGCCTGGACAACAGATTAAGACCTTGTCTCAAAAATACAAACGTGGCCAGGCACGATGGCTCACGCCTGTAATCCCAACACTTTGGGAGGCTGAGGCACGCAGATCACCTGAGGTCAGGAGTTTGAAACCAACCTGGCCAACATGACGAAAGCCCGTCTCTACTAAAAATACAAAAATAATTAGCCGGGTATGGTGGCATATGCCTGCAGTCCCAGCCACTCAGGAGGTTGAGGCAGGAGAATCGCTTGAACCCCGGAGCAGAGGTTGCATTGAGCCAAGATTGTGCCACACACACACAAAAAAACATGAATGCATATATATATACACTTACATGCGTAAACACATACCAACACCAGGTTCGATGCCTGTCCCGAGTGCCCACCAGACCTTGCCCCCAGCAGTCAGCTTGGTTACCATCCACCAACACCCCCCAAGCATGTGTTCTGACCTCTTAGGGGCAGAGGTGGGCTGTTTATCCCAGAATCCCCACATCATATCAGGCCTCTCCCTGCAGCTCCCTGGGTGGGTGGGAATTAACCAAATCATCTGTCCCAGGGTTCCTGCCACCTTCATTCCCCAGCCCCCTCCCCAGATTCTTAACACTTTCCAGGCCCTGCAGGTCTCAGTCCCCCACAAGCAGTGATCAAACCCCTACTGTGCCAAGCCAGGAGCCCCAGAGCTCACAGATGGTGAGGAAGGGGGATCCCCAGATGGTTCACCCCAGGACAGTGAGCAGGTGCCTGGCTTGGCCACCCCTGGAGATTGTGGTCCCTGGAGATAAAGCACAGGGAATCTGTCTCCCTGGTGGAGGTGGGGAGCACCATCCTGGAGGGCCAGGGACTGATGGGGACAGGGATGCCTTCTGCTGTGGCGACCGCGGTGGGCCCCGACCGCCTGGAGGGGCAAGGCTGGGGCAGGGTGGCCCTGGACTTGGCTGACAGGTGTCATTTGCTGCTTCCCTTCACAGGTCAGACAAGGGCAGCATGTGTGAAGACTGCGGGCCAGGTGAGAAGGAACAGGGCCCGCTGTGTGTATCGTGGGCAGGGAGGGCAACCACCAGCCTTGGGGAGGAGCTCAACTCAGCCTATGAGAGTGGAGTGCTAATGAGCCTCCTCTGGGCAATAGAGTGAGACTCCATCTCAAATGAAAAAAAAAAAAGGGAAAGAAAAGGACCCTTGTCTGTGGGGAGACTGGGCTGGGTGGTCCCTGAGGGACTGTGACAGGAGTACAACAGGCAGAAGACACCCATGTCATTTGGAGTTTTGTCTTCAGACCCGTCACCAACCTCTGAGGAAATGACAGACTCAATGGCTGGGCACCTGCCATCGGAGGATTCTGATTGTGGGATGGAGATGCTGACAGGTAAGAAATGGAGCTGGGCTGGTGGTGCTTGGGACTCATCTCCCCAGGGAGCAAAGGGAAAGGGGTGGGCCAGACAGGCCTCAGGCTTTTCTTGGTGTTGACCGGCTCTAGTAGATGTAATCCAATATATGCCTGACCCCAATCCAAGGCTGGGTTCCTTTTGGAAACCTCAAGTAGGCAAGTAGGCTCTATTTATTTATTTAGAGACCTTGGGCATTTCACGTCATCTTTGTGTGTTTATATATAGATATAGATATAGATATATAGATATATAGATATGTACCCATATATATACACACACATATATATACCCATATATATACATACACATATATATACACACATATATATACACACATTATATATACACACATATATACACACATATATACACATATATACACACACATATATACATATATATACGTATATATATACACACACACATATATATACATATATATACATATATATACATATATACATATATATACATATATATACATATATATACGTATATATATATATACACATACACACACATATATATATACACACACACATTTTGAGACAGAGTTTCACTCTCGTTGCCCAGGTTGGAGTGCAGTGGTGCGATCTTGGCTCACCACAACCTGTGCCTCCCTGGTTCAAGCGATTCTCCTGCCTCAGTCTCCTAAGTAGCTGGGATTACTGGCACACGCCATCACGCCTGGCTAATTTTTTAGTTTTCGTATAGACGGGCTTTCGCCATGTTGTTCAGGCTGATCTCGACCTCCTGACCTCAGGTGATCCACCTGCCTCAGCCTCCCAAAGTGCTGGGATTGCAGGTGTGAGCCACCACACACGACTGTAGGCTCCATTTATAACAAGGCTCAGCATCCTTCCCAGGAGCCACCTATTGGGATTAATTTGTCCATTTATCCAACAACTATTTATTGAGCATCTATTGTGTACCTGGTCCCATATAAGGGGCTGGAGACAAAGCAGTGAACCTGAAGTCCCCACCTCCTGGAGTTCACATCCTCATGTGAAGAGATAGATGGATAGTAAGCAAATAAGTAAAATAGGCAAGTTAAGGTGGCTCATGCTTGTAATCCTAGCACTTTGGGAAACCAAGGCGAGGGGATTATTTGAGGCCGGGAGTTCAAGATCAGCCTGGGCAACATACAGAGACCCATCTCTTAAATTTTTTGACATGGATCCTCACTCTGTCGCCCAGGCTGGAGTGCAGTGGCGCAATCTCAGCTCACTGCAACCTCCACCTCCTGGGTTCAAGCAGTTCTCCTGCCTCAACCTCCTGAGTAGCTGGGATTACAGGTGCCCACCACCATGCCTGGCTAATTTTTTTGTATTTTTAGTAGACATGTGGTTTCACCATGATGACCAGGCAGGTCTCGAACTCCTGACCTCTAATGATCCTCCTGCCTCAGCCTCCCAAAGTGCTGGGATGACAAGTATGAGCCACCGTGCCTGGCCGAGGACTTTGTCTTGTTCCCATGTGTCCTCGGTGTCTACAACAGACTAGCTTGGGAGGTACATGCAAAATGATCTCAGCCTGCTTCTGTGTGAAGGCCAGGGTGGGCACCTGTATGGAATCTGGATCCCTGATCCCATTGGAGTGGGTGCCGTGCTTCAGAGTTGGGGTCCCCTGGCCCTCCATTCCCCAGCTATCTGGTCTGACGTCAGCAGTGCAAGGCTTAGGAGATGATGAACATGGCTTCCCGGCATCCTCTGTTCTCTTTTAGACAAAGGCCTGAGTGAGGACCCACGGCCTGAGGAGAGGCCCGTGGAGGGTGAGGCACTGTCTATCCCCCACGTTTTACGCCCACCGCCACCCCATGTCTCCTCCCCTGCCCTCCACCTACCCTTGGCCTCTGGGTCTCTTCCTTCTCTCCATCCCATCTCTCTCCAGCACCCTGGTTTGGGGGTGGGAGTCCTGTGGGCTGCCTGAGGTGGGAGGAGATTTAAGGACATGTCTTCTAGAACCAGGAGGTACCTGGTCAGAGCTGCAAGCGGTTCCCACTGCTAAGGGAAATTACAAGACTTTGTTTGCTGCTTTCCACAAAGGTTTTAAGACTGGGAACTGAGCCTCCTCTATCTGAACAAGTAGAATAGAGGCCTGAAAGCACAAAATTGGCTTTGTGTCCAGCAGACACACCCATTCTCAGGAACGTGAGAATTCCCTCCCTGCTGAGAGTGGAAGTAGGACAGAGAGAGAGGGAGGCCAGCGTGAGGGTGGGTCTGTTTCACCTCTGGAGTATCCTGGAATAGAATGAGTGAGTGTCAGAGGACAGAATTGTCACTTCCCAAACCCAGCCCGGCAGGAGGAACCATGAAGTCTTAACACAGTTCCACTGCCACCTGGTGGCGGTGTGCTCAATTTGCAGGCTTAGTGTGTACCCAGTAGTTCTCAGTCACATACTATACTCAGTCACATACCTAGAAAGATGCATGGTCACTCGTAGTCCACAGAACCTTCCAAATCTTCATTCAGGCTGGTGATGCCCTAGATTTGATTTCACTAACAGGAATGTGAGCACTGTCTGGCTCACAGGAATTGTGGACCTGTCTGCGTGTGCCATTTCTGAGGAAATAAGTTGCCCACTGCCACCACCCCAGCCCCAGCCTTCCCCCATTCCAAGATCCCACCACAAGGCCAATCTTGGTACCAGCAGAGCAGGAACATCAGCCGAGAAGCTGCCACCAAAGAGCCTCAACAGACTGCCTTTTGCCTTCCAGACAGTCAAGGTGACGTGATCCGGCCCCTGTGGAAGCAGGTGGAGCTGCTCTTCAACACAAGATACGGTGAGCAAGAAGTGGGACAGGGTTGGGGGCATCCCAGCCCCCTCCAGTGGCCCTGTTTGCAGAAGGGCTTTGGACCCATCCCCTTGCCAGCTCCCATCCCAGCTGCTCTCTGGGCAGGGACAAGGGAGGGAGGGAAGGGAGGAGCTGGGACCCTCCTTTAAAAAAAGAGAATAAGATAAGATAACCTTAGTGGTGTGCCAGGCATGAGGCTAGGTGCTTCCCCGTGTTTTTTTGTTTTGTTTTGTTTTGTTTTTTTTAGACAGAGTCTGACTCTGTGGCCCAGACTGGAGTGCAGTAGCACAATGTCGGCTCACTGCAACCTCCGCCTCCCAGGTTCCAGTGATTCTCCTGCCTCACCCTCCCGAGTAGCTGGGATTGCAGGCGCTTGCCACCACACCCGGCTAATTTTTGTATGTTTAATAGAGACAGGGCTTCACCATGTCGGCCAGGCTGGTCTTGAACTCCTGACCTTAAGCGATCCTCCCACCTCTGCCTCCCAAAGTGCAGGGATGACAGGCATGAGCCACCGTGCCCAGCCCCCTGTATTCTTCTATCCCACCTCACAAAATCCCCATGTCCTAAGACCCACTTTACAGGTGAGGAGCACTGAGGCCTCGTAAAGGAGTGTGACTCATCCAAGGCCCCACCCCACTCAGTGGCAGAGATCAGGCTCATTCCAAGGTGTGGGTGTTGGTGTTGTAGAGATGAGGTCTTGCTATATTGCCCAGGCTGGTCTTGAACTCCTGAGCTCAAGTGGTCCTCCTGCCTCAGCCTCCCAAAGTGCTGGGATTACAGGCATGAGCCACCACTGCTCCCAGCCTAAAAAGGTTTTTAAGGCTCATGACACACTGTACTGAGTTGCTCTCTGGAAATGTTACAATTTTTGCTTCTCAGGGAGGTACATCTTTCTGTACGCTCATAGGCATAAAATGCAAAAATGCAATCCTAAATTTTTATCTTGGCCATGTGTGGTGGCTCACATCTATAATCCCAGCACTTTGGGAGGCCAAGGTGGGAGTATTGTTTGAGCTCAGGAGTTTGAGACCAGCCTGGGCAACATAGTGAGACCTGATTTCCAAAAATAACCCCAAAACTAAATTTTTCATTTTTGACAACTTGACAAATTTCAAGTGACATTTATTACTAATGAAGATGAATATTTGTCATCCCTTGTTGGCCCTTTGTATGTCTAAATGGTGAATTGTTCATTCATGTCCTTGGTGCATTATTTAATGTTTTAAATGTTTCTTCTTCTTTTTTTTCTTGAGATGGAGTCTCACTCTGTCGCCCAGGCTGTAGTGCAGTGGCACGATCTCGGCTCACCGCAAGCTCTGCCTCCTGGGTTCACGCCATTCTCTTGCCTCAGTTTCCTGAGTAGCTGGGACTACAGGTGCCTGCCACCACGCCTGGCTAATTTTATGTATTTTTAGTAGAGACAGGGTTTCACCGTGTTAGCCAGGATGGTCTTGATATCCTGCCCTCATGATCCGCCCACCTCGGCCTCCCGAAGTGCTGGGATTACAGGCATGAGCCTCCGCGCCTGGCCTAAATGTTTTTTTCTTTACTTATTTGAAGAAGTTCTTTATATGTGAAGCTCATTAACCTTTTATCTGCCACATGGAGTTTGTCATTTGTCTTCTTGTTTTTGATTTAAAAAAACTATTCATTCCTAGATGGGCATTACCCTTATTAAACAACTAATATAATGTGTGATATCCAATGATACATTTAAAACAAGACAACCAATATCTTGATGTACATAAAGATAAACTTCAGAAGACAAACATTAAATGTTTCAACACACATTTGAATGAACTTTACTTACAAATTGTTTAGTTGGAAAAGAAATTTGTGTTCAAAAAATGTTTTCACTGGTGGAAAAATAAATCTAACAAAACCAGCATGTGAAAACACTGATTTACAAAGCCAAAATATATCTTAGTTCCATTTCCTGTATGCCCTCAATGTGATTGTCTCTATTTTTTTTTTTTAACAGAGACAGAGGTCTCACTGTGTTGTCCAGGTTGGTCTTGAACTCGTGGCCTCAAGTGATCCTCCTGCCTCGGCCTCCCAAAAGGCTGGGATAACAGGACTGAGCCACTGCGCCTGGCTGAGGTTCTCATTAAATGAAAATAAAGGCCAGGCACGGTGGCTTATACCTGTAATGCCAGCCCTTTGGGAGTTTGAGGTGGGTGGATCACCTGAGTTCAGGAGTTTGAGACCAGCCTGACCAACATGGTGAAACCCCATCTCTACTAAAAATATAAAAAATTAGCTGGGCATGGTGGCAGGCACCTGTAATCCCAGCTTCTCAGGTGGCTGAGGCAGGAGAATCGCTTGAACCCAAGAGGCAGAGGTTGCAGTGAGCTGAGATTGTGCCACTGCACTCCAGCCTGGGTGGGTGACAGAGCGAGACTCTGTCTCAAAATAAATACATGCCCACACCAGGCTGGGCTTGGTGGCTCATTCCTGTAATCCCAGCACTTTGGGAGGCCAAGGTGGGTGGATCTCTTGACCCCTGGAGTTTGAGACCAGCCTAGGCAACACAGTGAGACCCTTGTCTCTACAAAACATAAAAAGTTAGCTGGGCGTGGTGGCTGCTACCTGTGATCCCAGCTACTTGGGAGGCTGAGGTGGGAGGATTGCTTGAGCCTGGGAGGTCAAGGCTGCAGTGAGCTGTGATCGCACTACTGCACTCCAGCCTGGACAACAGAGTAAGACCTTGTCTCAAAAATACAAACATGTGGCCGGGCACGATGGCTCACGCCTGTAATCCCAGCACTTTGGGAGGCTGAGGCACGCAGATCACCTGAGGTCAGGAATTCGAAACCAACCTGGCCAACATGACGAAACCCCGTCTCTACTAAAAATACAAAAATAATTAGCTGGGTATGATGGCGCATGCCTGTAGTCCCAGCCACTCAGGAGGTTGAGGCAGGAGAATCGCTTGATCCCCAGAATCGGAGGTTGCAGTGAGCCAAGATCGTGCCACTGCACTCCTGCCTGGGCAACAGAGCAAGATTCTGTCCCCAAAAAAAAAAAATACATGGATGCATATATACATATACATATATACATACATGCATACATACATACCAACACCAGGTTCGATGCCTGACCTGAGTGCCCACCAGACCCCGCCCCCAGCAGTCAGCTTGGCTACCATCCACCAACACCCCCCAAGCACATTGTGACCTCTTAAGGCAGAGGTGGGCTGTTCATCCCAGAATCCCCACATCATATCAGGCCTCTCCCTGCAGTTCTCTGGGAGGGAGGGAATTAACCAAATCATCTGTCTCAGGGTTCCTGCCACCTTCATTCCCCAGCCCCCTCCCCAGATTCTTAACACTTTCCAGGCCCTGCAGGTCTCAGTCCCCCATAAGCAGTGATCACACCCCTACTGTGCCAAGCCAGGAGCCCCAGAGCTCACAGATGGTGAGGAAGGGGGATCCCCAGATGCTCACCCCAGGACAGTGAGCAGATGCCTGGCTTGGCCACCCCTGGAGATTGTGGTCCCTGGAGACAGGGCACGGGGAATCTCTCTCCCTGGTGGAGGTGGGGAGCACCATCCTGGAGGGCCAGGGGGTGATGAGGGCAGGGATGCCTTCTGCAGTGGCAACCGCGGGGGGCCCCGACGGCCTGGAGGGGCAAGGCTGGGGCAGGGTGGCCCTGGACTTGGCTGACAGGTGTCATTTCCTGCTTCCCTTCATAGGTCAGACAAGGGCGGCATGTCTGAAGACTGTGGGCCAGGTGAGAAGGACCAGGGCCCACTGTGTGTGTCATGGGCCGGGAGGGCAATCACCAGCCCTACCCGCAGCTTTGAGGAGGAGCTCAACTCAGCCCATGAGCCTGGAGTGCTAATGAGCCTCCTCTGCCCACCTGCATCTCCCAGGCCTTGCAGCGCCGAGGTGCAAGGCATACTGGGAGCTTACTGGGGTGGGGACATGGAGAGCTAGGTGCTGGCATCACCACTGCCTCCTGTCAATGCCCAGACCCAGGCTGCAGGCTCTTGAACCAGCAGCCTCCCCTCTGGGGGGCCTCAGTTACCGGGTCTGTAAATTGGAGCCCCTAAGCCTGGCCTGAGGGCCCCCTGACCTCCAGTTCCGGTCTGGGCAGAAGCCAGGGGAGTGACATGACTTGTCCTAGGTAGGTCCTCACTAACAAGTTACAGACACCAGAATGTTCTGGAAAGACTCACTCTGCCTGGTCAGGCTCTTGCCAGACTTGACCAGATCCTTCTTTTCCTCCTTGCAGGAACCTCCGGGGAGCTGGGTTGGCTGAAGCCAATCAAAATTGAGCCAGAGGATCTGGACATCATTGCGGTCACTGTCCCAAGTAAGCGACGGACATCTGACCACCCCCTGCAGAAATGAGGACCGTAACATAAGCCTCCTGAGGGTCTGCCCTGGTGAAGAAGAGGCCTCCAGGCCACTGTTTCTCTCCATGGATTCTGAGGCCCACCTGGGTATTGTGAATTCTTTCTCTGGCCACATCTGCCCCCTGCATTGTGAACCAGTGTTCTTAGCTCTGACGTTCCAGAAGATCCCCTCAAACATCACCTCCCTGGCTTGGCTTCCCTGGGATTTGTGAGGCTGGAGAGAAGAAAAAGGCATAAGCCTGAGAGGCTCCAAGTTGGACCCTACCCCCTGCCAAGCCTCATTTTCCACATCTTCAGAGGAGAGGGTAGATTTGGGCACTGGAGCCTCAGTATGGGGTGACTGTCAGAAGCCAAGAGGGTGCCGGACGCAGTGGCTCATACTTGTAATCCCGGCATTTTGGGTGGCTGACATGGGAGGATTGCTTGAGGCCAGGAGTTCAAGACCAGACTGGGCAACATAAAAAGACCCCCCATCTCTACAAAAAATACAAAACATTAGCCAAATGTGGTGGTGTGTGACTGTCAGTGCAGCTTCTCAGGAGGCTGAGGCAGGAGAATCACTTGAGCCCAAGAGTTGGAGGCTGCAGTGAGCTGTGATCACACCACTGCACTGCAGCCTGGGCAACCAGAGGAAGACCCTGTCTCAAAAAAAAGAAATGGCCAGGTGCAGTGGCTCACGCCTATAATCCCAGCACTTTCGGAGGCTGAGGCGGGCGGATCACCTGAGGTCAAGAGTTCGAGACCAGCCTGGCCAACATGGTGAAACCCCATCTCTACTAAAAATACAAAAATTAGCCAGGTATGATGGCTCATGCCTGTAATCCCAGCTACTCAGGAGGCTGAGGCAGGAGAATCGCTTGAACCTGGGAGGCGGAGGTTACAGTGAACCGAGGTGGCACCACTGCACTCCAGCCTGGGCGACAGAGTGAGACTCCATCTCGAACAAAAATAAAAAAAGAGAAAGAAAAGGACCCTTGTCTCTGGGGAGACTGGGCTGGGTGGTCCCTGAGGGACTGTGACAGGAGTATGACAGGCAGAAGACACCCATGTCATTTGGAGTTTTGTCTTCAGACCCCTCGCCAACCTCTGAGGAAATGACAGACTCGATGCCTGGGCACCTGCCATCTGAGGATTCTGATTGTGGGATGGAGATGCTGACACGTAAGAAATGGAGCTGGGCTGGTGGTTCTTGGGACCCGTCTCCCCAGGGAGCAAAGGGAAAGGGGTGGGCCAGGCAGGCCTCAGGCTTTTCTTGGTGTTGACCGCCTCTAGTAGAGGAAACCCAATATATGCCTGACCCCAGTCCAAGGCTGGGTTCCTTTTGGAAACCTCAAGTAGGCTCTATTTATTTATTTAGAGACCTTGGGCATTTCATTTCGTCTTTGTGTGTTTCCCTATTTTTTTTTTGTTTGAGATGGAGTTTCACTCTTGCTGCCCAGGCTGGAGTGCAGGGGCACGATCTCGGCTTACCGCACCTTCTGCCTCCTGTGTTCAAGCGATTCTCCTGCCTCAGCCTCCTGAGTAGCTGGGATTACAGGCACATGCCACCACGCATGGCTAATTTTGTATTTTTAGTAGAGAGGGGCTTTCGCCATGTCAGTCAGGCTGGTCTCGACCTCCTGACCTCAGGTGATCCACCTGCCTCAGCCTCCCAAAGTGCTGGGATTGCAGGCCCGAGCCACTACGCCCGACCATAGGCTCCATTTATAACAAGGCCCAGCATCCTTCCCAGGAGCCACCTATTGGGATTAATTTGTCCATTTATCCAACAACTATTTATTGAGCGTCTATTGTGTACCTGGTCCCATGTAAGGGGCTGGAGACGAAGCAGTGAAGCAAGCAGAAGTCCCCATCTCCTGGAGTTCACATCCTCATGTGAAAAGATAGATGGATCGTAAGCAAATAAGTAAAATAGGCAGGCTAAGGTGGCTCATGCTTGTAATCCCAACACTTTGGGAAGCCAAGGCGAGGGGATTATTTGAGGCAGGGAGTTCAAGATCAGCCTGGGGAACATACAGAGACCCATCTCTTAAATTTTTTGACATGGATCCTCACTCTGTCGCCCAGGCTGGAGTGCAGTGGCGCAATCTCAGCTCACTGCAACCTCCGCCTCCTGGGTTCCACCAGTTCTCCTACCTCAATCTCCTGAGTAGCTAGGATTACAGGTGCCCGCCACCACAGCTGGCTGATTTTTTTGTATTTTTAGTAGACATGGGGTTTCACCATGATGACCAGACAGGTCTCAAACTCCTGACCTCAAATAATCCTCCTGCCTCAGCCTCCCAAAGTGCTGGGATTACAGGCGTGAGCCACCATGCCCTGCCTCAACAAATATTTATTGAGCACCTACTGTGTACTAGGTCCTGTGTAAGGGGCTGGGGAAAAAGCAGTAGACCAAACAGATGTCCCCACCTCCTGGGGTACACATCCTCGTGTGGAGAGATAAGCAGTAAGCAAATAAGTAAAATAGGCAGGGCAAGGTGGCTCATGCCTGTAATTCCAACACTTTGGGAGGCCAAGGCGAGGGGACTGCTTGAGGCCAGGAGTTCAAGACCAGTCAGCAACATAGCAAGTCCCTATCTCTACTGAAGAATTTTTTTTAATTGGCTGATGCAGTGGCTCGCACCTATAATCTCAACACTTTGGGAGGCCAAAGCAGGAGGATCACTTCAGCCCAGGAGCTTGAGGCTAGCCTGGGCAACATGGTGAAACCCTATCTCCACAAAAAGTACAAAAATTAGTTGGGCGTGATGGTCCGTATCTGTAGTCCCAGCTACTTGGGAGGCTGAGGTGGGAGGATTGATTGAGCCCAGGAGGTTAAGGCTGTGGTGAGCTGTGATGGTGCCACTGAGCAAGACCCTGTCTTAAAATAAATAAGTAGGTCAGGCGCATTGGCTCACACCTGTAATTCACCACTTTGGAAGGCTGAGGCGGGCAGATCGCTTGAGGTCAGGAGTTGAAAAACAGCCTGGCCAGCATGGTGAAACCCCGTCTCTATTAAAAATACAAAAATTAGCTGGGCGTGGTGGCACATGCCTGTAATCCCAGCTACTCAGGAGGCTGAGGCAGGAGAATCACTTGAACCCAGGAGGCAGAGGTTGCAGTGAGCCAAGATTTTGCCATTGCACTACAGCCTGGACGACAGAGTGAAACTCTGCCTCAAAATTAACAGATAGAGAGATAGATACTAGATACATAGATAGATAAAAATTAGACAGGCACGGTGGGACCTATGTTTAGTCCCATCTACTCAGGAGGCTGAGGCAGGAGGATCCATTGAGCCCAGGAGTTGGAGCCTGCAGTCAGCTATGATGGTGCCACTGCACTCCAGTCTGGGAGCCACAGCAAGACACCATCTCAAAAAAACAAAAATAGGCTGGGCATGAAGACTGAAGACTGCGTAATCCCAGCACTTTGGGAGGCCGAAGCGGGCAGATCACCTGAGTCCAGGAGTTCAAGATCAGCCTGGCCAACCTATTGAAACCCCATCTCTGCTAAAAAGACCAAAAACATTAGCTAGGCATGGTGGCAGGCACCTGCAGTCCCAGCTACTTGGGACACTGAGGCAGGAAAACCTCTTGAACCTTGGGAGGCGGAGTTTGCAGCCAAGATCGCGCCACTGCACTCCAGCCAGGTCAACAGAGTGAAACTCTATCTCAAAAACAAAGAAAGAAACAAACAAAAATAGGCAACAAGGAAGGATGCTTAGGATGTAACATTAAGAAAAAGAAGAAAAATTGATTGTGCTTTTCTTACAACTGTGTTGCAAACATAATCACTGGGGAAGAACAACGGTATAGCAAAACAGTAGCAGTGTTAGGCAAAATGATTTGTGTTTTTTATTTTCTAAATCAGTTATGATGCACTTCTAATACTTTGGTAATGAAGAAAAAAATATGCTTTGTCCAGCACACACTGGGCATGACTAGACTTGACAGCAGTCTGTGGTGTAGCTATCCAGAGAGTTTGGTTGACGCCAAGCTCAGGCTGAGATGACAGCATGGCATGGCGGCTAAGGAATTGACGTGGCACACGGATGGGTTTCGCTGCGGCGTTAGAAAACACCGTGGAAGCCAGGCGCGGTGGCTCACACCTGTAATCCCAGCACTTTGGGAGGACGAGGTGGGCGGATCATGAGGTCAGGAGATCGAGACCATCCTGGCTAACCCGGTGAAACCCCATCTCTACTAAAAATACAAAAACTTAGCCAGCCGTGGAGGCGAGCACCTGTAGTCCCAGGTACTTGGGAGGCTGAGGCAGGAGAATGGTGTGAACCCGGGAGGTGGAGCTTGCAGTTAGCCGAGATCGCGCCACTGCACCTCAGCCTGGGCAACAGAGCGAGACTCCGTCTCAAAAAAAAAAAAAAGAAAGAAAAAGAAAACACCGTGAAAGCCTCCATGCAGCACTCAACAGCCAGAGGCTGGGTGGCACTGCAGGGGCTGGGGGTCTTGGATGAGCATAGCACCACTGCTGTTTGTTTCACAGAGCAGAACACAGGCTTAGCCAGGTTCAGACTCAGCCACCTCCCCAAGGTCATACAGCCTTGGGCTGGAACACATGTTTCCCATGCAGAGCTCCTTCCCAGACACCCCAGTCAAACCTGATGAATTAAGAAAATTCTGGCTGGGCTTGGTAGCTCATGCCTATAATCCCAGCACTTTGCGAGGCTGACGTAGGTGGATTACCTGAGGTTAGGAGTTCGAGACCAGCCTTGCCAACATGGCAAAACCCCCATCTCTACTAAAAATACAAAATTAACCAGGCATGGTGGTGCGCACCTGTAATCCCAGCTGTTTAGGAGGCTGAGGCAGGAGAATCATTTGAACACAGGAGGCGGAGGTTGCAGTGAGCCAAGATCGCACCATTGCACTCCAGCCCGGGTGACAAGAGCGAAACTCCATCTAGAAAAAAGAAAAAGAAAATTCTGTTGGTGGTGCACGCCTGTAATCCCAGGTAATCGAGAGGCTGAGGCTGGAGAATCGCTTGAACCCAGGAGGCAGAGGGAGCAGTGAGCTCAGACTGCACCACTGCACTCCAGCCTGGGTGATAGAGTGAGACTCTGTTTCAAAAAGAACAAAACAACAAAAAAGAAAATTCTGAGATGTCCAGGACCACCGTGGATTAAAGGATTTTGCATGTGTATGCTTTTTCTGTTTACACATGTATGATATGAAACAGTTAAATGATATAGAACTGTGTAACACATTGAGCAGGTGCAGTGGCTCATGTCTGTAATCCTAGCACTTTGGGAGGCCAACATGGGACGATCTCTTGAGCCTAGGAGTTCGAGACCAGCTTGGGCAACATGGCAAAACCCTTTCTCTACAAAAAATTTTAAAAAGTAGCCAACCGTGGTGGTGCATGCCTCTAGTTCCAGCTACTGAGGAGACTGAGGTGGGTGGATCGCTTGATCCCAGGAGTTTACAATCAGCCTGGGCAGCATAGCAAGACCCCATCTCTACAAAAAATAAAACAATTAACTGGATGTGGTGGTACATACCTATAGTCCCAGCTCTCCAGGAGGTTGAGGTGGGAGAATCGCTTGAGCCCAAGAGGTTGAGGCTGCAGTGGGCTGTGATTGCACCACTGCACTCCAGCCTGGGCAGCAGAGCAAGACCCTGTCTCTTGAAACAAAACAAAACCAACAACTATGTAACACATGAAGGAAAGCTCCAATCACATCCTCCTAAGGCAACCACTAATATTCCTAGTACCTATCCTTTGTATGTTTTTTTCTATGTGCTAACTCATGTGATGACTATTTTAAACAAATTGTCCCGTGTTCTCAACTGTGTTTTTTTTTTAGACAGAATCTCACCCTGTTGCCCCGGCTGGAGTGCAGTGGCACGACCTCGCTGCAACCTCCACCTCCCAGGTTCTGGCGATTCTCCTGTCTCAGCTTCCCAAGTAGCTGGGATTACAGGCGCCTGCCACCACGCCTGCCTAATTTTTGTATGTCTAATAGAAACAGGGCTTCACCGTGTTGGCCAGGCTGGTCTTGAACTCCTGACCTCAAGCGATTCGCCCACCTCGGCCTCCCAAAGTACAGGGATTATAGGCATGAGCCACCATGCCCAGCCCCCCATGTTCTTGTATCCCATCTCACAAAATCCCCATGTCCTAAGACCTACTTTACAGATGAGGAGTACTGAGGCCTGATAAAGGGGTGTGACTCATCCAAGGCCCCACACCACTCAGTGGGAGATCAGGCTCATTCCAGGGCATGGGTGTTGGTGTTGTATACATGAGGTACCTGGTCAGAGCTAGGAGCAGTTCCCACTGCTAAGGGAAATTACAAGGCTTTGTTTTTATTACACACCCTGCTGCTTTCCACAAAGGTTTTAAGACTGGGAACTGAGCCTCCTCTATCTGAACAAGTAGAATAGAGGCCTGAAAGCACAAAATTGGCTTTGTGTCCAGCAGACACACCCATTCTCAGGAAGGTGAGAATTCCCTCCCTGCTGAGAATGGAAGTAGGACAGAGAGAGAGGGAGGCCAGCATGAGGGTGAGTCTGTCTTACCTCTGGAGTATCCTGGAATGGAATGAGTGAGTGTCAGAGGAGAGAACTGTCACTTCCCCAAAACCAGCCTGGCAGGAGAAACCATGAAGTCTTAACACAGTTCCACTGCCACCTGGTGGCGGCGTACTCAATTTGCAGGCTTAGTGTGTACCCAGTAGTTCTCAGTCACATACTATACTCAGTCACATACCTAGAAAGACCCATGGTCACTCCTAGTCCACAGAACCTTCCAAATCTTCATTCAGGCTGGTGATGCCCTAGATTTGATTTCACAAACAAGGATGTGAGCCCAGGAATTGTGGACCTGTCTGCGTGTGCCATTTCTGAGGAAATTCAAGTTGCCCACCGCCACCACCCCAGCCTTCCCCCATTCCAAGATCCCACCACAGGGCCAATCTTGGTACCAGCAGAGCAGGAACATCAGCCTAGAAGCTGCCACCAAAGAGCCTCAACAGACTGCCTTTTGCCTTCCAGACAGTCAAGGTGACGTGATCCAGCCCCTGCGGAAGCAGGTGGAGCTGCTCTTCAACAGATGATATGGTGAGCAAGAAGTGGGACAGGGTCTGGGGGCATCCCAGCCCCCCTCCAGCTGCCCTGTTTGCAGAAGGGCTTTGGACCCATCCCCTTGCCAGCTCCCATCCCAGCTGCTCTCTGGGCAGGGACAAGGGCAGGGACAAGGGAAGGGAGGAGCTGGGGCCCTCCTTAAAAAAAAAGAATAAGATAAGATAACCTCAGTGGTTGCTGCTGGGCATGGGGCTAGGTGCTTCCCCACTTTTTTTTTTTTTTTTTTTGACACCAAGTCTCACTGTATCACCCAGGCTGGAATGCAGTGGCACAGTGTCGGATCACTGCAACCTCTGCCTCCCAGGTTCAAGCAATTATCCTGCCTCACCCTCCCGAGTAGCTGGGATTACAGGTACCCGCCACCATGCCTGGCTAATTTTTGTATTTTTAATAGAGACAGGGCTTCACTGTGTTGCCAGGCTGGTCTTGAACTCCTGACCTTAAGTGATCCACCACCTCGGCCTCCCAAAGTGCAGGGATGACAGGCATGAGCCACCGTGTCCAGCCCCCGTGTTCTTGTATCCCATCTCACAAAATCCCCGTGTCCTAAGACCCACTTTACAGCTGAGGAGAACTGAGGCTTGGTAAAGGGTGTGACTCGTCCAAGGCCCCACACTACTCAGTGGCAGAGATCAGGCTCATTTCAAGGTGTGGTGTTGGGCCACACCAGCGTGTGGGGTTGCTTATGGTGGCAGGAGGAACACTCGGGGGGCCTTACTGGAAGGGTGAGGCTGAAGGGACTCAGGGGGAAGCAATGCCGAATCTCAGCAGCCATTAGCGGTGGCTTCTGTGCTGCCTGGGCATGAGGGCATGGACCCAGTGTGGGCCTTGGGGTAACCCTGGGTTGAGTTCTTATCCCCTGGCTCTGTCGTTCAGTGGCTCTGTGACCTCAGACAAGTCATGTCCCCTCTGAGCTCCAGGTTCCTTTCCTGCAGGCTGGGGAGCTACTCTTTCCACCTCCCAGGAAGGCTGGCAGGCCCTCAAAAGGGCTCTGGCAGCTTTGCCCCCTACACAGGCATGGGACACAGGGGTTGAGGCTCCTGGCCCCATGGCACCGGGTGGCCATGTCTCTGCAGCCATGTCTCTGCAGCCAAGGCCATTGGCATCTTGGAACCAGTCAAGATGCCGTACTCCAAGTTTCTGATGCACCCGGAGGAGCTGTTTGTGGTGGGGTTGTCTGAAGGCATCTCCCTCCGCAGGCCCAACTGCTTCGGGATCGCCAAGCTCTGGAAGATTCTGGAGGCCAGCAACAGCATCCAGTTTGTCATCAAGAGGTAAGGCCCAGCTAGGTCCATGGGAGACAGCACCAGGACTGCTCAGCACCCGGGGCAGGAGCAGCACCAAATCACCATCAAGCGATTCTTGTGCCTCAGCCACCCGAATAGCTGGGACCACAGGTGTGTGCCACCATACCCAGCTAATTTTTTGATTAATTGATTGATTGATTTTATTTTTTTAGAGATAGGGTCTGGCCACATTGCCCAGACTGTTCTCAAACTCCTGGACTCAAGCCATCTCCTGCCTGGGCCTCCCAAAGTGATTACAGGCGTGAGCCACCGCGCCTGGCCACTATTTCTTTTTTCCTTTAGACAGAGTGTCACTCTGTCTCCCAGGCTGGAGTGCAGTGGTACGATCTTGGCTCACTGCAACCACAGCCTCCTGGGTTCAAGTGATTCTCCTGACTCAGCCTCTCGAGTAGCTGAGACTACAGGTGCCCACCACCACTCCCAGCTAATTTTTGTATTTTTAGCTGAGATAGGGTTTCACCATATTGGCCAGGCTGGTCTTGAACTACTGACCTCAAGTGATCCTGCCACCTCAGCTTCCCAAATTGCTGGGATTATAGGCATGAGCCACCACACCAGGCCTTTCTTTTCTCTCTCTCTCTTTTTTTTTTTTTCTTTGACAGCAAGGTGTTAGATGGGTTTGGCTGCAGTTGGCAGATGTGAGGCTTCTCAGGCCTGTCAGACCCAAAGCCACCGAGCTGACCCCTCTCACAGTCTCAGGAGAGCAGTGTTCAGTTTGCCCAGATGCAGAATGGGAATGTCCCATCAGCTCACAGGTTCTCCAGGCTGGTGTGTTGGTGTCCTGGGCCAGGGGCTGGTGGCAATGCCCCATTGTCCCAGGATGGGAAAGTCTGGCAGTGGCTTCTCCAGGCTCTTTCTGTTTCCTTGAGCATGTTGTGTTTTTGCCAGTGAGGTCCCAGGGCAGCACCCATGGATACACTCTGTGTGCCCAGCTAGGATAAAATGTCCCTTTGGAGAAGGCGGTGGCAGTTATTGAGTAAAAATGTGGTCGGGGGATTTCAGGAACAGTGGTTCATGCCTGTAATCCCAGCACTTTGGGAAGCTGAGGTGGGAGGATTGCTTAAGCCCAGGAGTTCAAGACCAGCCCGGGCAACATAGCAAGACTGTGTCACTACAAAAAAAATTTTATAAGCTCTAGTGTAGCAGCACATGCCTGTAGTCTCAGCTACTCAGGAGGCTGAAGCAGAAGAATCACTTGAGGCCAGGAGTTCAAGACTAGCATGGGCAACATAACAAGACCCCATCTCTACAAAAAACTTTTAAATTAGCTGGGCATGGTGGTGCACACCTGTAATCTCAGCTACTCAGGAGGCTGAGGTGGGAGGATCACTTAAGCCCAGGAGGGGTTTGGAGGCTCCAGTGAGCTATGATTGCACCACTGCACTCCAGCCTGGGTAACAGAGCAAGACCCCTCCTCAAAAAAATAAAAAAACAAAACAGGGAATGGGAGGATCCTATTTCCATTTTGTGTTTGTTACTTCTGTGTTACTGTAATAGCATACATTTAGGCTTGGTTTATGGTTGGGCACGATGGCTCATGCCTGTAATCCCAGCACTTTGGGAGGCCAAGGCAGGCAGATCACTTGAGGTCAGGAGTTCAAGACCAGCCTGGCCAACATGGCGAGATCCCATCTCTACTAAAAATACAAAAATTAGCCAGGCGTGGTGGCTCATGCCTGTAATCCCAGCTGTAATCTCCCTGTCATCAGGAGACTGAGGCAGAAGAATCAGTTGAACCCGGGAGGTGGAGGCTGCATTGAGCTGAGATGGCACCACAACACTCCAGCCTGGGCGACACGGTGAGACTCTGTCTCAAAAAAAAAAAAAAAATTAGGCTTGGTTTGGTTGAAAGCAGCAAGAAAGAAGAGACTCTTAAGGGTTTGTTCATCCAGGGGAATAGATGGTTCTCAAACTGGGAGACTCACAGTGTCATTTTTGCATAAAGTGGCGAGGAGATCTGCTGGGACAGGGAGCTCTTCTGCAGGGCCTGCTCTATGCCAGGAGGGAGGCTGCTGCTCCATGACACACAAAGAGCAGATAGCAAAAAGCTATGCAAAAGGGCTGGAGAGCAAGAGTCGTGATTCATGCAGTAGAATCAAAGGCTTCAGCAGGCCAGGATGAAATGCAGCCACATACCTGGTGTGTCTGGGCATATTAAAAGGAAGATTGAGCTGGGCACAGTGGCTCATGCCTGTAATCCCAGCATGGGAGGCTGAGGTGGGCAGATCACTTGAGATCAGGACTACTAAAAATACAAAAATTAAGGCCGGGCACGGTGGCTCACACCTGTAATCCCAGCCCTTTGAAAGGCCGAGGTGGGCGGGTCACCTGAGGTTGGGAGTTCGAGACCAGCCTGACCAATCTGGAGAAACCCTATCTCTACTAAAAAATACAAAATTAGCCAGGTGTGGTGGTGGGTGCCTGTAATCCCAGCTACTCGGGAAGCTGAGGCAGAAGAATTGCTTGAACCCAGGAGGCAGAAGTTGCAGTGAGCCAAGATCATGCCATTGCACTACAGCCTGGGCAACAAGACCAAAACTCCATCTCAAAAAAAAAAAAAAAAAATTAGCCAGGCTTGGTGGTGTGCACCTGAAGTCCCAGCTACTTGGGAGGCTGAGGTGGGAGGATTGCTTGAGCCAGGAGTTCGAGGCTGCAGTGAGCCATGATTGCACCACTGCACTCCAGTCTGGGTGACAGAGTAAGGCCCCATCTGAAAAAAAAAAAATGTAAATACATTCTGGCCAGGCGTGATGGCTCATGCCTGTAATCCCAACACCTTGGGAGGCCCAGAAAGGAGGATCGCTTGAGCCCAGGAGTTTGAGACCAGCCTGGGCACTGTATGGAGACCCCATCTCTACAAAAAATTTTTAAAATTCTCACACCTGTAATCCCAGCACTTTGGGAGGACAAAATGGGAGGGTCGCTTGAGGCCAGGAGTTTGAGACCAGCCTGGTCAACATAGCGACCCCATCTCTATTTGATTTTTAGAATTAAAAAATTAGCCAGGTGCAGTGGTATGTGCCAGTAGTCCCAGATACTTGGGAGGCTGAGGCGGAAGGCAGAAGAATCGCTTAAGCACAGAAGGTCCAGGCTGCAGTGAGCTATGATGGCATCACTGCACTCTAGCCTGGGTGACAGAGCAAGACCTCGTCCCTTTAAAAATACAAAGAGAGGGCCGGGCGTGGTGGCTCACGCCTGTAATCCCAGCACTTTGGGAGGCCGAGGCGGGCGGATCACGAGGTCAGGAGATCGAGACCATCCCGGCTAAAACGGTGAAACCCCGTCTCTACTAAAAATACAAAAAATTAGCCGGGCGTAGTGGCGGGCGCCTGTAGTCCCAGCTACTTGGGAGGCTGAGGCAGGAGAATGGCGTGAACCCGGGAGGCGGAGCTTGCAGTGAGCCGAGATCCCGCCACTGCACTCCAGCCTGGGCGACAGAGCGAGACTCCGTCTCAAAAAAAAAAAAAAAAATACAAAGAGAGGCCGGGCGTGGTGGCTCACGCCTGTAATCCCAGCACTTTGGGAGGCCGAGGCAGATGCATCAATTGAGGTCGAGAGTTCGAAGCCAGCCTGGCTAACATGGTGAAACCCCATCTCTACTAAAAATACCAAAAATTAGCTGGGCGTGGTGGTGCTCACCTGTAGTCCCAGCTCCTCGGGAGGCTGAGGCTCAAGAATCACTTGAACCTGGGAGGTGGAGGTCACAGTGAGCTGAGATCGCATTACTGCACTCCAGCCTGGGCGACAGAGCGAGACTCCTTCTCAAAATAAATAAAAAAATATATATATAAATAAATAAAACACAAAGAGACAAACAAACTAAAAAACCATCCTGGATGCCTGCCAGGTCCTGGGCTTGCAGCCCAGCGGTAAATGCCACCAAGTTGCCCTGGAGTTGCCGATGTCACCCAGACAAAATCACAACATCATGTCACGTAGAGATAACTGCTGTGACAGGATATAATTCAGAGTGAGGGGGAGAGAGGGACAGGAGGAACCTGGAAAAGGAGGTGACATTGGAGCAGCGACCCAATGAAGTGAGAGGGCCAGCCAGGTGCATAAAGAGTGTGGGAGCAGGCCAGGCGCAGTGGCTCATGCCTGTAATCCCAGCACTTTGGGAGGCTAAGGCAGGCAGATCACAAGGTCAGGAGTTCGACACTAGCCTGACGAACATGGTGAAACCCTGCCTCTACAAAAAGTACAAAAATTAGCCAGGTGTGGTGGTGCGTGCCTGTAATCCCAGCTACTCAGGAGGCTGAGGCAGGAGAATCGCTTGAACCCAGGAGGTGGAGGTTGCAGTGAGCCGAGATCATGCCATTACACTCCAGCCTGGGTGACAAAGGGAGACTCTGTCTAAAAAAAAAAAAAAAGACTGTGGGGATAGAGAAAAAGTCATGCCAAGTCTCAGAGGCAACAACGTGCTTGTGTGTTTGAAGGCTCGCAAGGTGCCCTTGTAGCTGGTACGGGGTGAATGAGGGAAGGATGGTGAGGTTGAGGCCCAAGAAGTAGCAAGGGACCAGGCGCAGTGGCCCATGCCTGTAATCCTAGCACTTTGGGAGACTGAGGTGGGAGGATTGCTTGAGCTCAGGAGTTTGAGACCAGCCTAGGCAACATAGTTAGACCCTATCTCTATAAAAAAAAAGAAAAATAGGTCAGGAGCGGTGGCTCACGCCTGTAATCTCAGCACTTTGGGAGGTCGAGGAGGGTGGATCACCTGAGGTCGGAAGTCCAAGACCAGCCTGGCCAACATGGTGCAAACCCATCTCTAAAAATACTGTCATGGGGTGAGGGGAGCGGGGAGGGATAGCATTAGGAGATATACCTAATGTCAATGACGAGTTAATGGGTGCAGCACACCAACATGGCACATGTATACCTATGTAACAAACCTGCACGTTGTGCACATGTGCCCTAGAACTTAAAGTATAATTAAAAAAAACAAAAGAAACAGAAAAAAAATACAAAAATTAGCCAGGTGTGTTGTTCGGGGTCGGGGTCCTGTAATCTGTAATCCCAGCTCCTCGGGAGACTGAGGCAGGAGAACTGCTTGAACCTGGGAGGCAGAGGTTGCAGAGAGCTGAGATAGTGCCACTGCACTCCAGCCTGAGCAATAAGAGCAAAACTCTGTCTCAAAAAAAAAAAAAAAAGAAAAAGGTAGCAGGGGCCAGATCGCATGGGTTTGGGGCCAGCTTAAAGAGTTTGAATTTTATTTTTAAAAAATTCTTAGAGACAGGGTCTCATTCTCGTTTGTTTTTGTTTTTGTTTTTGCTTTCAACGCCCACTCCCTCAAACCATAAACCAGGGGCACCCGGGCAGCTTGAGGTTAGGTGCCAATTCAACAGCAAGTCCTCATGAATGACATTTTTTATGGTTTTGTGCAGAGACACCTTGTGCTCATGAGCATTGTTTTTTTGTTTTTTGTGGGTTTTGTTGTTGTTGTTGTTTTCTATTTTTTGAGACAGTCTCATTCTGTTGCCCAGGCTGGAGTGGAGTGGTGCGATCTCGACTTACAACATCTGCCTCCCGGTTCAAGCAATCCCCCTGCCTCAGCCTCCTGAGTAGCTGTAATAACAGGCGCATGTCACTATGCCTGGCTAAATTTTGTATTTTTAGTAGAGACGGGGTTTCACCATGTTGGTCAGGCTGGCCTCAAGTGATCCGTTCGCCTTGGCCTCCCAAAGTGCTGAGATTAGAGGCGTGAGCCACCATGCCCAGCCTTTTGCGGGTTTTTTTGAGACAGAGTCTCGCTCTGTCACCCAGGCTGGAGTACAGTGGTTCCATCTCGGCTCACTGCAGCCTCCACCTTCCAGGTTTAAGCAACTCTCCTGCCTAAGCCTCCTGAGTAGCTGGGATTACAAGCATGAGCCACCATGCCTGGCCATGAGCATTTGTTTTAAGAGACAGGTCTTTCTGAAGCCCAGGCTGGAGTGTAGTGGCACAATCATAACTCACTGCAGCCTTAAACTCCTGGGCTCAAGCAATCCTGCCTCAGCCTCCTGAGTAGCTGGGACTGCAGGAGCACGCCACCACACCTGGCTAATTTTTACATTTTTTGTAGAGAAGGGGTCTCGCTATGTTGCCCAAGCTGGTCTCAAACTCCTGGGCTCAAAGCGATCCCCCTGCCTCAGCCTCCCAAAGTGCTGGGATTACAGGTTGAGCCACCATGCCCAGCCTTGAGCACTTTTTAAAGTCACGATGGCTTTCTACACCTGTCATTTGGAAAAGGAGGCAGATCAGCGCAGTGGCCGACGGGAGAGGCTGTCTGGTGGGTTTGAGGCCAGCTCCTCCTGTTACTCCCTGTGGCCTTGGCAGCCGGCTGTGCTATTTAAGGGGAAGCACTGTCGCTACTCTGGCCTGGGACTCAGGGGCTCTGCCCAGCTTCTGCCTCTCTAAGTTTACTGCTGGGAAGTCACTTCCCCTTTCAGAACCTGAGTTCTCCCATAAAGAGGAGGGGCCCAAATGCAGTCCGAAGCCTTTTCTAGCTCCTGAGACTGTGGTTCAAGGCAGGGTTATGCTTCCCCCTCCCAGCCCTGGCCCTGTGACCCCAGCTCTGTGCCTGGCACTGTTCAGAAGCTTAAGAGATGCCCACCGCCAGAGCAGGCACCAAATCCTCATCTACTGGGGACCCAAGGGGTGCCCTCCTTGAGAGTTTGGCCTTTGGGCTCACTCTCAGGCAGAGACTCCTCAGTGCTGCTGCTTGATTACCCCTGTGACAGAGAGCTCATTACCTCTCCACTCCATGGCCTACCCTGCCATCCCCCGACAGCCCCCTTCTGGCCAGCATGATTTTCCCAGTGTCCTCTACCCACCACAAACCCCAGCCCCCCAACAGGCTTGCTCTAACAGGACAAGTTGTGCTGAAGATGGAGACTTTAGAAGCAGTGTGGTATGATAAAGAAGGTTGATTCATGTCTGGACAGGGCTTTCTGGAGTCTGTGGAGCTAAAGACATTATTATAATACAAAGCTGGGCTTGCTCACTGGCACTCCCGACTGCATTTACACAGCAGCTCTCAGATGTGAGCCACAGATCTGAGACCTTTCCAGAAGCTCAGAGTTCTTGCTATGTAGTGGACCCCGACTGTTTCTACACTTTATTTATTTATTTATTTATTTATTTATTTATTTATTTATTTATTTTATTTATTTATTTAGAGATGGAGTCTTGCTCTGTCATCCAGGTTGGAGTGCAGTGGCGCTATCTCAGCTCACTGCAACCTCCGCCTCCTCAGCGATTCCCCTCCCTCAGCCTCCCGAGTAGCTGGGATTATAGGAGCCTGCCACCGCACCCAGCTAATTTTTGTATTTTTAGTAGAGACGAGTTTCACCATGTTGGCCAGGCTGGTCTCAGACTCCTGACCTCAAGTGATCTGCCTTCCTCGACCTCCCAAAGTGCAGGGATTACAGGCGTGAGCTACTGCACTAGACCTTGTTTCTACACTTTAAACCAGCTCCACAGGAGGCCCCCTGAGGCCGCCTGCTCCAATCCCAGGTAGTGACAATCGTGCAATGTCCCTGGAGCAGGAGTGAGATATCAGACGGACCTGTTCAGGACTGGGTGGGTCTCACTCCCAGCTGGATCCTTCAAGCCCAGGGCAGCCCCCCAGATTCCACACATGGGGCAGCAGGGACTCCAGGCCTAACTGTGCGGAGCCAGGAGGGTCCATTGCAGGGATGTGCAGACCGAGGCCCAGAGGGGAGGGCTGGGCAGTCCCAGAGATGCTTGGAGGGACCTCTGTGATGGCCCCACTTGTGTTTTCCAGGCCTGAGCTGCTCACTGAGGGAGTCAAAGAGCCCATCATTGACAGTCAAGGTACCCAGCGCGGGGTCGTGGGACATGGTGTGGGCGGGCAAGGGAGGGGCCCAGGAGCCTCTGCCACCAGCCCCTCCTCCTGCTGGCTCTGTCCTGCTCTCATCTTGGCCCTGGCATTCTCCCCACACCCCCGCACTGGGTTTCCCCTAATGATGCCATCTTGGGTCCCAGGAACTGCCTCCTCACTTGGTTTCTCTCCCCCTGCCCTGCCCCCAGAGAGGGATTCCAGGGACCCTCTGGTGGGCGAGAGCCTGAAGAGACAGGGCTTTCAAGGTAAGGTTGAGCTCAGGGGGAGGTCTGTTGTCCCAGCACCATGACCCTGACCTGGTTTGGGATTGGAGGGCCAGGCTGGAAGTGGGGAGGAGCTGGCCCCCAACTTCAGGGCCTAAGGGACCAGGCAAGCCAGGTTAGCAATCCAGGCCCGACTGTACCCTGCCAGCTCTGTGTTAGAGACTCCAGGGGAGAGGAGGTGCCTACAGGTGGATGGTGGGGGGACCTAGGGGGTGGGAGGGTACAGGGCCCAGGAGCCTGCCTGCCCCCCTCCGGGAAGGTAGCTGACACGCCCACTCCTTATTCAGCAATCAGCTGTGGTCTTAGTGCTTTGAAATCAGAATAGGAGCCAGGTGCGGCACCTCACGCCTGTAATCCCAGCATTTGGGGAGGTCAAGGAGGGAGGATGGCTTGAGGCCAGGAGTTCGAGACCAGCCTGGGCAACATGGCGAAACTCCACGTCTACCAAAAAAATGCAAGAATTAAGTCGGGTGAGGTGGCGTGCACCTGTGATCCCAGCTACTCGGGAGGCTGAGGCGGGAGAATTGCTTGAACCTGGGAGGCGGAGGTCGCAGTGAGCCAAGATGGTGCCACCGCACTCCAGCCTGGGTGACAGAGCAAGACTCTGTTTCAAAAAAAGAGAGAGAGAGAGAGAGAGATGGTGGTCTGGGATCCCTTTGGCACATGCTAGCACTTGTCTTCGTTTGTTTTGAGATGGAGTTTTATTCTTGTTGCCCAGGCTGGAACACAATGGCGTGATCTCAGCCCAATGCAACCTCCGCCTCCTGAATTCAAGTGATTCTCCTGCCTAAGCCTCCTGAGTAGCTGAGTTACAGGCTCATGCCACCACAACTGGCTAATTTTTGTATTTTTTTAGTAGAGATGGGGTTTCACCATGTTGACCAGGCTGGTGGTCTCCAACTCCTGCCCTCAGGTGATCCTCCTGCCTCGGCCTCCCAAATTGCTGGGATTACAGGCATGAAAATTTCGGGGAGATTTTCAGTTGCTATTTAATATTTTTTAGCCATATGCATTTTTCTCCTCTCCTTCTGTTACTCCAGTGACAATGATAGATCTCTTTTTTCTTTTAACCATCCCACGGGTCCCTGAGCCTACATTTTAAAAGTTCAATTTTTGCTCTGTTGTTCACATTGGGAATTTCTATTGATCTATATCCCAGTTAATCCATTCTTCGATCACTGCAATTCTAATATGAATTTTTTTTTTTTTTTCAGATGGAGTGTCGCTTTGTCGCCTAGGCTGGAGTGCAGTGGCATGATCTTGGCTCACTGCAACCTCCACTTCCAGTTCAAGTAGTAATTCTCGTGCCTCAGCCTCCTGAGTAGCTGGGATTACAGGCATGCACCAGCATGCCCGGCTAATATTTTGTGTTTTTAGTAGAGACAGGGTTTCACCATGTTGGCCAGGCTGGTCTCGAACTCCTAACCTCAGGTGATCCACTCACCTCAGCCTCCCAAAGTGCTGAGATTACAGGTGTGAGCCACCACGCCCAGCCCTCTAATATGAAATTTAAAAACTTTCAGTTATTGTCATTTTAAATTCAAAAATTTCCATTTGCTTCATGTCTTCAGTGGTTTTGCTGGGGTTTTTCATTTGTTTCAAGCATGTTTGTCTTTAGTTATTGAATTTTTATGATGCCTTCTTTAAAATCTTTGTCAGATAATTCCAACACATGTGTCATTTGGTTCAGATATGATAAGTGATTTTTTTTTTTTGAGACACAATCTCACTCTTGTCTCCCAGGCTGGAGTGCAGTGGTGTGATCTCGGCTCACAGCAACCTTCGCCTCCCGGGTTCAAGCTATTCTCCTGCCTCAGCCTCCTGAGTAGCTAGGACTACAGGCTCCCACCACACCTGGCTAATTTTTGTACTTTTAGTAAAGACGAGGTTTTGTCATGTTCGCCAGGCTGGTCTGGAACTCCTGACCTCAGGTGATCCACCCGCCTCAGCCTCCCAAAGTGCTAGGATTACAGGTGTGAGGTATTGTGCCCGGCCTTTTTTTCTTTTTTTTTTTTTTTTGGCAGAGTCTCACTCTGTCTCCCAGACTGGAGTGCAGTGGCACAATCTCGACTCACTGCAACCTCCACCTCCCGGGTTCAAGTGATTCTCCTGCCTTAGCCTCCTGAGTAGCTGGGATTACAGGCATCCAACACCACGCCCAGCTAATTTTTGTATTTTTAGTAGAGATGACGTTCAGCTATGTTGGTCACGAACTCCTGACCTCAGGTGATCCGCCTACATTGGGCCTCCCAAGGTGCTGGGATTACAGGCAGGAGCCACTGCCCCCAGATGGTCAGTGATTTTTTTTATTGTGTCTTGAAGGTTTGGGGTGTTGTTATGTTAGGAGGCTCTCAATCTAATTTAAATATTCTTTAGCCAATGTCACACTGGTGAAGAAAGTGAGTTGTGACCTCATTATCATGGGTGGAGGTAGAAATCCAGGCTCCCCCCTCAGCCCCCACCAACACCACAGAAGAGGGTGGAGAGGACAGGAACAAACACTTCATTCTCACCTGGCAGGGCTGGAAGTTCAGTCTCCACCCATCCTCTACTGACACTGTGGAGAAAGGGAAGTGCCCTACACTTCCAAAAGCAGGGGGAGGAGTTTCAGGTTCCCCATTCAACCTTTTTAACACACTGAGGAACCTGTGGGCAAAAACTTAAGTATAAATTTCTTTTTTCGGTGGGGTGGGGCACGGAGGCTCATGCTGGTAATCCCAGCACATTAGGAAGCCAAGGTGGGAGAATTGCTTGAGCCCAAGAGTTTAAAACAAGCCTGGACAGCTGGGCGCGGTGGCTCACGCCTGTATTCCCAGCGCTTCAGGAGGCCGAGGCAGGTGGATCACGAGGTCAGGAGATCAAGACCATCCTGGCTAACACAGTGAAACCCCATCTCTACTAAAAATACAAAAAATTAGCTGGGCATGGTGGCACGCACCTGTAGTCCCAGCTACTTGGGAGGCTGAGACAGGAAAATCACTTGAACCCAGAAGGTGGAGATTGCAGTGAGCCAAGATCACACGACTGCACTCCAGCCTGAGTGACAGAGCAAGGCTCCATCTCAAAAAAAAAAAAAAAAAAGATCAGCCAGGACAACATAGTGAGATTCGTCTCCATAAAAAATTTAAATATTAGCTGGGTACAGTGGCACACACATGTAGTCCCAGCTACTCAGGTGGCTGAGACGAGAGGCTAGCTTGAGCCCAGGAGGTCCAGGCTGCAGTAAGTCATGTTCACACCACTGCACTCCACAGCCTGGGTTACGGAGCCAGACCCTATACCCCCCAGCCCAAAGAAAAACAAAAACAAAAAAGAAGAATTTCACGATGGCAGCTACAGAGCCCTAAAGTCCAAGCACAGGGCCCTTTGCAGTCACACCTTTGTGCTTCTCACTCAATTTTCTGTTTTTCGTATCGATCCTGAAAGCTCTTGTTCTCTGTAGGTGATTTATATTTGTTTCTATTGTAAATTGATTTTTTTCTCCACAATGTTTGCTAAGTGGTTAGTAATGGTATATAGGAAAATCATTTTGTACAGTTAGCTTTTATCGCTATTTTAGAATTTTCATCTTTCACTAATATAGAGATGAAATTCTATAGTTTCAATATAAATTCTCTTGGGTTTTCTTTTTTTACATTTCTGTTTTTCAAGACAGGGTCTCACTCAGGCTAGCATGCAATGGTGAGATCACAGCTCACTGCCACCTCAAATTCCTGGGCTTAGGTGATCTTCCCACCTTAGCCTCCCCAGTAGCTGGGACTACAGGTACACACCACCATGCCCAGCTAGTGTTTTTTTTTTTTGTAGAGATGTGGGTCTCACTATGTTGCTGACATTGCTCTCAAACTCCTGGCCTCAAGCATTCCTCCTGCCTTGCCTCCAAAAGCGATTACAGGCGTGAGCCACAACACCCAGCCTTCTCTTGGGTTTTCTACATAAAATAACCATCTACAAATAATAGCTATCATTTGTTCTAAGTTCAGACAACAACCCCATGAAGCAGTAATATTATTAACCCCATTTCACAGCTGAGGGATCTGAAACAAGAGATTTGTTCAGGGCCAATGAGCTAATAAGTAGCAGAATAAAATTCAAAACCAAATCCAAGCCTTCCAGCTTCAGAGTTCATGTCCTCACCAACAGACAATAATAGCTCTATATTGATTACATTAACTCCTTTTTTCTCTACTTTTATGTCTGTTTGAAGACTGAGTACCTTGGTAGAACTGCAAGAACAAGGTTGATTGATTGTGGTGACAGCAAATATTCTTGTCTTCTTAATTTTAACTGACAAATGTCTCTAATGTTTCATTTTTAGGTATAGCTTAACCAGAAAACCTCTGTAGCATGAGAATATTAATAATAATGTATATTTTCCTAAGAAAGAACCAAATCAATTTTTGGAAGAGGGACGGATTGTGAAACTTTATTGATAAAGAATTCCGTTCCAAAGGTGTATTCCAGTCACATTTACCCTACATAAAATACCAACATCTTCTTATTGCAAAAACAGAAACTCCGGCCGTTGTATTGATGCTGACTTAAGAGAAATAGAAGCCTCTATATAAGGCAAGAGTCCATACCAGAAGAATTCGACCAATATGAGATACCTCCAAAAAAATCAACTCAATAACCTACTTTATATGTAAGAGACCCAAAAAAGTCAGCTTTTGTGGGAAGTTGATATGCAGTTTATTGAACAAACAGAGTGTACAGTAACTAAACGAACTGTGTATTTCCAAAGGAATTAAGACCGCATATCTGGATTCACACCTAAAAGCACATAGAAAATTAAACCAAAGAAGGGCAAGTTTTGTACTAAAATCACTTGGGCCCAGGTTATTCTATAAGAAGATTCTCACTGGCATTTGATAGTAACTTATCACCTTCTGTGCGAGCTTGGGAACCAGCTGACTCAGTGAACTGCTTCCTGTCTTCAGTGCGTGATGACACAGATGTGTCAAGCTTAATAGATCTTATATGTAAATTTAAGAATAAGAAGTTTTATACCCACCCTGGTTTTATTCCAAAGTTACTGCTCTGCAATTTTGGGCTCCATCCTTAGGAAGATACTGGAAAAGCAAGAGAACCTTTCTCAGCTGCCTGTGTGAAGTGACGTTGTTCTAGAACGGTGCCCTGGGGCCTCATGCACGATTTCACAAGTATAGCTGCATAATCTGTGGATGTCACTGAATGGAAGAAGAATCATCAATGGTATATTTAGGTTATAGAAGGTTCCACTGAGATAAGAAAAGGTTCTACAATGCAGGTAGCTGTCAAGCCTCCTAAATATTTAACTCGTTTTAGTTAACATCACACTGTGCATTGAGTGCAAGATTCTTTGGTTACACCATATTAACCACCAGGAGGATAACTCCTGGTTTGTAAAAGACATCAGTGGTTCTTAACGGAGGGGTGATATGGCCCCAGGAGACATCTGACTATGTCTGGAGAGAATTTTTCACAGCTCTAGCGGGGGTGCTACTGGCACCTAATGGATATGGATGGCAGGAATGCTGCTGAACATTCTACCATGCACAGGGTGGCCCCACAACAAACACCTCTCAGGCCACTAATATGAATAGTCCCGAGGTTGAAATGTCCTGAAAAAGGTTCAGAAAACATGTCTAGACGTTTGCAAAGTCAAATGTATATTATGGAGGCTGCAAGGCGCCCCTTGCATCTCACAGCTGAGGGACCCCGTCACCTCTCACCATCAGAGGCCCATTCATTCCCGCCTTCCATTCCAGGCCCAGTGCCTGCTCCTTCTCACTGAAGAACTCAATAGAGATTTGCTGAATGAATGAGGGAAAAATAAGCTAGAAGCATAGTTTAAAGTCTTCCATCGACTACATTAAACAGCAATTTTATGTGGCCTAAACTTTATTCTGAACCTTAGTGGTGTCATAGTCTCTGACTATATAGAACCTCAAAGTTAAGGCTAACACGTTCTTAAAGATGGAGTGCACATCTTAAGGGGAGTTTGTCTAAACACTTCTCGAGTCATTTTAGTGGGACAAACCAAATAAAATGGTGCTAAAGGCAAACATTCAATATACTTCATTTTAAACTAAAAAATTAACATATAAAATGCCATGCACAGCAGACACCATTCTTTTTTTTACATATTTACAATTTTACATATTTACTTATCAATATAATTTCTATCTTTACAATTATAAAATTATTCCAAACTGTGGAAGAGTGGTACCATTTAATTTTCTTGAACATACACTTTGTAGCATTCATTTGTTTAATCCTTTAAAAGGCAATTATTTACCAAAACCACAGTGAATGCCAGAGGAAGCACATAGGAAAATCATGGAGGGAAAAAAGATTGAGACAAAATTTGCACACAAGCCTTAAATGAATCTGTATCAGTAACTCAAATAAGTAGTATTTTATTATTAACTAAGGTTCCCCTGCTAGGAAAAACGAAACAATCCCCATATACTGTACCTTTAAAAAATGCTGACATTTATAAGCAATTTAGTTACATTCTAGATCCCAATCAGTTGAGTGTAGTAAGGGCTACCTACAATTTAGGCTCAAATAAATACTCTCCACTAAATTGTGATCATCCTGCATAAACTTGAGGTTGCAGTGGTGGAGGAAGTTTATCATTTTCAACGTTTTCAGAGTCAATAGCTGCTAACGGTTGATTCGGAGGCTTAATTTCCAGTGGGTATTTCTCAACGATGTCTTGAACTTCTCTTGCAATTCCATCTGTCCAATCTATGAGGTCTTTTTCCAGTTTCTTGGCTTCATTCATGATCCTTTCTTGTCGTTCATTCAACTGAGACAAGAGATCCAAGTTCTTATACATTTGCTTGACGCCTAAGCAAGCATCAGGAGACCAACTCTCAGCTTCTTGCTTCCTGGGAGAGGTCTGGCCAGACATGTAGCGATCAAAATCCTCCTGACTTAGATTCAAAGACTGGGCGTCTAGCTTCTCAATGAAAGCCACAGCACAGCACTACAAGAAGAGGACGTTAATACAGTCATATTAGGAAAGCTATGCATACTCGAGTCGATTTGTAAAAATCTTTTGATCACAGACCATTTAAAACAGAAGCTAAAGTAAACAAAACAAACTCATGAACTTCTGTGTATTTCAGCCTCAAAAATTACCTACTCCTATCCCCGGTCGTGCTTCCTATACACTCCCAGGAGCTCCAGGGCCGATGTCTGGGTGCAGCCTCCCCAGGTGCACCATGAAGCCATTCTGTCTGAGTCTTCCCAGACCTGCTATCCCCACCCAGGATATAGTCCCCAAGTAGGTGTGGCACACAGACCTCTGATCCTCAAATGAATATTTTAACATCAAGTGGTTAAAAGAACAGCTCCAGACCGGGCCCGGTGCCTCAAGCCTGTAATCCCAGCACTTTGGGAGGCTGGGACGTGTGGATCATGAGGTCAGGAGTTTGAGACCAGCCTGGCCAACATGGTGAAACCCCATCTCTACTAAAAATACAAAAATTAGCTGGGCGCAGTTGTGGGCGCCTGTAATCCCCGCTACCTGGGAGACTGAGGCAGGAGAATTGCTTGAACCTGGGAGGCGGAGGTTGCAGTGAGCCAAGATCACGCCACTGCACTCCAGCCTGGGTGACAGAGCAAGACTGTCTCAGGAAAAAAAAAAAAAAGGAACAACTCTGAAGTGACTGAACCTGAGTTCACTGTCACCTCTTTCACTTAACAACAACAGTGAGTGACCGTGGGAAAGTTACTTAAGCTCTCTGAGGTTTCTGTACCTGTAAATGGGGGGAAATACCACCTAGATTTATTGTGAGAATTAAACAACATAACATGTCACGTGCTTCCGAGAGGCCTGCAGCGAGCAATGAATACACGGTAGCAATTATTAGTACAGACATGGCACTGCAAATGCCCAATTCAACAGACATCTGAGCCAGGCGTGTTGGCTCGTGCTTGTAATCCTAGCACTTTGGGAGGCCGAGGTGGGAGGATTGCTTGAGACCAGGAGTTCAGACCAGCCTGGGAAACAGTCGGGGTAGAAACCATCTCTAGAAAAAAGGAATAAAGAAAAAGAAAAATCTGATTCATCTGAGTAGAACGGAACACCATCTGGCTCATGGTGTGTGTGGAGTTGCTGTGGCCCCTCTGTGACCTGGAAAGAGGAGGTGATTCTAACTCCTCACTTAGGTGAATGGAGACATGGCATTGCCACTAAAAGGAATAGAGAATACTGGAAAAGAAACAAACATCTGAAGGGGAAGTAGCTCTGAACAAATTATATTTGAGGTGCAATACAAGTGTAAGGTCAAGACAGGTGACCCAGAGCTGCAGGCCATCACTGCACAGTGAGTGACAGCTCTGTGACAGAGAAGATGGTGCAGGAAGAGAGATGCAGAGACAATGGAGTCCCATGGAATGACACAATTCAAGGTGGAAGTAGAAGACACAGACTTTACAAAGAGACAAGGAAGTAGTGGAATTGTGGAAGCCAAGGAACAACAGAAGTTGCAGAACAAAGGACTCTTGGAGAGTGCTATGAGAAGCGAAGGAAGATGAAGACTGTGAGTGCCCGTGGGGTTCGTCAGCTGGAAACTTTTTACTTTTGCCAGAGCAGTTTCATTGGAGCAATGGGTGTAGGAGACAGACTCTGAGTCAGGCAAGAAGAGGACAAAGAGAGAAGGCACAAATGTACTTAAGGCTGCAGGCCAAGGGCACTAGAAGCTGCTAAGTGTGTGCAAGCCAGCCACCTCTACTGTCAGTGACCGTGGCTACGCTCAAACACGTCCTGGTCCTCCTCCACTTCTCTCAATACCTGCCATGTCTCCACCTTCACACTTCTCAGGGACTTCCAGGTTGTCTGACTCGCTTTGGATAAAGAACTGAATCCAAAACGCTCTTCCCTCGTAGGCAAGTGTATGTTTCATTTATATTAAGAAATATGAGGCCAGGTGCGGTGGCTCATGCCTGTAATCCCAACACTGTGGGAAACTGAGGTGGGTGGATTGCTTGAGGTCAGGAGTTCGAGACCAGCCTGGCCAACAAGGTGAAACCCCGTCTTTACTAAAAATACAAACATTAGCCGGGCATGGTGACACACATCTGTAATCCCAGCTACTTGGGAGGCTAAGGCATGAGAATCACTTGAACCCAGGAGACGGAGGTTGCAGTGAGCTGAGATCACACCACTGCATTCCAGCCTGGATGACAGAGGGAGACTCCATCTCAAAAAAAAAAAAAAAAAAAAAGGATATATGAGTACTTCTAATCTCATTCTATATGGGCCACTTAAACTTTTTTCAGTACTACAGATTAAACCACCATGTGCCTGGGAGGATGGAAAACAGTGTGAATAAAGGTAAAAGCATCATTCTGATCAAGAGCACCAAGTCCCTCCACCTATAAATCACACTCCCAAGATGCTGGTGACTACAGTAACATGTAGCTGAACACAATGCTGGAGGGTGATGAGTGATGGGGGCAGGTCCAAGTTTGGAGGAACCTGAAGCTTATACAATTTTGGGAACCTACTTACAGGAAAAGGAAGAAGAGTGACAAATACAAAAGTAGGTATAAATGTGAATACATACTTAGAACCTAGAAATAAATCATGACATATTTTTAGAGACTGAGAGATTCACGTACCTGTGAGACTTTTTTGGCAATTTATCAGAAATACTCGCAATGCATCCTGGCTTCCCCTCCCCACCTCTTAGTTCCCAGGCTCTCAACACAGAAAACCAAGTCCATACGCTGCCCCAAGTCTCCAAATTCATTAGCTTTACAGTACATTCCCTCTAAAGCAAATAAGCAGAGTTTAGTAGGAAGAAAAAGGAAGAATTCAGGTCAGGAGTGGTGGCTCATGCCTGCAGTTCCAACTCTTAGGGAGGTCAAGGTGGGAGGACTGCTTGAGTCCAGGAGTATGAGACCAGCCTGGGCAACACAGCGAGACCCCATCTCTCAAAAAAAAAAAAAAATTGGCCCGGTGTGATGGTGCATGCCTGTGGTACCAGCTTCACAGCAGGCTGAGGTGAGAGGATTGCTTGAGCCCAGGAGGTCAAGGCTGCAGTGAGCTATGATTGTACCACTGCACTCCAGCCTGGGTGATAGAGTGAGACCCTGTAGTAGAATGAATGAGTGAATGAATGAGGGGGCAAATATTCAGCCTTATTAACTTATACATAATTTGCCTTATTCATGGTTGAAAAAGCCCTGCCAAGTGAAGGACTCTTCTACCCAGGACCGTGGGGAGTGATGCCCAACACATGTCATCTGTTTCCGTAGGATAAACACAATCTCTGATCAAGTGCTGGGAGGCGGAGTGTCTGTATGGCCTGGTCCTTGTGCTCCCTGATGCAAAGTGAGCTTCCTCAGCCATGCTGCCTTCTCACACAGAAGCATTCACCTGTCACGGGCCTAAGTGACCTGTCACATCCCCAAAACCACCACCTTCCTAGTCCTTCTCCACAACACCAAGAACTCACTTACTCACCAGATTGGTGAAATAGTAGCCATCCTCTCCAGTCATCAGTCGGCTTGGATTGCAGAAGCGCGTGATATACTGGATATTAGACTGAAGGCGTGGGGGGTTGCCCTTCAAAACAATGTAGATGAGGGTGGGGAGGAAGTCATCCGCTGACGCCGGCTCATTCTTGGTGATCTTGATGGCATTGAAGATGTGCTTGCTGCACTTGGTGATGCAGGCCAGCTTGTCTCGAGGCACACGCTTGGAATCCATTTCAATGATATCTACAAAGCAGAAAAGACAATATTTCCCAGGAGAAAAGAATCACAAAAAAGAAGCAATAGGAAAATCATGTTTTATCTCTAAAGTTATGAAGGAATCCTTATTAACCCCTTTTCCAGCAGTTAACTTAGTATATAATAACTTAGTAAATATGATCTCATACTCATGGAAAACAGAACCAAGAGCCAGGTAATACACAGTGTACCCTACAAGCACATTTCTCTAATCCTCATATTATGCAATGGATACTCTTATTAATATTATCCATTTTAGGGATGAGGGGGCTGAAGTTCAGAGAGGTTAAATGATTTGCCCAAGATCATACAGACAGTATGTAGCAGGGTGGGAATTTGAAACCATGTCTACCTGACTGTAAAGCCCACACTTTTTTTTTTTTTTTTTTCAGACTGAGTTTCACTCTTTGTTGCCCAGGCTGGAGAGTGCAGTGGTGTGATCTCTGCTCACTGCAACCTCCGCCTCCTGGGTTCAAGCGATTCTCTTGCCTCAGCCTTTAAAGTAGCTGAGATTACAGATGCCCGCCACCACACCCAGCTACTTTTTGTATTTTTAGTAGAAACGGGGTTTCACCATGTTGGCCAGGCTGGTCTCGAACTCTTGACCTCAGGTGATCCGCCCACCTTGGCCTCCCAAAATGCTGGGATTACAGGCGTGAGCCACCGTGCCTGGCCAAGCCCACACTTCTAATCACAATGTAAGCTGCCTCTGAGCTCCATGGAGAAGGAAGAAGTTGTCTGATGAAGAGTCTTTTTACTGCTTCTGTGCCTCTGTTACATTTTAGAATGTTTTTCGACAGTCCCAATTTGCATACTGCTTTTTAGAAATGTGGCTACTACACAAAGCATCTTTGTATTGAATGTGAGAATACAAAAATTAGCCGAGTGTGGTAATGTGTGCCTATAGCCCCAACTACTGGAAAGGCTGAGGCAGAAGGATGGCTTGAGCCCAAGAGGTTGAGGCTGCAGTGAGCTACGATCATACCACAGCACTCCAGCCTGGGCAACAGAGCAAAATCTTGTTAAAAAAAAAAAAAAAAATCCAGCTACTGGAATCCGACACACTTAGTTCAACAGTGGCCAAACTCTCCAGCATGTGGATCTCCACTAGCTACAGAAATCACAACATTCACACCTGCTGATTGGCAGAGGGGATCAAGCAAGGGAATAAACTTAATCTCAAAATAACATTTTACTTCTCCCAGGGAAAAATTTCTTTCTTTCTTTTTTTTTTTTTTTGAGACAGCATCTCACTCTGTTGCCCCGGCTAGAGTACAGTGGCACGATCTCGGCTCACTGCAACCTCCGCCTCCCGGGTTCAAGCGATTCTCCTGCTTCAGCCTCCTGAGTAGCTGGGACTACAGGCACGCACCACCACGCCCGGCTAATTTTTGTATTTATAGTAGAGATGGGGTTTCACCATATTGGCCAGGCTGGTCTCGAACTCCTGACCTCGTGATCCGCCCACCTCAGCCTCCCAAAATGCTGGGATTACAGGTGTGACTCACTGCTCCCGGCAGAAAAATTTCACTACCCACAACTATCACTAAGTCCAAGCAGTGGGCTCTCATGAATGCCCACCCTTTTCCAACAAGCCTGGGGGACAGCGAAGGGTGCTGAAGCACGTGGTGACAGCACCGCTGGAGAGGCAGCGTACCTCTGGGGTTGCACATCGGCCAGCAACTTGGGACATCACAAAAGAAAAGAGCCAAGGCAGCTTAATTTTACACCAAATTCTTGCCACTAGCAGGAATAAACGTTTCAGACTCTGGCCAGGCGGTGGGGTATACCAAAGGGTTCTTTCAGCTTTTAGATCATCCCTGAGGTCAGCTTCCTGGGGAACCCTCCTAGGCCCATCTGCCATGAAAGACAACGTGTGGGGGACAGATGTGCTAGGCAGTGCACAGGCATTATTTTAACTTTTGAGTGCTTTTATTCCCTTACTTATGAGGCTACTGTGTGAATTACATAATTTTTGCTGTTTTATTGTTTGCTTCCTTTAATCCTTTAATCCTGGGTTATAATTATTGTTACATTGATCTATTTATTTTTCTTTTTCTACTTATATGGAACTTATTCTAAATAAGAATTGGGTAAGATTGGGTAAGATTTTTTAAAGCCATTTTTACTACCTTCATTTATCTTTAGCCTTCTACCTTTTATTGGTGATTTTTTTTTCTCTCTTTTATTTAAACTACTTTCTTGTTAATCTTTATTTTTCAATGTTCTTTCATCTTGCATCCTGTTCATCTTTACTGTTGACATTTTGAAAGCGAGTAAAAAGTGAATTATGTTTTATCTGGATGTGTGGCTGCTATTGCCATAAGGCAGGGCTGGGGTGGAAAAAGGGAGAGAAGGGAAGGAAAAGGAGAATAAAGAAAGACAAACACCCCCAGGGATCTCTTCCACATGCTTCATCCTGCAGAGACCCGTTCCTAGCATCCTCTGGCCTGAAGGAATTCTTCGTGGAACTCTTTGGATTTTCCCATGTGTGCAATTCCATGATTTGCACTGCTTCAAAGTCTCAACTAGGAGACATGTGAGGAGAAAGCAACACACAGGAAACTCACTGCTGTCTAATAATTTCCCTCCCCAGCCTGCCTGCTATGATTTACTCTTCAGAGCCCTGCATAATTGCTCTATGTCTTCTCCCAGGGCTCTGCCTTCACATGAATAGGAAACACAGAGCTAAGTATACGCTCCATCTCTGCTGGATCCAGGTGTCCAGGCTTATCTTTAATGGAGTTGTGAAAACAAAGGCTGTACCTCCAGGTCATGGCTTCTCAACATGGACACTCCTGACATTTGGGGTTGAATAATTCTTTGTTGTAGGGAACCATCCTGTTCATCACAGAATGTTTAGTAGAATCCTTGGCCTCTACCCACTAGGTGTTAGTAGTACTCCCACAGCTGTGACATTTAAAAATGTCTCCAGGCCTGGCTCAGTGGCTCACACCTGTAATCCTAGTAACTTAGGGAGGTGAGTCTAGGAGTTCAAGAGCAGCCAAGGCAACATGATGAAACTCTGTCTCTACAGAATGTAAACAAAAATTAGCTGGGTGTGGTGGCACGTGCCTGTGGTCTCAGCTACTCAGGAGGCTGAGGCGGACGGATCGCTTGAGCCTGTGAGGTCAAGGCTGCAGTGAGCCATGATCGTTGCCACTTGCACTCCAGCCTGGGTGACAGAGAGATCCTGTCTCAAAAATAACTAACTAACTAACTAACTAAATAAATAAGTCTCCAGATGTTGTCCAATGTCTCCGGGGGACCACTGGTGCCTGGCTAAGAACCACTGCCCCCATAGCCACACAGAAGTCATGCAGGTGGAGCCAAATGGGAAAGGGTGTCTGTCAACAGATGAATGGATAAAGAAAACATGGCACACATACACAGTGGAGTACTATTCAGAATGGGATCCAGTCATTTGCAACAACATGGATGAAACAGGAGGATATTATGTTAAGTGAAATAAGCCAGGCACAGAAAGATAACCATCACATGTTCTCACTCATTGGTGGGAGCTAAACACTTAAAACTGAAGGATGTTTTACCAGAAGGATGGTTACCAGAGGCTGGGAAGGGTAATGCAGGGCATGGGGGATAGTGGGGATGGCCAAGGGGTACCAGAAAAGTTAGAAAGAATGAATAAGACCTAGTATTTGCTAGCACGACAGGGGAACTATAGTCAAAAGTAATTTAATTGTACATTAAAAAGTAATTAAGAGAATATAACAGGATTCTCTGTAATACAAAAGCTAAATGCTTCAGAGGATGGACCCCATTTCCCCTAAGGTAATTACCACTCATTATCCGCCTGGATCAAAATAGCTCACGGAACTCATAAATAAATACACCTATTATGTACACATAAAAATTAAAAATTAAACAAAACAGAAAGAAAGGGAAACTTCCACCATCAGCCACAGGCCCTGACACTCTCCTTGTCCTAAACTCTTGGAGCTAAGAGGAGCTGATGATGGACTCTCTGATCCCCTTCCTGGGGTGGCACACTCTTCCTTTCAGAAGTCCTAAAGAGTGTTCGACCTCAGGGCAGAGGACTTGATGACTTTCAAAATTTTATGCAGTTCTCTTCAACAGACCTCGTATTTGTTACTTGTCAGCCCAGAACATGAGCCTCCTGCCCTAGAAGAACGTGACCCACACTGTGTAACTTAACGGGCAGCCTCTCCTATCGAGTCCCACTATTCATGGAACACAGCTATGCTTTCCTGATCCCTTGGGCCACCCACCTCTACTTTCACCACTGATGGGTCACACAAACACTCGCTACCAGCTGTCGCCCAGTGAACCATGCCCTACTTGGGTGAAAGAGGCCAGGAAGGCTGGGGACTTCCCTATTAGCAACAGGCCGTAAAGGCTACGGTGGCTTGGACAAAACTCTCATAGAACACTCTAAATGTAAACCAGCTGATCTTGAACTTTCTAGTAAGAGTCAGGAAAAACACAAGTCCCAGGTCCATATTCAGGCTTTTAGAAGGCCTCCACCTTCAACCTCTTATGGGGTTCCCCGAGCAAAAGGTGCGGGGGGCAGAGTAGTCATGACCTACGCCATAGCCTAGCAGAAAAGCTTGCAAGAAAAAAAAACAATAGTATTGATCTGGGCCACTTGGATTCTACCTTCAGAACTTGCACAAGAAATTACAGAAACTAGTAATTTACTTAACAACAGGAGTTGACACGGGAAGATAAAGAGAAGCAGAACCCGAGAAAGTGGAAGAATCACATCAGCAGAGAATGCCTGGAGCAGACCCTCTTGCCGTTGTAGAGGCAGTAAGATAGCCCACTCCCTGGATGACCCTTGGGGCTAGGGTCCTGAAAGACTCCACCTCCTTTATAACCCTGATAATACCTTAAGCAAACCTCCATTTCTTCTGTAGCTTGGGTGAGTCTCTGGTTCCTGTAACAAAAGGAGCCTACTCGATGGCCAGCCTCCAACACTACTAATATCAGTTAACCCACTTCCTTTCCAATAGAATTTCATTAACAATGTCTACATGAACAAGCCTTTCCAAGGCCTCTTTCTAATAAAGGAGACACTGGCCAAAGATGACCATCTCTCCATTAAGATTTTTTTTTGTAATTTAAACGTTTGTGTTGCACTCTTGCTGGTTCATTCCCATGAATGAGAAACAAACCTTATTAGGAGGCTGGACCTGTCTAGAACGGCAGTGTCACATCAATTTGGGGAACTTCATTTATTTCCTGATCAAACCAGAAAAATAACTCATAGCGCTTCTCTAACAACCAGTCAGAGGCATCATTTTACTACGTTACTCCAGCGTGGGGATTACCTTGCCTTACCAGTTCCCTTCCTCTATCCAAAATTATTTTGAATATATAAATGCAACTGAATCCTAAGAAATTTATTCTATCATGGAACAGTCAGCTGAATAAAAACTAAATAAAAAAAGAAGTACAAAAAAAAGAAAAAAAATTTATTCTATCTGCATTTGACCTTAGTTTAGTTTAATGCCCAAGAAACGAGACCATAATCCCTGAAAATAAAGGGGTAAAAGAGAACCTGCTCTTCTGAATGCCATCAAATTCATAAAACAATCTTACAAATCACTTTTACTACATTCCAATGTACCTTCGACAATCTGCATTTTACAAATGTATAGATGAATATTACAGTAAAATGTTAACTTTAAGGGGAAAACATCCCAATAAAAAGGCTCTTGGTTTCACTGACCTGTGATCGCCTTCACCACCATATCAGACACTTCTGGGATGTCTTCATTAACAGGGACACACAGCATCTGAGGCGTAACCCAGCGCAGGGCTCTAAAGAGAGAGAGACAGTAAACAAGAGCTCCAAGGATAAACTGTGGCCATTTGTCTTGTCACCTCCTTCAGTTTAGGGAAAGCCTGAGGCATCACTGACCACTCAATCCCAGGCCCACACACATCACCCCTGCAAGTACTACGAGCTCTAATGACGTGATGAAGCAGCTAGGATCCTAAAATGAGACTTCTGCATTTATCACAAGAATGGAAGGCCATCTTGCTGACTGAAATGACATTACGCAGTGCTACCAAGACTGAAATGCACTCAGTATCTGAAAGTGACCATTTGAGAATTGGCTGCTGCCTGTCCTCGCTGCCTACTGCGTTAATGTCCTTTTACACTCAGTCCTCAACTTCTTTCTTTTTTGAGATGGAGTCTCACTCTTGCCCAGGCTGGAGTGCCAATCTTGGCTCACTGCAGCCTCTGCATCCTGGGTTCAAGCAATTCTCCTGCCTCAGGCTCCCAAGCAGCCGGGACTACAGGCGCCCACCTCCATGCCCAGCTAATTTCTGTACTTTTACGAGACAGGGTTTCACCCTGCTGGCCAGGCTGGTCTCAAACTCCTGACCTCAGGTGATCTGCCTGCCTTGGCCTCCCAAAGTGCTGGGATTACAGGTGCGAGCCACCACACCTGGCCTCAACCCTCAACTTCTGAGGCACACTGGAGCTTGTATAGGAGGCCACGGGCAGGACCACCATGCCTGAATCACTGTGTGTTTCCTGGTCCCACCCTAACTGCACTCCAACTACCCTGCAGCAGGCCTGCCCTCTTGCTTGGTTACTGCTTCTGTTCTGCATCTTGGTCCAGGGCCCCTCTAGTTACTTCTGGCTCCTGACCTTGGGCTCCACATCTTCAGCCTGCCCAGTATCAACTCCTCACTTCAGCTATGAAACTTCCAATACAGATCTAGCAAGTACCAGCCCCTTGTCTGGAACCTGGGACTCCGAGTCCCTTCTCCCCTTAAAACACCTCATCAGCTCAGCCTTGGCCCTGTTCCCACACTTGGGTGGTCTCTTCCTCAGTGTCCACCGCAACTGGAGTACACAGTGCTGGGGCTCACCCCAGTGAGCCTGGAAGACTGGGTGCTGTGGGAAATGTCATCAATCCAATGCCAGTGAAAGATGTGACTAGGGAATGCTGAAAAATGCACACCCCTGGGAGGAATGAGGAAAGAGGACATCTACTGACTTGTTATTTTTTTGAGAAGGAGTCTTGCTCTGTTGCCCAGGCTGGAGTGTGGTAGCATGATCTCAGCTCACTGCAACCTCTGCCACCTGGATTCAAGCCATTCTCGTGCCTTAGCCTCCCAAGTAGCTGGGATCACAGGCGTGCGCCACCATGCCTGGCTAATTTTTGTATTTTTAGTAGAGACGGGGTTTTACCACGTTGCCTGGGCTACTCTTGAACTCCTGGCCTCAAGTGATCCTCCCAAAGTGCTGGGATTACAGGTATGAGCCACCGGGCCCAGCCGACATCCCCTGCCTTGATACCGATATTCACAGCTTCCCACTTGAGGAGATGGTAATGGACCAAGAACACAGTCCCCCTATTCCTTGGAGATTTCAGGGATTGAAAACAATCTCAAACACCAAACACAACTCTTACCAAAAGCTGCCTTGAGGGAGATGGATAGGTGAGGTCACCACATTCCTCGTCTTTCTTACACAACAGAGCTGCTTCCACTCTAAGGAAGCAGGAACATGAGCTATTGCTTTCCCTTAAGGTTTGAAACACAGGTGCATTATTTTCCCCCCAGTGTGTTCTTCCATTAGAAGGTAGTAACTACAAAGCAAAACAAAATAAGCAACTACCTGATTCTCTTTTGAATGGCAAGATCTTTCTTCTCATCATCAGTAGTTTCTGGACAGAATACATATTTATAGAGACGAGTCATGATGTACTTTTCAATCTGATCCATTATCTTCTCGACTCTTTCTGGAGGCACTGAAATAACCAGACAGAGAAAAGATCAAGATATATATATTTTTTCTCTCTCTTTTTTTTTTTTTTTGCAAACAAAGAGTCTGGCTCTGTCGCCCAGGTTGGAGTGCAGCAGCATGACCTTGGCTCACTGAAACCTCCACCTCCTGGGCTCGAGCCATTCTCCTACCTCAGCCTCCCAAGTAGCTGGGATCACAGGCACACGCCACCATGCCTGAATAATTTTTGTAGGTTTTTTCTGTGGAGATGGGGTTTTACCATGTTGCCCAGGCTGGTCTCGAACTCCTGGGCTCAAGCAATCTACCTGCCTCAGCCTCCCAAAGTACTAGGTTTATAGGTGTGAGCCAGAATGCCCGGCCAAGAGTATATTTTCATAGCACTGTCTACACAGCAAAAAACTAATTTACTAGAAATAAATTAAACACACTCAGAACAAAAGTATAAGAATGTTATATTTAAAAATACGCTTAAAAAAAAAACTTACCAGCTGGGTGCGGTGGCTCTACTCCTGTATTCCCAGCACTTTGGGAGGCTGAGGCAGGTGGATCGCCTGAGGTCAGGAGTTCAAGACCAGCCTGGCCAACATGGTGAAATCTCCTCTCTAATAAAAATACAAAAATTAGCTGGGTGTGGTGGCACGCACCTGTAATCCCAGCCACTCGGGGGCTGAGACAGGAGAATCACTTGAACCTGGGAGGCAGAGTTGCAGTGAGCCGAGGTCACACCACTGTACTCCAGCTTGGACGACAGAGTGATATTCTGTCTCGACAAAAACAAACAAACAAACAAACAAAAAAATCTTCTTCCAACTGTTGGGCTGCCTTCCACAGCAACCTCAGTTCTAACTGAAGTTGTCTGACAGGACCTAACAGTGTACACCCTGCCAAATGGGGAGACTTCAGCAAGGTCACTCCCTGTCCTACATTACAAAGGCATTTGCAACTCCCAAGACTGATGAATGCTGATGAAACTTATCCTTTCATTTTTCTGAGGTTTACCATAACATCGTAGAGCTCTCTGAGGTATACAAATGGAGATTTCTCTGACACACACATGTGCTAAGTATATCCTAAAGTCTAGTATCAGTGAAGGTTGAATCCATAAAGAATCCCTAAAAACTTGAAGCTCTTTTTTTTTTAAACTATTAATACAATAACTCACCAAAATGGTGATTCCAAGATGGAAAATTCATTTAGCAAAGCCTTCCAATAAGTTTTTCTCTTTCTCTCTCTCTTTTTTGAAGACAGAGTCTCGATCTGTTGCCCAGGCTGGAGTGCAGTGGCACAGTCTCAGCTCACTGCAACCTCCGCCTTCCGGGTTCAAGCAATTCTTGTGCCTCGGCCTCCCGAGTAGCTGGGATAAGAGGTGCACCACAACACCCGGCTACTTTTTGTATTTTTAATAGAGGCGGGGTTTCACCATGTTGGCCAGGCTGGTCTCGAACTCCTGGCCTAACGTGATCCGCCTGCTTTAGCCTCCCAAAGTGCTGGGATTACAGGCATGAGCTACTGAGCCAGGCCCTAAGATGTTTTCGTCAGCTCCAGCCCTGCCCCAATGGAGTTATTAAATGTTACTCAATAAATTATCCAATTGCTCCTGGAAAGATACGCATGGTACAGTTCAAAGGCACTGCTAAGTATAAGACCAGTTCCCAGAATGTCCATGAGGTTACAGGATGAAGTCTACAAACCAGCCAGACCATCAGAGAAAGAAAGAAATTGCTAAGAGACTGAGCAGTCATCCCTGTGCAATACCCGCAATCTCTCAATGGCTAACAGTGTTACCTTTCCCACGAGTTTGCATCCTTTCGGCCACATTGTGGTAGAAATCCTGAGCACACTCTGACTGTTCTTCAATGCTTAGATCCTGAAACAGAGAGACAAAGAGGCTGCTTGTAGCTGAACAAAGTGCAGAAGCACAGCTCTACATTCTAAGAACTTTCCAAAAGCCATTCCTTGTACTGGTAGTAAGCCTAAAAGTACTCACAGGTTATATTAATCCTGCAGGAGAGTAAAACCTATCCATTAATATTATTTCCAATATCCATTGTTGCCGGACTTTTCCTTAGTTCAGCTAAAGACGGGATCCTTGTCCGTCTCACAGCCACAAAAATTTAGGCTCGCAGGCGGTTTGAATGGTGGGTAAGACAGGGTTTTATTAGGTGAAAAGGAAGAAAAGGGGGAATCCGAGACACTCACAAGGCCAGAGTCCCTGCTAGAGTGCTTCCTGCCAGCAGCTAGAATCCTGGGCTCCACACAGAAAGAAGAGGGGCCAGGCTCCTCCCTGCTACAAATGGTGCAAACTTCCCAAAACTCCACCCCGGTGGGCAGGCTGGCTGGAGTTTTTCCGGGGACCCCTTCCCACCTAGCGGTCTCACCATGACCATCTCATTCTTTTTGCTAAATCTACGTATTCTTAAATAGATTTAATGCATGTTTTGATAATTTACATATTTTATGTACATTTCTATTTATCTAATCCACTGAATCATTTCTGGTGGCTTTATAACACTGCATTATATTAACTGACTTCTTCGACTCTCCTCTACCACTGTGCATTTGAGTTGCTCCCCCTCTTTCACTGTTGTGCACTGTAGGTATAAATAATTTTGTAAGGACTATCTTCTTTTCGGTTCTCTGTCATACATTTCCAAAAGTGGCATTAACCGCTTAATATGAATAAACAATGTTATAGCACTAAGTATCTATTGCTAGCCACACTCCTCAGAAACTCAGTGCACACTGTCATTAACCACGTGTATGCACTTACTTCCCTATGGCCCTTACAACATTGGGCTTGATAATTTTTATTTGGTTTTACTGATTTTATAGGTGTAATATATGTATTTGTTTCTCACTTTCTGCCAAAGAATATTTAAAGGCTATTTAAAAGATAAATGCAGTTCAGCACAAGAGACTAGAAAATAAAAAGAATAACAAATAACTGTAATCCCAGTGCTCTGGGAGGTTGAGGCTAGAGGATCGATTGAGCCTAGGAGTTTGAGGCCAGCCTGGGCAACATAGTGAGACCCCATCTCAAGAAAGAAAAGAAAAGAGAAGAGGAAAGAAAGAAAGGGGAGAGAAAGGAGAGAAAGGAAAGAAAGAGAAAGAAAGAAATTAAAAAATTTTTTTAACAATAATAAGTAAAAAAAAAAAAAAAAAAAAAAAAATTAAACATGGAGAGAGACCTAAAGCAGAGCCACAGATGACAAGACAGAAATGTTTTCCTGGAAGATGTCTAAATTAGTCAAGAGTCAGCCCATACATCTGTCTCTAACTAAATTTTTTAGCAACCATCACTAGGATGAAAACAGTTATGTAATTCAGGGTTCAAAAGATGAAAGCAAACAAATTATTCGGGTGAAATTCTGACACCAAAATCAAAAATTTCTCCCAACGGTTCTCATAAGGATGTCACAGTAGAAGAACATGAATAAGGCCGAGAACAAACCCCCAGGACGGGCTGTCACAGACTTCATCTACACAGGCCACTGACCTCACACGCCAAGGGCCGATACATCCTGTGGAAGCCCACAGCAGTCTGACCATCTGGCTTAACTCTAAAAGGATGGCAGGACACTTGGGGTCAGGAGCAGTCACCTCATTCCCTCAGTAAAAATGGCCAAGCACTCATGGCACTTTGTGATCACCTTGACTGCAGCCCTTGTTACTGTCAACTAGTTACCCATATACATGCACACACTGCAGTGCTCAAATCTATCCTTCTACTTCAAGTATTTTATGCAAAAGCTTATCCATTCAATCTTTTTAGGTAGTTTACACATGGTTTTACACCTTTCATTTGCACCAAATTTTAGCACTTAACTTAGAAGAAACTATATTCATTCTTGTGATTATTACTACAGATTTGAGCATTCCTAACCCAAAAATAAAAAATCTGAAATGCTCAAAAATCCCAAATTTGTCAGTGTCGACATGACACCACAAGTGGGAAATTCCACACCTGGCCTCATGTGATGATGGGCTAGAGTCAAAAAGCAGCCAAAACTGTTACATGCACAAAACTGCTTAAAATGTGGTATAAAATTACCTTCAGGCTATGTATGTAAGGCATATATTCAACAAATGAATTCTGTGTTTGGACTTGGGTCCCAGTCCCAAGTTATCTTATATATGTGTAAATATTCCAAAATCTGGGAAAACCCCAAAATCTGAAACACTTCTGGTCCCAAGGCTCTCGGATAAGGGATACTCAACCTGTAGTGCTCGCTTCCAACTAGAAACTCTCTGAGCTCCTTTTAGAGACCCGAGAGGCCTGTCTTACTGGTGTCAAGGGATCATATTCTCCTCCCCCAGCCCAGCACAACCCCTGTAATTTTACAATACAATGCCGAAAACTCCTTTTCTATTTCTACTGCAGTTTATGCTCCAGTACAGTATTGCTTTCATAATGTAAAAGAACTCACCCCTGCCACTGTCTCTCATCCTGCTTTCCATTCTTGTAGGACTTAACACTATGTTACAGATCTGCTTATTGTCCATTTCCCCAACTAAAATGTTAGCTCCACAAGGGCACTGTTCACCACCATATCCTCATGCCTAGAACAAGGCCAGGCACAGGGTTAGTGCTCAGTATGGGTTGAATGAATAAATGTGGCCATTTATTACCATTCCTCCCTTTATAAGATGCTGAAGACAATTCTCCATAGATCTCTTTCTACCTATCTGTGAGCAAAGGCAATGACTGCCTTTGTTTTGCAACATCTTTTCAAGGATTTCTTTATAGAAAACAGCTTTAGGAGACAGAGATAGTGCCTCCTTCAAGAGAAAAGGGTAGACTGCTTACTGTCTAATAAGGATCCCTAAATCCAAGGTTCCTCTCCTCTAATACAACTCACTGCATGCACAGGCTTTCCCTGGTCTTCTCTGCATTATCCTATAGGAACAGATACTCGGGGATAAGCACAAATGCAAATGCTCTGGCTACTGCTACTGCTGTAAGAAACTGGCCTTTGTCTCTGACCCAGGAGACTCGTGTCTTTGGCCAGTATCTGTGAAACCATGGCAGGTTAATTTGTTAGCCTGCAAATAAGGTAACTCTCAGGCCCCTCACAGTGTTTGCCAAAGGGGCAAAGTGAGGGCAGGTTTGTGTTGGTAAGTTCTTTTAGGCTCTACAAAACTCCAAAAGGTTTGTCATAATTTTCCAAGAAAAAAAGATAGTAGAGCAGTGAGTAAATCCTTTACCTCAAGTACTCTCTAATCATTGTACGGGATCATCTTTTCTATAATCTTTTTTTTTTTTTTTTGAGATGGAGTCTCGCTCTGTCGCCAGGCTGCAGTGCAGTGGCGTGATCTCAGTTCACTGCAACCTACGCCTCCCAGGTTCAAGCAATTCTCCTGCCTCAGCCTCCCGAGTAGCTGGGACTACAGGCATGTGCCACCACGCCCAGCTAATTTTTTTATTTCTAGTAGAGACAGGGTTTCACCATCTTGGCCAGGCTGGTCTTGACCTCCTGACCTCGTGATCCATCCTCCTCGGCCTCCTAAAGAGCTGGGATTACAGGCGTGAGCCACCGCACCTGGCATCTTTTCTATAACATCTGAGTAAAGTTGTCGTTTTATTTTTCTAAAATAAATTTTTACTCTGTGATTAAGACATTGACAAGTGGATGTCTATCTTTGAACATTATGCTGAGAGGCACTCTATACACTTTCTTAACAGTCTGGCTGAGATCTTTGTTTCCACTTCCAGTTTTGAAAACCTTTGACTATTTTCCTTGCCTATGTTTTCTGTGTATTTCATCCAGAACTTCCATCATTTCAATGTGAATTGCCACATTCTATTTTATGGGTTCATTAAGTTTTGTCTGTACTGCTGTTAACTGCTTAATCTATTTAGGTATTAGCTTTCATGTCCATATTTTTTTGTATTACCAATTTGTGCTGCCTTCAATAATTTTTTAAAGGAAAAGAACCATATGAGGGCTTTAATCCTCTTTAAAAATGAAACACACATTTAAAGTGTGCCAAGCATGCAGTCCTCATATTCTGAGAAAGTCCATCTCACCAGGGAGTATATCTTGAGGTCATTAGTAACTAGTAGAATACAGACTTAAACATTTCCACATTTAGATGAAGAAAACAGGGCAAAACTAACTGTGTCAAATTCAATTACTGGCAAAATAAAGGTGATGGGAACCGTTAAGATACATATGCTCATTTTGCATCTCCAAAAACAAACAAAAAAGCCAGAAATCCGTCATTTTTAGCAGCTAGACAGTGTCTAAGGAACGCATATGTTCTTCATAAAGGTCATCATGAAATTATTTTTAGCGTAAGAAATGTTTCAACCCTTGCTTTCCCTTTATTGAATGAAATGTGTAGTGGGCTAAGAAATCCAGTAACTCCCATGTTACAAGTTGCACAAGAGACACACAGTGCAGACAGAAGGGTCCAGATTGCCAAAAAGCAGAATTCCCAAAGACATTTTGTTCATTTAAAATACTTTGATGTCACTAGAGTCTGAGCAGATACAGCGTGATTCATGAACTCTAGAAGACCTGTAGTGTCCTATTGGCCTTTTTTACTAAGTAAGTGGAATTATTAAACATGCGGTACTAAAAATCAGAGAACACATTCCTGAATAGGAGTTCATTAATGCAACTGTGAGATCAGCTTACTTTTCTGTTTACCTACTGGTTACTTCTGCTTTCCAACAGCCTTAGGGAAAGTCAAAAGTATTTAGATGAAAAAACATCAACCAGCTTTTCATGAACTACGGCAAGTGATTTAAAGAAAAGAAAATCTTGTAAGAGGCAGCTAAGCTTCCTTCACCTCATCAACAAGGGCGGCGCTAAGGGGCTGCCCATGCTTGAACCTCACTTTTGTAACTAGAACCACTGGGCTCAGCTCTTTCCCCTAAACCAGCATGTGGAACAAGACCTCATGCTAGATCTTCCTGTAGTTCATAAGTGTGATGACTGGGTTTTCACGCTGGGTTTTCATGTGTGAGATATGCCTCCCTCAAACCTTGTTACAACACTGGCACATTGCCTGTCGCATGTGAAGAAAGACGAAAAAAAGACCTCATGCGCATAAGGGTGGAACTTGGCTCTGACAGGGTTCAGCTTGGCAGTGCTTGCTGAACACTTCCTGAATCTGGACTCCACTCATTGTTGAGAGTTTCACAGAGGTTCTTCAGGTGAGGGTTATTGTCTTTAATTTCTTCTTCTGGAACACACTGTGTTGCCTTCTCCAAAACATCTGCAACCTCTAACGAGTCCTTGCAGAAGCCCTGAATGCTATACATATTTGCCTCCTCCACCAATTTTTGGCTGATCTGCTGCAAGTCCTCAGTATCTGCCAATGCTTGCTTATCTTCTTCTACAGCCTCCTTCAGCTGCTCTTCTAACTTGACTTCTTCCATGAGTATCTTGTCCGTAGAGGGAGTATCTGTCCTCCATTTGGTTTGGATCCACATCCTCTTCCAAGTGCTGGCAACTGTTCTTTTGTTTTGTAGCTGTGTGCAGAACTGAGAAGGCTGGGAGACAATGCCAACACCAGGAGACTGCATGGCACCAGCCTCACGCATGGAGCCACCACGGCTGCCCCAGGATGATGATTTAAGTTTCCCCTCGCCTATCACTATGTGCTTCTATGAAACATTTTTAATTATTTTTACTCACTCAACATAATTATCAAATACATCTTTTTTTTTTTTTTTTTTTTTTTTTTGAGATAGAGTCTCGCTCCGATGCTGAGGCTGGAGTGCAGTGGCGTGATCTAGGCTCACTGCAAGCTCCGCCTCCCGGGTTCACGCCATTCTCCTGCCTCAACCTCCCAAGCAGCTGGGACTACAGGTGCTCGCCACCACACCTGGCTAATTTTTTGTATTTTTTAGTAGAGACGGGGTTTCACCGTGTTAGCCAGGATGGTCTCGATCTCCTGACCTTGTGATCCGCCCATCTCAGCCTCCCAAAGTGCTGGGATTACAGGCGTAAGCCACCGCACCCGGCCTCAAATACATCTTTTATCTACTTTTTTTCCTTATGACTTATAGATGCTGAGAGCTCAGAGCTATTTCCACTGCCTCACTTCTCATCCTCAGTGCTTCCAGTTTTAAAATTAGGTCCTGGGTTGCTACCCCTGCTGAAGTTCTCACAATAATTAAAGCCTATTTGCTAGTTAAAGGTTCTTTGTTTTGGGTACATACTTCTGTTCTTCTGACAGTAAATTACGTGGCAGGGCAAACTACTCCTTGATTAAATATATAGTTTACAACAATAGAGTCATTTTAAGGTATAGGAGGACACTTATCTTTCTACTTGTTCTGGGAAAGAACATGGGACTGAAGATATAACCATGTCTTAAACTGTGTATTTTTTTGTCCTCATTCAGGTACAAAGCTTTAAGTCCATATAATATAATCAGTATCAGATTATTATTATTATTTTTTTTTGAGACAGAGTTTTTTTGCTCTTGTTGCCCAGGCTGGAGTACAATGGCGCGACCTTGGCTAACTGCAACCTTGGCCTCCCAGGTTCAAGTGATTCTCCTGCCTCAGCCTCCCTAGTAGCTGGGATTACAGGCACCCGCCACCACGCCCAGCTAATTTTTTGTATTTTTAGTAGAGACGGGATTTCACTATGTTGGCCAGGTGATCCACCCGCATTGGCTTCCCAAAGTGCTAGGATTACAAGCGTGAGCCACTGTGCCCAGCTCAGTATCAGATTTTTATAGGACTGGCTAGAAAAATAACAATGAAACAAGCAAAAGGTGTTATGTTGTGCTTAACTGCTTCCTTAGAAAGAAGAGCTTATCAGAATGACTATTAAGAAGTCTTTTAGAAACTGAATTGATTGCCATGAATGGAGTATTAAGGGACTAATACAAATTAAAAAAATAAAAATAACTGAATTGAGAAACCCAAAAAATGAGGGGTGTTTTGTTTTGTTTTGTTTTTTGTTTTTTTTTGAGATGGAGTCTTGCTCTGTTGCCCAGGCTGGAGTGCAGTGGCATGATCTCAGCTCACTGCAACCCCACCTTTTGGGTTCAAGTGATTCTTCTCCCTCAGCCTCCCGAGTAGCTGGGACTACAGGCGAGCGCCACCATGCCCAGCTAATTTTTGTATTTTTAGTAGAGACAGGGTTTCACCATATTGGCCAGGCTGGTCTCGAAATCCTGACCTCGTGATCCACCCACCTCAGCCTCCCAAAGTGCTGGGATTACAGGTGTGAGCAACCTCGCCCAGCCCCAAGTTTATTAAAAAGCACTACTGCAATACCCAACAAATTAAAGGGTAGGTACTTTGAGGAAGTAGAGCCTGCCCCCTTTAAAAGCAGGACAAGCTACACTTTCAGAATAGGGAAAAAATGTATCTGAGGGATTTATTAACACTTAGCAAGGGCAGGATTTAAATAGTTTGAGCAGCAAAAGAGTTTTTCCAGAAGTTTTATTTACTTTTATTTAATTGCAGTCTAAACATGTGTCTTACAGTGAGCGTTTTCATATAAATAATTTACAGAAAAAAGTTATTTACAAAGCCACAGATCTCATTCAGTTAGGTAATATGGTTTTCTAGTTATTATGGGAAAGGTTAACACTTGATTGGGTCTATACAGTGCCTTAAAATTGCCCTCACCACATGAAGCTCTGTCCAGATGACAAAGAGAATGTATACCTCTTCATAAGTGACTATATATACTCCTGAATCCATAATCACTCTCAGACCTGTGTGAAGCTTGGTTAAGGTGAGATTCTTAAATTCAAGTTAGGCCAGGTATTGTGGCTCAATCCTGTAATCCCGGCACATTGGGAGGCCAAGGTGGGCGGATCATGTGAGGCTAGGAGTTCATGACCAGCCTGGCTAACAGAGTAACACCCCATCTCTACTAAACATACAAAAAATTAGCTCGGCATGGTGGTGCACACCTGTAATCTCAGCTATGCGGGAGGCTGGGGCATAAAAATTGCTTGAACCTGGGAGGCAGAGGTTGGGGTGAGCCGAAATCACGCCACTGCACTACAGCCTGGGCAACAGAGCAAGACTCTATCTTAAAAAAAAAAAAAAAAAAAAAAAAATCAGGCCAGGCATGGTGGCTCACTTCTGTAACCCCAAGATTTTGGGAGGCCAAGGCGGGCAGACCACTTGAGGTCAGGAGTTCAAGACTAGCTTGGCCAACATAGTGAAATCCTGTGTCTACAAAAAAAAAAAAAAGTAAAAATTATCTGGGCATGGTGGCACATGCATGTAATCCCAGCTACTCGAGAGGCTGAGGGAGGACGATCACTGGAACCTGGAAGGTAAAGGCTGCAATGAGCAGAGATCACACCACTGCACTCCAGCCTGGCCAACAGAGCAAGACTCCTATCTCAAAAAGAAATAATAATAATTCAAGTTATGTTGTACAGATTAGGTTTTAAAAATTAAGCTTTATTAATTTGGCTCAGCAATTTAAATTCTTGCTATGATGATTTGTAAGAACAGAAAAGTAGCTGATGGCAACTATATTTTCAACATAAAAGGATTTTGTGTTAATGACATAGCTGCCCGTCTCATTTGCAATGGAAATATCTTGTTTTAAAGAATGTATAGAAGTACTGTAAGAGTATACATGTTTTAACATTAAGTGGCTAGTAAGACTAGCAAGAAAGAAAAAAGAGCAAAATAAACAAGCTTCAGAAAAATATTAGCAAACAACATTTGCTGAATAGCACTGGGCGCGGTGGCTCACACCTATAATCCCAGCTCTTTGGGAGGCCAAGTTGGGAAGATCACCTGAGGTCAGGAATTCAAGACCAGCCTGGGCAACATAGGGAAACCCTGTCTCTACAAAAAATAAAAAACTCAGCCAGACATGGTGGTGTGTGCCACTAGTCCCAGCTACTCAGGAGACTAAGGCAGGAGGATCACTTGAGTCTGGGAGGTCAAGTCTGCAGTGAGCAGCAACTGCGCTATTGTGCTCCAGTCCAGGAGATAGAGCAACACACTGCTTCAAAAAAAGAAAGAAAAGGAAAGGAAAGGAAAGAAAGAGAAGTGTGTTGCATAGTAAAGCATTATACTGCCATACTGCAGTGGGTATGAAAATTACGTAGGTGCTGAAATTTAAATTCTAAAAACAAAAAACATCTTAGTGTAGACAAGGTGTTTCTTGATAAAGATAAAATGGCTTAAAAATTTTAATGCAGTTCGGAAAAGATTTAATTTTCTAGACTTGACCCATATGCTGAAAAGGCTGCTCACCACCGGCATATACAGGGCTTGGAGAAAACAGAAATGATGTGGGAAAGATGTGGGCAAGAGCAGATCACTCTCCTGGATCTCAGAAATTTTAGAAAGAATAATACTGTGGGATGCAGTAGGAACAATTATCCATTTATGGCAAGGCTGACTGGGCAGTTTTTAAACAGGTAAGAATGGATTTTCATATTGCATAGGCCCTTAGGATACCATCTAGAAAGTTTAGTTGGTGGTAATAACATTAATTTAAAGGTTTTGCGCAGTTTTGAAGAACTGAGTACAAAGACTTTTTTTTTTTCCCCCCCAGATGGAGTCTCGCTCTGTCATCCAGGCTGGAGTGCAGTGGTGCAATCTCCGCTCACTGCAAGCTCCGCCTCCCAGGTTCACGCCATTCTCCTGCCTCAGCCTCCCAAGTAGCTGGGACTACAGGCGCCTGCCACCACGCCCAGCTAATTTTTTGTATTTTTAGTAGAGACAAGGTTTCACCGTGATAGCCAGGATGGTCTCTATCTCCTGACCTTGTGATCCGCCTGCCTCGGCCTCCCAAAATGTTGGGATTACAGGCGTGAGCCACCGCACCCGGCCACAAAGGCTATTTTATACTACCACATTCTTCACAACTTCAGAGGAACTGCCCCAAGAAATTTATATGATTAGTGATCTGAAGCTAGTTATGTTAGTTCAGGTGTAAAGAGTGTTTATTTATTTATTTGAAAGGACATTAACTTGCAGACAAAGGCCAAAAGGGCTTCTCTAGGGACATTCAGTTTAAAAAACATCTCTTTCATATATGGTATGTGCAGACTTCACACTAAAGATACCTGAGATACATGCATAGGACTTGGCCACCTAACCATGAAACACATAGTGTAGAAATGGAAAATAGGTGGCTTAGTGGCTCTTAAAACAGGAGGAATCTGAGGCCATATGCAGGTCTCTGATATAAACTAGTGATGCCTTACAAATAGGCATTGTGATATTTGTACCAGTTAATTACCTCTTTACTTTAGTATACTCATTTAGAAGTCTACTAAATTATTACAGAGTAAGAACACATCACACTTCTGAGCAAAAGAAAAATACCAAATCTGAGTTGAGCAATTTTCTAAAACATATTATACAGCATACATGCTATATGTACTACAGTATACATACACTAACTTAATATAGCTATCCCGTGAACATTTCATGTGGGCTCAAGAAAAAAATAAATACAAAACCTCAGTTTTTAGTTCTGATAAAAATGAAAGATGGTGTCATATGAACTCTGAATTGTTCCATATTAAGGATATCTATCATGTTTCCTAACTTAAAAAAAAAACAATAACAGCTCACTTGTTTTGACTCTAAATGTTTTACTCTAGAGAGAAAAAATACCTAGAGAAAGACAGCTACTTACTTACACAGTCTAATTACATTTCTGAAGGGCGAGAAAGCAAGCTTTTCTCCTTTACAAACTGAATTCAATATCTAAAAATTATTTTGACACAAGTCCACTGCTTATTAGCCTAGTGATTGCTGACCCCAGCTAGAATATAGCTAAACAGTTAAACACCCTGCTGCTTTTCTAATTTCCTTTTTCTTTCTAAGACTTCCTTACTGCATAGAAGGAACTTTCAGAGCTAATTCTGAGTTTAATGGTTATAGAATGTTACAACAGAATTAATCCCTATTTACAAAATGAATTCCTTTACAGGCAGTCTTATTAATTATTGCCACTGAAATTATGGGTAAAAGAAACAGGTGTGGAAATCACAAGTTCTGGTTGACATTGGCAAAATCTAGCTGTGTAACCTTGGACAAGTCACTTATCCTCTTTGGCTCTCAACTTCCTCATCTATAAAATAAAGGGACTGAAACTCCATAGTTGCTAAAGTCCCTTTCATTGTCTAAATTCTATCTGTCCTTTCTCTAACTGAATGAAAAAATTCAAAATCAAAATACAAAAAACAAAACAGAATTCAACAACAACAACCCTTAAAATTACTGCCACTGGCCTAACAATGGTTGCACAGAGTTAAAGGTCTACTATCGCAGTTTATACTATTTACAAGGTCACAAGTCAAAAAGGCCTGTTACTAAAGCACATAATTCAAGTGGCTTCAGGTCAGAATTTCCACACAAAGATGATCCAAACACCACTGAGTTGCAGTGGAAAAGTACTAGCCTAAGAGTTGGGTTTTAGCTTGATTCAGAGGCTTTTCTTAGGTAAGTAATTTAACATCTCTTGGTCTGGATTTTTCTCAGGCATAAAATGACAAGGTTGCACTATATTATCTCTAAGACCTTTCCTCAAACCAAAACTCTATGTTTCTACGTGGTTATTCTCAACCTACCCTTTTGTAATGCATTCCTTCCAAAAACAGCTTGGTCTGTTTATAGATTTCTTGGCCTGTCTTGTGGAAGGTCTTGAGAAATTCTATGAACTCCTTAGACACTCTATCCGTTTCAATGCTGGTTTGCCGGTTTATGGAAGGACTGGGAGCTTTTGCTTCCTGAATTTCTGCTGGGAAAATTAAACATAGTAAGTTTCATGACATAAAAGATCCATGCATGGAATTACTTTAAGTATCTTACCTAAGGTTATTTAAATTATGTTTCATCAAAGTTAAACTTGAATTTAAATAATTTTATGTTTGAATGGTTGGACAACTTTCCTTAAAGTAAACTAAATCTGTTTTACAAGTAGGAAGTATGAGTAGACAAAACTACATTATCTAAAAGATATTCCTACTGAAATAAAAGTTGTTCTATTAGTATTTTCTTTGCCAAAATCTATCACACTTTGATCTATATATTCAATCATGAACACTGAAATGGCACCACTAGGCTTCTCAAAGACTGCTGGAGTTTATAAAACTAGTCAACAAATAGAATAACAATCAATAGAAGCACTGACATGTTAAATGACTTATAAATGTCAGACAACCTTTCCAAATCCCATTTTACTTGAGAAAAAAGCAAAGGTTAATGTGTTTATGTGGAGACTCACAATTATTTACCCACCATTTCGTTGGTGAGTCATACTGATCAAAGTGAAAGAACGCATCCAAAGTATTAATAGCATGATAAACACAACAAAGCATACAATGAAGAGACAAGGGAAACATGCACTACACTATCCCACCGGCTGGGCAGACAATTCTTTCCCCTCTTCAAATAAACACACTGAAAGGAAAATGGGACATTTACACAAGAGACATAAGGATGTTGTAACAGGCAGTAAGTGCTTTCAGAAAGTATGAACTACCACTTGGTCTTTGACCACATTCTAAGCCTCCTGATTTTGAACTATGCTCTCTAATGTTTATAAGGAAATTAAGTTCCCCATATCCCAATGATTTCCAAAACGAAAAAATAATTTTTTTAAAAGTATGTTTTATTTTTTTTTTGAGACGAAGTCTTGCTCTGTCGCCCAGGCTGGAGTGCAGTGGCATGATCTCAGCTCACTGCAACCTCCACCTCCCAGGTTCAAGCGATTCTCCTACTGAGCTACTCAAGTCTCCGAGTAGCTGCTCTCTCTACAGAAAGTAAGAACATTAGCCAGGCATGGTAGTGCATACCTATAGTGCCAGCTATTTGTGGGGGTTAAAGCAGGAGGATCGCTTGAGCCCAGGAGTTTGACGCTGCAGTGAGCTACGAGATCATCCCACTACACTCCACAGCCTGGGCGAAAGAATGAGACCTTGTCTCTTCCAAAAAAAAAAAAAAAGTAAGGTATGTACACTGTGCTATGTTTTATGTAAAATAGGGGGTAGTGGGATAAGAATATATGTGTTTATAACTCAGAATAAAAGCACAAAAGGATACACAAGAAACTAGTAACAAAAGTTGTCTGAAAGTGGGAGAAACAAAGCAGTGGTGCTTAGGAACTAGATGGGCAAGAGACAAACTAGAAAGGAAACTTCTGACCATACCTCTTATGCTAGAACCATTTGGATATACTATGTTTTAAGTACATAAATAAATCAGGTACAATCTAATTTAAAACAAAAAATGCAACATCTTTTCTAAAATATTTTTTATCTCAATGGAAAACCAAAGATTGTGTTGACATCGGTATGATTAGAAAAAAATTCTTTAGTGTTTGAAAGTGAATCCTTCTCTAATAATTCTGCTTCTAGTCATGATGGAATACTCTGATGGCATTCAGGTTTACTCTACTATCTTAACAACTGGAAGGTCAGACAAAAATATGAACAAAAGGTTTTCAGACACTGGATGACAGACAAACAGCAGATTAACTCCTCAAAGAAGGGAAACAAACAGAGTCTGTCCTAGAGTGTCCCAGCTCACTGCTGGGAGAGTTTTAAAGTCTTGGCACAGGGAGAGGCCACTCAAACAGAGCCTAGCTGACTTGCTGAATTGAGCAGATAGCATTTGGAGTTCACGGAGGCCAATGTGACCAGAATTTGCATGGCAAAATATCATGCAAACACTACGGAGGGGAGAGGGCTACATAGAAAAAGCTGCAGGTATCTGCAGAGGGTTCCCTTGAGTGTGGCTGACTACCGCACATGTGTATGAGGAAACTACCCAAGATGAGAGAAAAACCACCAAGTAACGTGTAGAACCACAGCACAAAGGATGGGAGGAAGAAACATAAGAATCCTGTTTAGGGAGGGGAACATCACACACCGTGGCCTATTGGGTGGTGGGGGACAAGGGGAGGGATAACCTAATTAGGAGAAATACCTAACGTAGGTGATGGGTTGATGGGTGCAGCAAACCACCAGGGCACGTATATACCTATGTAACAAAACTGCATTCTGCACATGTAACCCAGAACTTAAAGTATAATAAAAATAGATAAATAATAATAAATTACATTTAAAAATTCCCGTCTAAGATTATTTTATGTAAAGTGGTATAACACTACTGTTTTAATTTTTTTTTCTTTTTTCTATAAAGTGATATAATACTACTTGAAGGTAGGTAAGTTAAAGATGTATTCTGTAAACCCCAGAACAACCAGTAACAAAAACAAAACAGAACAAAGAGGTATAGCTAACAAGCTGATAGTGGAGATAAAGATGTGGTCATAAAGAAGGCAAGAAAAGAAGAGAAAAGGAACTAAGACAAGTTGGGATAAATACAAACAGCAAGATGGCAGGGGTAAACCTTCCCTTATCAAAAATCACATTAAATATACGTGCTATAAACAGTCTGATAAAATGTCAGAGATTATCAGATTAGGTTAAAAAAACAAGACCCCACTTCATGCTGTCTGTAAGAAATTAACTTTAAATATAAAAATACAAATATGTTAAATACTAATGAAAGGAAAAGCATACTCTGAAACAATGAAAAAGAGCTTAAGTGGTTGTACCAATGTTAGACGAAGTAAACTTAAGAACATGGACCATATTACCAAGAACAAAAAAGGGGCATCTCATCATAAAAAAGAGGTTCATTCTTCGAGAAGTCACAGCAACCCTAAATATATATATACTAATAACACTGCTTCAAAACACATAAAACAAAATCTGACAGAACTGAAAGGAGAAACAAATTCACAGTATTTGGAGATTTCAATATTCCTCATTTAGTAATTGACAGAGAGGTGATTTTTAAAAAGTCAGTAAAGACAGAAGACTTGAACAATGCTATCAACCAACTTGACCTATCTGACTCTGATAGAACACTCAACCCAACAAAAACATAACACTCCATCTGACAAAATAATAATGTTAGTAACTTACATATAGATAATGCCTATTATGCACTAAGTACTTTTACAATGTTATTTTGTATAATCCTCACAAGTCTATCAGGTTGTACACTTACAATATTTACAAATGAGGAAGCTGAGGCTTGAATATGTTAAGTAACTTGAATAATGTTGCAGTCACTTACATAGTAAAGAATGGAATTTGAACCCAGGTCTGTGCGCTTAAATCCAAAGCCTGAGCTGTTGACTATTAACAACTGACTATGAGGTAGTACAACTACCTCAGTAAGCCAGAGGACTGAAGACTCTTCAGAAGAACACCAACTCCTCTGACTTTGGAGGTCTGTACACCAGTCAAAACACAGGAAAATCCTACTCATTTCCTTTATTGCTTTGCTTACAACATGCCTCCCTCCCACACATACTTTTCCAAAGACACACTTTTGCTTTAAAACAAAAAAAACCCTTTTAAAATGTAAATGAGGATTAACTCTACTAGCTAGTTATGATCATACAAGTTACTAAAATCAACACTTGGTTGTTTTTCTCCAAGCTTCCTAAAAATCAATCCCTACTAAGAGGCCAGAAGTTTGGATTAGAGAGGGGAAAGTGAGAGACAGCTCAGGTGTTCGGTATGCAGGGAGGAGGCGACTTATGTTTGAACAGCCAATAGGGATTCCGTGTGTAAGATGAAAGAAGTGAAGAAGTAGGAAATATGGAAAAGAACAACCTCATCCACGTTACAGTTCATAATTTTGGCTAGGGCTCAAACAGCAAGTGCTTGCTCCTAAACTTAAAAGTCACCTTGTGTTTTTGGTGTTTTTTTTTTTTTTTTTAATCAGGGTCTCGCTCTGTCACCCAGGCTGGAGTACGGTTGCATGATCACAGCACATTGCAGCCTCAACCTCCCAGGCACAAATGATCCTCCCATCTCAGCCTCCCAAGTAGTTGGGGCTACAGGCACTAGCCCAGCTAATTTTTTAATTTTTTTTTCTTTTTTTAAAGATGGGGGCCTCACATTGTTGCCCAGGCTGGAGTGCAATGGCACGATCTTGGCTCACTGCAATCTCCACCTCCCAGGTTCAAACAGTTCTCCTGCCTCAGCCTCCCAAGCAGCTGGGATTGCAGGCACGTGCCACCACCCCCAGCTAATTTTTGTATTTTTAGTAGAGACAGGGTTTCACCATGTTGGCCAGTCTGGTCTCGAACTCCCGACCTTAGGTGATCCACCTGCCTCGGCCTCCCAAAGTGCTGGGATCATAAGCGTGAGCCCCTGTGCCAGCCGTATTTCTCTATTTTACTAAATTAACACACGGATTATGATTTTTGTTCAATCAGTTATACTTCATTTATTGTCCTTATTTATAGATTTCTTCATTTTATTTTATTTATTTTTTAAGACGGAGTCTCACTTTGTTGCCCAGGCTGGAGTGGCACGATCTCAGCTCACTGCAACCTCCACTCCCCGGGTTCAAGCGATTCTCCTGACTCTGACTCCCAAGTAGCTGGGATTACAGGCGCACACTTCCACACCTGACTAATTTGGTATTCTTAGTAGAGACGGGGTTGTGCCACGTTGGTCAGGCTGGTCTCAAACTCCCAACCTTAGGTGATCTGCCTGCCTTGGTCTCCCAAAGTGCTGGGATTATAGGCCTGAGCCACCGTGCCTGGCCTTATTGTCCTTATTTATTTTGACATTCAAATTATCCCAGACTTGGCCAGTGGAAACCCCTCCAAGCTGGCTTCTGGATCTTCTGAAATGTCCCCAAAATATTGAAGGGGCCCTTTTTTCCCTACTCTAGCCCCAGAATCAGTCACTTCTCCAAGAAGCCCTGATTCACTTTAATGAATAATAGGTTTACTTTCTAAGGTCTGGGTGGTATTGGTATTTTAACTCTAAAAATGAAAAGATATGCTTTAGAGAATCACCGTCTTCAGATCCGTTCATGAAAGAGGTACACAAGATTCTACTTGGAATGACAACATTATAGGAGTTCTGAAAGAAAAGGGCACTTTGGAATGTATAAGCAAGTATCTCAGCTTGGTCAACCACTATGACTTCCTCTATACAGCTCACTCACCCTGACTGTAGAGACTAAAACACTTTAACTGAGTCTTTACAGTCAAGACATTCCATTTACTTTCTCTGAAGGCGTATCCAACTCTAAAAGAATGTGAAGATATTCTTCAAATTCCTTAGAAGGTTATTTGTATTTTGTCTGCTACCAAGCTGCTACGTATGGCATAAAAACTTTCCTTTATGCTACTAACAGAAGCAAGTAAAACACCAACAGCAAGGGTATCATGGACTAAGGAAGATTCAAGAATACAGAATCCAAAAAGTCTGTTTCTAGTCTAGACCTAATACATTAAAACGGCACTTAGGCTAATCTTATCCAAACACAATGGCCAAACAAAAGTAATCAGTGTGAAATGCAAAATTTACCTGGCTAAGTTATATTAAGTGATCTGTGAAACAAAGATACAATGGAATCTTCTTTTCTAACATGAATTTTTAAAATACTTTAAGGTCTTTATCCCCAAAGCTTTCTACAGACAAAAAGCAACTAAAGAACAAACAATCTAAAGTACAAATCTATCATTCAAAAAGATGGGGGATGAGGGGAGACAAGAACAAAGGTAAAAATCATTCTGCATACATATTTTTAAAACAAAATTCACCTGGATTCTTTATTAATTAATTAATTTTTTTAATGTTGGTGTCTCACTCTGCTGCCTAGGCTGGAGTGCAGTGGCACAATCAGAGCTCACTGCAGCCACTAACTCCTGGGCTCATGTAATCCTCCTACCTTAGTCTTCCAAGTAGCTGGGATTATAGGTAGGTAGAAGCCACTGCACCCAGCTCCAGAAATGTTTCTTTTTAAAGTACAGACTCTGCATTGAATTGTAAATTTTCTTTCAATAGTATAATGCACACTGTACAGAGGCTTTTGGGACACAGGTTTTTAAAACCACCAAGGAGAGTTAGCAAATATAAATGACAATTATGTACTTAAGTAACAGAAACTTAATTTCATATATATATATTATTTATGATATATATTAAATAACCTGGGCTTCTGAAGTATACACATTGGATAAAGGAATATAATGGAAAAATATTGACCCAGGAATTAGGAGACATGAGTTCTCATGCACAAACTCATTGTGCAACCTTGGGTAAATTAGTTAACCTTTATGGACTTTCACACTGTCCTCTGCAAAATGAGGCTATTGGAGCTGATAATTTTATACTTGTTTTACTATTTCATCTGTTATCATAAATACTTATCATTTCACTACATATCATCAAGAAACAGACCTTAAGCTAAATAGGAATGAGTATTCTTCATAGCAAATGCCCTTGTGCTCCCTGCAAGATAATTCTATCAGAAGAATAACTTGCATTTTAAAACAGCTAACACTTACTGGAGATCTACTGTGTGTGTCAGGCACTGTGCTAAGCTCTTTACATGCATTAACTCACTGAATCCTCATCACGTGCCTCTGGTAGGTATTATTGTCCCTCAGTGTGGACAGGACTCGGAGAGGTTAGTCTGTCCAAGGTCACAAAGCTGGTAAATACAAAGCTAGGGCTCAAACCAGGAGTGACTCCAAAGTCACCTTACTACCTGGCTATTCCACCTCCTAATAAATAAATCATGAGCCCAATACATTCTTATTTAATCTCTGGCAGGTACTAATTTTTCCCCCCTTTTTCGTAGAGATAAAATTGCTACAACTGGCAGCCAACCAAGAAACAACTTCAAATTAATCATGTAATCAATCTTTTTTCTTTTCTTTCCTTTTTTTAGACAGGGTCTTGCTCTGTCACCCAGGCTGGAGTGCAATGGCACGATTTCGGCTCACTGCAACCTCCTCCTCCTAGATTCAAATGATTCTCCTGCCTCAGCCTTCTGGCCTCAGCTGGAACTACAGGCACATGCCACTGTGCCTGGATGATTTTTCTATTTTTTGTAGAGGCGGGGTTTCACCATGTTGCCCAGACTGGTCTCAAACTCCTGAGCTCAGGTAATCCATCTGTCTTGGCCTCCCAAAGCGCTGAGATTACAGGCTTGAGCTACCGCACCAGGTCTGGTATCCATGTCTTAAAGAGAGGTGTGTTTTTGGTTATGAGCAATATTTCCTTTTAATAAAACAAAAGGAAACAGCAAAAGTCACAAAACCTAGAAGACCAGCAAGTATCTTAAGAAGTAACACTGTCTTATTATTCATTCCCCGGCCTTCAGGGGAGACCTCATTACAATTACCCCAGGGTAGGAACTGGGGAGCAAGTGAGGGGGCTCCCAGAGAACAGGTCTTCTGACAGCATCAGTGTTGGTTCCCAGTCTCCCTCATTATTTCGCTTTGACTGCATAACTCTGAGTACCAACATAAATTTTCAAAGACAGACTGAGGCCTAACAACAAAGAGTCTTTCTTGCTTCATGTTGGGCCACTTCAACTAGCTAGTCTGCTCAATGGTAGAACAACTGTGACTTAAGTGACAATCCTCTTGCTGGTTATATGGCATTTTAAAAAGCAGGGTGAATATGATCACCTACATACAAATCCATGCACTGGAAAATAGCTACTATGGCTCACTTTCATCCCCCCAAGAGCCCAACTTGGGCCTTTTCCTATATGTTCTCAATACACTTCCTCAAGACACAAGCTGTCTCTCAAATAAGCTCTCAGGCAGAAAATCTCTCTCTCAGATGACTATCAAGCCTAGAAATCACCATTTCTGACAAGCTATGAACAGTGAGGGTATTATACCACAGAACAAACCAGGATCCACAAATAAAGGCACAAAAACCAAAACATCCAAAGAGATAGTCATTTGGATGGGGATGAATTTCATAAGCAAAAGTACCTATTTCAATTCTCTTGATTCCTCCTATAAACAAATTTCTCTAAAACACAATGTCTTTCAACCAAAGAGAGTATTGATTTCATATACTGTCTGACCCTCAAGCCCAATTTCAGTGTCAAATCTGAGCTGATGTTCTCAAAAAGTTGACAGAAATTACAAAGCTGAGCTTATGAGCATTGGGGATCTCCTCTGTGTCTCACTCAGGCAGAGAAGAAAAAAAAGAGTATCAGAACATTACCCTTCTTTGATCCGACCCTGGAAGATGCACTGAAGAATTTCTTCACTGTGGTAACCTTGCGGGTCTTCTCGTTGGTTTTCTTTTCTTCAAACTTGGAGAATGTGAGGGATTGGGCCCCTTGGCTGCTCTGACTGCTGGCAAAGGCCTCTTCTTCCTCCCGCTGGAGTCTGCAATTCAAGAGAGGATTAGAATGACCTAGATATTCTCCAAGGTTTCTCTGTATGTGAAGGTTATTACTCCATTAATTCAGGAGGATCTAAAGATTTTAGACCTAGAGACTAAATATGCCAAATCAGTCTGAGGTCTCACATTGCTACAGGATGGACGGCTCTTCATGCACTACAGATTTCAAATGGGGTCTTCTCATACTCATTCAGCTACTGCTCTAGGGTTACATGAAAGAAATCAAGTCTAATCCTTTTCCCTAACAAGCTCAAGGCTGGAACAGACAAAAAGGTAAGTAAACAACTGCTACAGAATGGGACAGCTGCTACATCAGAGAGTAAAAGTTGAGTGCTGTGAGAACACAGGAAAGAACAACTCAATCTGCTGGGGGAGTCTGACGAGGCTTTACAACGGTGATGTTTGGGTGAGGTCTTAAAGGATAAATAGGATCCTTTTTTTGGTTGTTTTTGAGACAGAGTGTCACTCCATCGCCCAGGCTGGAGTGTAATAGCATGGTATCAGCTCACTACAACCTCTGCCTCCCGAGTTCAAGCAATTCTCATCCCTCAGCCTCCCAAGTTATTGGGACTACAGGCGCACACCACCACACCTGACTAATAAGGCTGAATAGGATTCTAAGTGAAAGGACATTCCAGAAAGAAGGAACTACAAATGTGCAAGCCTGTGGTTTGCTTCACAACAAGCTGAATGTAGCCAGAGCACTGGGCGTGTGATGAACTGTGATGCTGGATATACAGGAAGGCTCCAGAGGGTAGGGAATCTTGATTGCTGAGCCCACTATTCTGGATTTCATCATGTGGTAGGGAAGCAAGAAAGACTGTAAATCCAAGGAGTTATCGCTGTCAGATCTGTACTTTAGAAAGATCATGCAGGTAGCTGTGTGAACAACTTGAAGGGTAGAGAAACTAGAGACAGGAACAAGAAGTAAGAGTATATTATAAAGGTTTAAGTAAAAGAAAATAAGCACCTGGAAAATAGGAGTACAAAAGGTAAAATTCAAAAGACTTTTCTGAGTTGGAAGAAATAGAACTTGGTCAAGTTGTAGCTAGCATGGGAGATAAAAGAGAAATCAAGAATGAAACCAAGGTTTTTTAGCTAACTTGGTAAGTAGTGATGCCATTAATTGACTCAGGAGAAGGGTTAGGAGGAAAATGTTCAGAATGCGGAGAATAATAAATAAAAGCAATAAATTTGGCTTTGGATTAGCTGCATGTGAACCACCTGTATTAATTCCCAAACACAGGCCAGGTGCAGTGGCTCACGCCTGTAATCCCAGCACACTGGGAGGCCAAGGCGGCCGGATCACTTGAGCTCAGGAATTTGAGACCAGCCTGGGCAACATGGTGAAACCCTGTCTCTACATAAAATACAAAACTTAGCTGGGCATGGTGGCATACTTCTGTAGTCCTAGCTACTTGGGAGGCTGAAGCAGGAGGATCACTTGAGCCCAGGAAGCAGAGGTTGCAGTAAGTTGAAATTGCACCATTGCACTCCAGCCAGGGTAACAGAGCAAGACCCTGTCTCAAAAACAAACAAACAAACAAAAAGCACAAGCACTATCTAAAAGACAATGATTTTCCAAGTATGATTCCCCAGACAGCAGCGCAGCATCACCAGGCAACTTGTCAGAAATGCAAATTCTCTAGTCTTACTCCCAAGCCACTAAAATCAGAGACTCTGTGGGTAAGGTCCAGCAATCACTGCTTTTACAAGCTTTCCGAGAGATTTAGCAGGGTCACAATTAAAAGCAGTAAGAAATAGAAACAAAAATCACAGGTGGAGGTGCTAAGTCTGAGGGTGGAATCGGGACCCCTCTTTCTCTGGGACAGACAAGAAGTTAATATAAAGGTACTAGGACATTTTTATGTGGTGAGGGGAGGAAGCTGAGGGAGTTTGTGCCTAGTGGCCTCTACTCTGTTTTTGAAACAGGATCTGCTACTGACAGCATCAGGCATGCAGTGGAAACCCTGAGGAGATCATTCATGTTCTCGGCTAAAATTTTCTCTCTTTGATTGAACACAGTCACTGAAAGCAATGTGTAATTTCTAATTCTCTGAGTTCACTACAAATGACAGCAAAGGAGTCACTCAACAAATATTGGCTGACTGGATGAAAAAAAAAAAACAAACAACTAGCTAGAGGAGTTGGCAGAATTCCATTTGACTTTCTTCTGTTGAAGCAGTTTTAGAATTCTAGAATGCTCTGGCAAAGAATTAACATTATTCATGGCATTTTATTAGTTCCTATGCTCACTAGCCATCCCATCATTTATTTATTTATTTATTTATTTTTTTTTGAGACAGAGTCTCACTCTGTCTCCCAAGCTGGAGTGCAGTGGCATGATCTCAGCTCACTGCAACCTCCGATACCTGGGTTCAAGCAATTCTCCTGCCTCAGTCTCCCAAGTAGCTGGGATAACAAATGCGTACCACCATGCCCGGCTAACTTTTTTAATATTTTTAGTAGAGAGGGGGTTTCACCATGTTGGTCAGGCTGGTCTCGAACTCCTGACCTCAGATGATCCTCCTGCCTCACCCTCCCAAAGTGCTAGGATTACAGGCGTGAGCCACTGCGCCCGGCCCATCGTTTAATTTTTAACATCATTATATTTCCGGATAATACCAAATGCTAACCTAATTTTTAAATATAAGTTAAATTTCTACAATGCAATGACTATGTATACAAGTCAACAGATTTCTACTACTGTGTTTTATCACTGAGCTAGATGCCATGCTAAATATATATTAAAAGAATGAGGGAAATAATGCTTGATGAGTGCCATTTCCAAGCCCTGCAGTGGGTACGTCAAATTTATTAGCTCATTTAATCTTCACCAGGAAATATGCCTATCTCCATTCTTCCACTCCAAGGAGCTTATTGTCTACATTTGAGAACTAAAACTAACACAACCCAAAGAAAATAATCAGAAGACAAACACAAAATGAAGAAACTACTGAAAGCTGTTCATTAAAAGCTGACTGAGAAGAAGAGAGGAAAACATCCTTTTCCTTAATATTAAACTGACTTGCTGATAGCTCAAAGCAGAAGTGAAAAAATGTATTTAGACGGTGACAGAACTATGTATCCAGTCACGTCACTGTTCAACCGCCCCTAGTTAAGTCCTTTTACCGCTCCGCCAGCTCCCAGTCCTCCTGAATCTGCTTCTGCCTGGCTTTGTGGTACTCTTCCCTCCAGCACTTGGAGCAGAAACCCTGCCAGGCAGGGTTGCCGTAGTAACCACATCCTTTCTTGCACAGGAGATCCGATTGATCCACATGAATTCCTCGGCGTTCAGACTTAAGGCTCATCTTCTTCCTGCTAACCACTGAACAAACAAGAAAGTGCTGTTGAAAATGAATTATCATTCTACTAAATAAAATCTTACCAATTATGAACAAAAAGTGAGTGATTCCATTATCTTCAAGCTGTTAAGAGAGGGATGGAGGGAATGAAGGAGGGAGGGAGAAAGAGGAGGAAGGAAGAAAAAAGAATGTTAAATATAGTAAATTCCTGACACAGCCATATTAAAGAAAGACTTATTCCCTGCCCAAAATAAAAAATAAAAAATAAAAAATTAAGAAAGGACTCACATTAGATTAAAGACCTAAATGTAAAGGCTGCAAACTAGAAAACTCCTAGAAAAAAAACTTAGGGGAAAAGCTTCCCGACACTGGATTTTGCAATGACTTCTAGGATATGACACCAAAAGCACAGGCAACAAAAGCAAAATCAGACAAATACATTATATCAAACTTTAAAATGTCTGCACAGGCCGGTGTGGTGGCTCACACCTGTAATCCCAGCCCTTTGGGAGGCTGAGGAGGGCGGATAACAAAATCAGGAGATTGAGAGTATCCTGGCTAACACGGTGAAACCCTGTCTCTACTAAAAATACAAAAAAATTAGCCAGGCGTGGTGGCGGGCGCCTGTAGTCCCAGCTATTCAGGAGGCTGAGGCAGGAGAATCACGTGAACCTGGGAGGCAGAGCCTGCAGTGAGCCAAGATCACGCCACTGCACTCCAGGCTGGGTGACAGAGCAAGACTCTGTCTCAAAAGAAATAAAAAATTTTTAAAAATTAAATATCTGCAAAACACAGGAACCAACTGACAGGGTAAAAAGGAACAACACACAGAATGGGAGAACTTATCTGCAAACCATATATCTAATAAGGGGTTAATATCTAAAATACGAAGGAACTCCTACAACTCAATAACAACAACAACAACAACAACAACAAACCCAAATAATCCGATTAACAAATGGGAAAAGGACTTCAATAAACAATTCTCCAAAGACATACCAACAGCCAACAAATGTGAAAAATGCTCAACATCACTAATCATCAGGGAAATGCAAATCAAAATCACAATGAGATATCACTTTACACCCATTAGGATGGCTACTGTAAAAAAAAACAAACCCAGGCTGGGCATAATGGCTCATGCCTGTAATCCCAGCACTTTGGGAGGCCAAGGTGGGAGGATCACTTGAGGCTAGGAGTTCAGGACCAGCCTGGGCAACACAGCAAGATCCCATCTCTACAAAAAACACAACAACTAGCTGGGAGTGATGGTGTATGCCTGTAGTCCCAGCTAATCGGGAGGCTGAGACAGAAGGATTGCCTGAGCCCAGGAGTTGGAGGCTGCAGTGAGGTATGATCACACCACTGCACTCCAGCCTGGGTGACAGAGCGAGGCCTTGTCTAGAGAGAAGAGAAGAGAAAAAAATTGAAATAATACCTTAAGTTCCAAAGTCAGTTTTCTTTTCTACTGTATAATATTTAAACTCATTTGTTCAGTCTCACAGCTGTATGGTAAATCGCTATGCAACAATTTCCGTTCAAACTGAAACCACATGGTCTTCATTCTTCTCCATATAAACAAACTGCCAAACAAGCACAGAAAAAAAGCAGCACTCCACACCATTCATTCAAGAAGACTCACATGTGCAGATAAAATTAAGCCCTATATCTTGGGGATCTTATTAATTTAACTCAAACATTTACTAAGTGCCAACTGTGTGCAGAGAATTGAGCTAGATGGCACTGGTGATGCAACTCATAGAACATGTCCTTACCCTCATGAAGCTCATAACCAAAAGTACAGGCAGACTGAAAAACGCAGAAAAAGAGAAAGTGTTAGGAAACTGTTAGGGAGCAACAGACATAGGAATTCTCACTTACGGAGTATAGAGAGACCACTTGGGGATGCTGGCGATAGACCTTAAAGAGCCTTGTGTTGAAAGGGTCTTGGAAGGATGACAGAAAGAGGGAGGGCATTCTGGACAGGAAGGATGCCTTTCACAAAAAGCTCAGAAGCAAGAAGGCAAGTGTAAAATATGAATGATGTAGCACAGACAGAAGGTAAACTAAACAACTTAGGTGGGAAGTCAAATCATGATGGCTTTTTAAAACTCTAAGCTACAGAGTCTGGATTGAAAGTCACCACTGAAAGCTCCTGAAAAGGGGAAAGCATGATAAGATCTCTATCTTAAGACATAAAACTTGAGATGTAGAGTTCTGTCTTCTAGCATGACTAAGTGAGAAGGAAAATAAATCCTCTCCTGCAAAAGCAACTGTAAAGATGGACAAAACTTCCACTTTCTGCAATGCATCTACGTCCAGGCCAAGGAATGAACTCAAATTTCAAGCCCTCCCCTCTAACCTCACTCTTATTTTTACAAGGTTCTCCTGTGTCTCCTCTGTGTATGCACATGCTCTGCTGATCAGAGTGGAAGCCTAACTAAAGATTGAGATGTTTGAGCGCAATCTCAATCTTTGTCTGAAACAACAATCTTTGGCTGAACATTAAGGTGTGCAGACACACGGGTGACAGCTAGAAGGAAGTCAGGCATAAATGAAAACAAGGAAGAAAAACTGAGCACAGCGACTGCAGTTGCTGGGGAGAGAGGCCTCACAGATTTCATCCAGCTATCAAATCTGGACAGTATGCACTGTGCACTATTTTTGAGGATTCTGAAAAGCAAAATGGAGAAGTGGGGAAGACCAGAATTGGAAGTATCACCCAGCTGTCTAAGAGATTACCACTTTCTTCCAACCAATACCACCAGCCAACCTGGAAATGGGCCCCACAGCACAGAGAAAGCTCCTCTAGTTTGGGCTCCAGCCATGTGAAAGGGAACTCCTAACAGCCAGAGAGAATATGGGGATCCCCCCACTTACCATCTCCTCCTTCTCTTGAGCCACAGTGCCCAGCAATCGTGTGCTTTGTCTGCAGCTATGGCTGAAATGAGAGTGCAGGAGCCAAACTCTGAGGCAGGAGAACTATCAATTTTTCCCAATCTCTATCCTTGGTCTCAAATGTGCAGGCAGTGGTGGAAAGACATGGCAGAGTGGAGTAACTAAATCCACAGTTTTCTGGACAAAAGAAAGAAAATATGAGCCCTTTGAGAACAAAAAGTGTGGGAAAAATTGCTGAGGAGAACTCAAGAAAGCAATTTCTAGGCTTACCCCTAGGCTGCATATGCATGGATCTGACGCTATTCCGTACCAAAGGCTTCCAAATTGGAACTAATGGAGAGACCACTATGCAGGTCTCAGATCAGCACATATATGAAACAGATGGAAACAGCACTACAAAACTCTGAACAATGAACTGACATTAAAGCCACAGCCCACAGAACCTGCATCCCAAATCTGGCAACAAAACAAAACATTTTGCTCTGGGAATAACTGTTTAGAAAACAAAAAGACAAGCTACAGAATGGGAGAAACTACTTGCAGCAAATCACATATTTGGCAAAGAACTTACATACCCAGAATGTATAAAGAACTCTCAAAACTCAGATGTCAGAAAACAAACCACCCAATTTAAAAATGAGCAAAAAACCTCAACAGACACTTTAACAAAGAAGATATATACACTGGTGTCCCACATTTCCATGAGAGGCCTTTGCTACATACTGTGCAGTCAAGGATGTTTGTATATTGAACATCCTTACAAGAGAAAGACGACAGCTCCTTCCACAGCAGAAGACAATTTGTTAACTGTCCAGTACAGTAAATATAATGTCTCCCTTCACATCAAAGGTTTGAAACGTTTGCTTGCAATCCCTCTCCTGGGTATTTCCTCTAGAGAAATAAAAATTGCTATTTACAAAATTCTATACGCAAACGGTTATAGTAGCAATATTTGTGATGACAAAAAATGACAACTAAAATATCCTTCAATGGGTGAATGAATAAACAAACTATGGTGCACCCATACAACAGAATGCTACTCAGGAAAACAACAACAACAGGTATCAGTACACCCAACAACTTTGATGAATCTCAAAGGCTTTATGCTGATAGAAGCCAGCATCTTAGTTCCTTCTGGCTGCAGTAACAAAATACCATAAACTGGGTAGGTTATAAAAAACAGAAATTTATTTCTCACAGTGCAGGAAGCTGGCAAGTTCAAGATCAGGAAGTCAACAGATGTTGGTGTCTGGTGGTTCAATGAAGATACCTTCTCCCTGTGTCCTCACATGGTGGGAGGGGGAGACAGGCTAGGCTCTCTGCAGTCTCTTATAAGGGCACTTACAAGCCCCAGTCATGAGGTCTCCACTTTCATGAACTAATCACCTCCCAAAGGCTCCACCTCCTAGTAGCAACACCTTGTGGTTTAGAATTTCAACATATGAATTTGGGGGACAGACAAAGATTCAGACCATAGCAGCCATCTTAAAAGTTTACATACTATATGATTCCATTTAGGAACTAGGGGTAGGAAAGAATGTGACTATAAAGGATTAGCACGAGAAAGTTTTTTGGGGTGATGAAACTGTTCTGTATTCTGATTGTGGAGGTGTTTACATAAATCTAATAAAATTTAAAAATTCGCAGACCATTATACTCCTCCCAGATCAATTTTACTCTATGATTTAAACAAAAAAAAAACCTCGGCTGGGCACAGTGGCTCACACCTATAATCCCAGCACTTTGGGAGGCTGAGGCGGGTGGATCACCTGAGGGCAGGAGTTTGAGACCAGCCTGGCCAACATGGCAAAACCTCGTCTCTATTAAACATACAAAAATTAGCTGAGCATGGTGGCAGACGTCTGTAATCCCAGCTACTTGGGAGGCTGAGACACAAGAATCGCATGAACCGGGGAGATGGAGGTTGCAGTGAGCCAAGATCATGCCATTGCACTCCAGCCTGGGCAACAGAGGGAGACGCCATCTCAAAAAAAAAAAAAAAAAAAAGAAACTTGACAGGCAATTTCCAGGTTGGATTAGGGAGAAGTACAGAACAGAAGACACAGATACTGACCAAGAGACAACTACAATTAGAGGACTTGAGGTAACACAGTGGGTAGCCAGGCATGGTGGCGCTTGCCTGTAATCCCAGGTACTCAGGAGGCTGAGGCACAAGAATCGCTTGGACCTGGGAGGCAGAGGCTGCAGTAAGCCGAGATCGCACCACTGCACTCCAGCCTGCGCAACAGAGTGAAACCCTGTCTCGAAAATAAATAAATAAATAAATAAATAAATAAGAGGTAACAGTGGGAATGGAAAGACGACGGGTGGTAATCTACCTTAGAGATCAGATCTTTAATAGTTATTTAATGAGACTTGACAGAGAGAGGGAAATCTAATTAGAAAAAACTCTCAAGTTTACTGTTTACTTCCTCTACAAGGTTAAAGCCCTCCAAGGTCAGGATTTAGATCTAAGACACCAGCCATTTATAAATAGTAGATAAGGCTGAGGTAGAAAGCAAGAAAATAACAAGTAGAAAAAAAGAAAAGAATAGAGTCCTAGAATGTTTTTAAAGACCATCTACTACATCCTATAGTAAGAGATAAAGATACTAACATTAAGAAATCATGACTTATTCCATCAAAAAGGTAGTAAGTGGCAGAGACATCACTAAGCACTAAGCTTCCTTTTTTTTTTTTTTTGGAAGACAGGGTCTGTCATTCAGGCTAGAGTGCAGTGGCGTGATCACAGCTCACTGCAGCCTTGACTTCCCGAGCTCAAGCAATACTCCACCACTCAGCCACCATGCCTGGCTAATTGTTGTTATTTTTTTGTAGAGGCGGTGTTTCGCCACGTTACCCAGGTGGTCTTGAACTCCTGAGCTCAAGTAAGCCTATACTTAGTATGCCAAGTCCTGGGTTTCAAATTATTTTGAAAGTCTGAGCTAATCTTGCCATTATCATCCTGATGTCCCTTTTCTTCCCTTCCAAGAGAAATGGGCAAAAGGAAGATACCTATTTTTAAGTATAGATCAATTAAGTTTTTTTAAATTTTGTACTATAAGTATGATAGTACTACTCAATGTTACTAAAATGAACATAGTTTGGGAAGTCTGCCTAGCACATAACCTCCCATGTTATCAGGAAACTGTCCTCTCAATCCACAAAGATAAGCTGGCAGCAGCTATATTTGTATAAGGTGAATGGTCCCCCAATTCAGGATCACAGCTGATTGCCTCCAACTGTGTTAGAGTCTTTTGCTTCGAGTTTTGGAAATGGGACTAAGTCGGGGCTGTTCTCTTGAATGATGGAGCTGTGTGACATGATCCTTCTATCAAGTGGTCTGAGTATCAGGACAGTCTACAGAATGAAATAGACATACCCCAAGAAGCAGAGAAAAGTAGAAGGTCCTGTACGTCCTGAATGATTTCAATCTCCCAGTTCCAATCCCTGGCTAAGGTTTACGTGCACGCCCATCCTCAGATTCTGAGTCATACACCCTGGTCCCCTAACTACTTTTGTCGTTTTTTCTTAAGCTGGTTCCAGTAGAGCCTATTATCTATGCCAAAAGACTTGTACAGATGCTCTTTAAGAGCTAGAAAAACATAAAGGAGTGCTCTGTGGATTACTTGGCATACAATAAAAGCTCACTATGTATTAGACAGAAACAATAACAATAGCTCTGAGTCTAAGAAGACTGATTTGGTGTGGACCATGAAATCACAGAGATCAGTCCTATCTGCACTCCAACCCCAGCTCTGCCACGTACTGGAAATGTAACTTTAGGCAAACTATGTAATATTTCTGAAACTCCCTTTCCTATATCCCTCTCCAACCTCTCTGCTCCTATCATTCTCCACCTTTTCACCCAACTAAGCCTCATAGGACCTGTGCACCCATGACCTTCACTCTCTGGTGCTACACCTGTGATTATGTCACCTTACACTGCAAAAAGGACTTTGCAGATATAATTAAGTTGACTAATCATTAAAATAAGGAGACTATGCTAGATATCTAGATGGGCCCAATGAAAGCACATGAACTCTAAAATGCAGAAGATAACAAGGGCCCAGAATGGCCAAAACAATACTGAAAAAGAATGTAAGAAAACTGACATTTCCTAATTTCAAAACTTACTACAAAGCCATGGTAATTACTACAGCGCGGTACTGGCACAAGGAAAGTCATAGAAATCAACGGAATAGAATTGAGATTCCAGAAATAAACCCATACGTCTTCTGTCAACTGATTTTCCATAAAAGTACCAAGACTACTCAATGGAGAAAAGAAGAGTCTTTTCACCAAATAGTGCCGGGAAAATTGGATAGCCACATGCAAAAGAACGATGTTAGATGTTAGATGCTTACTTCATACCACGTACAAAAACTAACTCAGAATCAATCAAAGACCTAAATGTAAAAGCTAAAACTAAAGCTCTCAGAAGAAAATGTAGAGGTAAAATTTTCATGATATTGGATTTGACAAAGGATGTTTAGATATGGCACCAAAAGCAGGAGCAACAAAAGACAGATAAATTGTACTCCAACAAAATTTTAATGTTTGTGCTTCAGAGGACCTTATCAAATGAAAACAGAACCCACAGAATAAGAGAAAACATTTGCAAGTCATTTATGTAATAAGGAACTTGTATCCAGAATATATAAAAAATTCTTACAACTCAATAAAAATTAACAATTTTTTTTAGCAGGTAAAAGATCTGAATGGACATTTCTCCAGAAAGATATGCAAACAGTCGTGAGTATATGAAAAGATGTTCCACATCATCAGTCATCAAGGAAGTGCAAAACGAAACCACAATGAGATGCCACTTCACATCCAGTAGGATGACTAGAACCAAAAAGTCAGAAATAACAAGTGTTGCCAAGAATGTGGGGAAACTGGAACCCTCATATACTGTTTGTAGGAATGTAAAATGGTACAGCCATTGTGGAGAAGTCTGGCAGTTTCTCAAATGATTAAACAATATTACCATAGAAACCAGCAATTTCACTCCTAGACTAAGAGAAATAAAAACATGTGTCCACAGAGAAACTTGTACGTGAATGTTTATATCAGCATTATCCATAATAGTCCAAGAGCAGAAACAACCCAAATGTACATCAACTGATGAATTAATAAACAAAATGTGGTATATCCATAAAATGGAATATTACTTGGTCATAAAAAGGAATGAAGTGCTGATATATGCTACAACATGGTGAACCCTGAAAACATGCTAAGTGAGAGATGCCAGTTATAGAACACCACACATTATATGATTCCATTCATCTGAACATCCATACCAGGGAAATCTAGAGACAGAAAATAGAGTAGTGGTCACTGAGCACTAAGAGGGATAAGAGAAAGGGCATGGGTTCCTTTTTGAGATGATGAAAATGTTCTAAAGTTGGCTGTGGTAATGGCTGTCACTTAAGTGTGCACTTCAAAAGGGAGAATTCTATGGTATGTGAATTATACCTCAATAAAGCTGTCTTTTTAAAAAACAGAAGAGACAGAATGTGAAGTTAGAGAGAGTCAAAGCACTATTGATGGTTTTGAAGCTGGAGGAGACTAATAGCCAAGAAATTTGAGTGGCTTCTAGAAGCTGAGAATGACTTCTGGCTGACAGCCAACAAAGAAATGAGGACCTCAGACCTTCACCACATGAAAATGAATTCTGCCAACACGAGTGCATCTGGAAGGAGACTCTCTCTATCACCTCCAAATAAAAACCCAGGCTGGCCGATGCTTAATTCTGACCTCCTGAGGTCCTCAGCAGAATACCCAGCGGAGCCTGCTTGAACCTCTAATCTACAGAACTTTCAGATAATAAATGAGTGCTGTGGACTAGGGGCAATGGCTCACGCCTGTATTCCCAGCACTTAGGAAGGCTGAAGTAGGACGACTGATTGAGGCTGGGAATTTGAGGCTGCAGCGAGCTATGACTGCACCACTGAACTCCAGCATGGGCAACAGAGACCTTGTCTCTTAAAAAAATAAAAATAAAAAATAAATGAGTGTTTTAAACTGCTATCCTTCCCACTTACCCCTTTGTTGGGAGAGCCTTTGCACATGCTATTCCAAAGTGAGGAATGCTGTGGCCCTTGCTGTCCAGGTGGTGGTTTGTTTCTCATCGTTTAGGTCTAAGCTTTCACATCAGACTGTGAGAGGCCTTCACTAGCCTCTGTGAAATACTACCTACCCCAGCCTACCCAACCCTCATCTCCGTATTGGACCCAATGCCATTTCTCCATGTCCTATTTATTATTATTCTTTTGGGGGACGGGGGTGGCAGGAGAGGGTAGAGGCGTGTTCTTACCACCTGGCCCAGGCTGGCCTTGAACTTCTTACAGATGTGAGCCACCATGCCCAGCCTTCATGTCCTATTTCTTTTTTTTCTTTTTTTCTTTTCTTTTCTTGAGACAGGGTCTCACCCTGTCACCTAGACTAGAGTGCAGTGGTGTGATCATGGCTCACAACACTCGACCTCCCCAGGCTCAAGCGACCCTCTCGTCTCAGCCTCTTGAGTAGCTGGGACTATAGCATGTGGCACCATGCCTGGCTAAGTTTTGTATTTTTTGTAGAGACAGGGTTTCGCCATATTGACCAGGCTGATCTCGAATTCCTGGCCTCAAGTGATCCACCCACCTTGGCCTCCCAAAGTGCTGGGATTATAGGCATGAGCCACTGCACCCAGCCTCCATGTCCTATTTCTAATAAATATTTTTTATTTACTTATTTACCCATTGGTCTGTCTCCCTCACTGCCAGAATGCAATTTGCTGAGGACAGAGACCTTATTTTCCTTCTCCACTGTTACATTTCTAGTGACTCAAATAGTACCAGTGTGGTGTTATAATATATATTGGTTTTCGTCCACAGTCCCTGGCTGGTAACTACCATAGCCCTCATCCTAGGATTTTATGTTTTTGTTTTTGTTTTTTTGTTTTTTTTTGAGACAGGGTCTCGCTCTGTTGCCCAAGCTGGAGTGCAGTGGTGAGGTCTCAGCTCACTGCAACCTTCGCTACCTCCCGGGTTCAAGTGATTCTCCTGCCTCGGCTTCCCAAGTAACTGGTACTATAGGTGCCTGCCACCATGCCCAGCTAATTTTTGTATTTTAGGTAGAGATGGGGTTTCACCATGTTGGCCAGGCTGCTCTCGAACTCCTGACGTCAAGTGACCTGCCTACCTCAAACTCCCAAAGTGCGGGATTACAGGCATGAGACACCACGCCCACCCCCAGGCTTTTGTTAAAAGGCTGGGTGTGTTAGGCTTCATGGGCAGCCTCTCTTTCTCCTACCCTCCTTTTACCTGCCCCAAGGCAGGACTCTATTCTGGATTGGTCTTAAACCCTCCCCAGAGAGGGTCCAGCTCTGTACTCTGAGGGACGAATGCTGGTGTCAGGAAGCCTCCATAAAAACCCAAGAGAACTGGGCCCAGGAAGCTTTCAGACAGCTGAACACAGTGCAGGTTCCTGGAGGGTGTGCACCCAGGGAAGGCATGGAAGTTCTGCACCTTCCCCCATTCCTCGCCCCCAGCATCTCCTTTACCTGGATCCTTTGCAATATCTGTTATAATAAACCAGTAAACAGAAGCATCTCCCTGAGTTCTGTAAACCACCTCAGCAAATTAATTGAACCTAAAAAGGGAGCCATGGGAACCCCAACTTGAAGCTGGTCAGTTAGAACTTCTGGAGGCCCAGAGTTGCAACTGATGGGGGTTAGGAGGGGCACTCATGGGGACTGAGTCCTCACCCTGTGTGATCTGACACTATCTCCTGGTAGATAGTGCAGGAAGTGAACTAGAAGACACCCAGCTGGTGTGGTGTGTAGGGGAAGAAACCCAACACATATGGTCATGGAAGTCTTCTGTGTTGATGATTCCTGTGGCGTGAGCAGAGGAAAAACACAGTTTGAGGGGTTTTGTTCCCTGCACAACTGGGCATATCACAGGTTCTCAATTCTTTGTTGAAAGAAGAAAAACTAAATGAATAAGGTTATTGTAGAGACCATAGAATAACAGGGCTATAAAGCAATGATACGTACTAAACGCTTAATAAATACAAAAATCCCTTCCCCAGGGCCAGGTGCAATGGTTCACGCCTACAATCCCAGCACTTTGGGAGGCGAAGGTGGGAGGATGGCTCAAAGTCAAGCGTTCAAGACCAGCCTGGGCAACACAGCAAGACTCTGTCTCTATTATTTAAAAATGTTCAAAAATCTCTTCCCCTCGTGAGTATTAGCCATTATGTTAAAATTATAAATGCTGGCTGGGTGCGGTGGCTCATGCCTGTAATCCCAGCACTTTGGGAGGCTGAGACGGGCAGATCACATGGTCAGGAGTTTGAGACCAGGCTGGCCAACACAGTGAAACTCCATCTCTATTAAAAATACAAAAATTAGCCGGGCATGATGGCATGCACCTGTAGTCCCAGTTCCTCAGGAGGCTGAGGCAGGAGAATCACTTGAACCCGGGAGGAAGAGGTTGTGATGAAGTGAGGCCGTGCCATTGCACTCCAGCCTAGGCAATAGAGCGAGACTCTGTCTCCAAAAAAAAAAAAAAAAAATACATGCTAACCAACTTTACAAGGGAAAATAAACATCTATGGGATGGTTAAATAAACTGGGGCATGACCACACAAGAGAATACCGAACACTAAAAAGAACAAACTATTAACACAAGAGCAACATGTTGAGTTTTCTAAAAAGTGCATCTTAAAAGGTCACATACTCTAGGATTTCTACAACCTTTCCAAATGACAAAACCACAGATATGGAGGACAAATTAGTGCTTTTTCCAGGTTAAGAGTGTCGAAGGCAAGGAAGAGGAGGGGAAGGAAAATGGTGTAAGCAGTTAACCCAGCAGGCCTGAGTTGCTCAAATGATGCACATTCTCAGACGGGCCTGCTTGGTCAGCTGGGTTAGACTGGCCCTTGGTCAGCTCCTAGAAACTGAGGTCTTGTACTAGCCCTATGCTCTATATGATAAGGGTGTTTTGTATGGTTACGGTACTGAACCACACTGTCCAGCTTGTCTAGATATTTTGTGCAAACTGTATGATTTATGGTAAACACCTGATTTCCTTCTGGAGTTGCTGTAACGGTGATCAGTTTTAAAGGGACTATATGCCTATGTGATATGGTTTGGAACTGTGTCCCCACCCAAATGTCATGCTGAATTGTAATCCCCAATGTTGGAAGTGGGGCCTGTGAAAGGTGATCTGATCATGGGGCAGTTAATCATGAATGGTTTCGCACCATCCCCTGTGGTTCTGTGCTTGTGAGATCTGGTTGTTTAAACGTGTATAGCACCTTCTCTCTTGCTCCTGCTCCCACTAGGGGAGACACTTTGCTCCCCCTTTGCTCTCCACTATTACTGGAAGCTTCCTGAGGCCACCCTAGAAGCAGAAGCTGCAATGTTTCCTGTACAGCCTGTAGAACTGTGAGCCAATTAAACCTCCTTTCTTTATAAATTACTCAATCTCAGGTATTTCTTTATAACTACGTGAGAATGAACGAACTAATATACTATGTGACCAACCTCCAGTAAAAGCCCTGGATTCTGAGGTGTACATGAGCTTTCACAATAAAAAACACTTCACACATGTTGCTAGAGTTTACGGCTGGGGAAGTAAGCACATCCTGGGCAACTCTGCTGGGAGAAGACGCTTCGAATCTTAACAATGCTGGTGTCCTGTAGAATCTGCTCAATGCACAACTAACCTTTATTAATCCTACTTTGTATCCCCTCACTGTAACAAACCATAGCAAGGAATAAATATGTCCTGTGAGAGCCTCGAACGAATTACGAAACCTGGGGGCAGCCCTGGGGACTGCTGACACAGGATGTGACTACAGAGTCATAAGGGAAGTCTTTGGGGTAATGGAATAGTTCTGTATCTTGACTATGGTGGTGGCTACAGGAATCTACGTATGAGATGAAATGTGCATGACACTATACACATACATTGCACAAATATCAATTTCCTGGTTTTGACATTACATTATAGTTATGTAACATGTAACCATTAGGCAAACTAGAAGAGTACACAGGACCTGTCTGTACTGTATTTACAGCTTCCTATGGATTTGAAGTCATTAATTGTTCCAAATTTTAAAGTTTAGTTAAAAATCACACATGAACGTTTTTTAATAAAAATAACACCTATCATGGGACTAATGTGTACCAGTTAAACACAACACTCAGATCATTCTGCTGCTTCTAAGTATAAAAAGAGAGCAAGGGTACCACCAAAAGAGAGTGCCATCATTTGAAAGGCTATGTGGTGGTGGTGACAGCTGTTACGGTAGAAGGCAGGAGAGTCGGCACACCCAGATTGGACATCACAGCTACAGACAGCATATCCTGTAAACACAGGAAGAAACATGGGGGATCAGCTGCGTGAGACTCAACTCCTTCTCTCCTGGGCAGACAGACCTGTCCCTAGACAGTAACCACCACCAGCACTGCTTCCAGGAGGGAGCTCCGAGGGGCCACACATCGCTCCTGTTGGAGCACTGCATTCCAATAAATAGAAGCTTGGTTGAGCAACCTGGGCATAAAGAATGCACAATTCAATTGGTCCCACTTATGTCAGGGAAGACAGAGTAAAAATGATCTCTGCTGCTGGGACAGTTAGGATTCTGTAAATTGTGCCTCGGCGCTAGGTTTTATTCTAGGTCCAGGTACCCTAAAAAGGACAGAGAGGTACAAAGCTTACTTACAAAGCTCACAGAACTATTAGTGTTCTTTCTTAAGGCTCTGGATGCAAACCAGTTTCGTCTCAGAAAAGCAAAACGAAAATACTTTGCAGATGTGAGTAGTTTCCCTCTATCCTTCTTGGCGGTCCGCTTCCTATTCCTGGGTTCAATGTCATGCCCTCAGAGGTCATTCCTCTCTCCAGGCAACTCATCTGGGACTTACAGGAAACATCCAATCAATTCTAGTAAAACGATAAGGTATCCTTTGACCTCAGTTAAGAAATAAAACTTACGGGTGATTTTTTTCCCTTAAATTTTTTTTCCAGTTAGAAAATAATGGAATACTCATTATTTACAAAACCTGATATATACAGACAAGCAAAAAAAAATGTTTTGGTCGGCCGGGCGCAGTGGCTCACGCCTGTAATCCCAGCACTTTGGGAGGTCGAGGCGGGCGGATCACGAGGTCAGAAGATCGAGACCATCCTGGCTAACACGGTGAAACCCCGTCTCTACTAAAAATACAAAAAGTTAGCCGGGCATGGTGGCAGGCGCCTGTAGTCCCAGCTACTCAGGAGGCTGAGGCAGGAGAATGGCATGAACCTGGCAGGCGGAGCTTGCAGTGAGCCGAGATCATGCCACTGCACTCCAGCCTGGGCGGCAGAGCGAGACTCCATCTCAAAAAGAAAAAAAGTTTTAGTCATCATCCAGAGGCAGTTACTGTATATGGTACATATTCCTATAGTGTTCCCTCTGCATTCATTCAAATATTTATATACTGATTGATTACTGCACGAAAGGCACTTGGGATACAAATGTAAGTAAAAATAAATCATTTCAGTCATTGCGGAGCTTAGTGTGTAATATGAGAGATATGACTATGTATCTGAAAGGCCTAAAGAAAATAAAACACTATTAATGCTGAGAAATTAACTTTAAAATGGCTAACTTTAAAAAAGAATTCACATTTATGTGAAATAAGCTAGATAGGTACATGAAATCTGTGGAACTCTTGTAACAGAGAAACAATAACAAGTTAGAAAGTATAAAAAAGATATCAGTCATAATAGCATCAATATGTAAACACTTGTAGAAAAACATTTTAATGAGAAAATATAATCCACATAAAAATATGGAAATATACTTAACATAATGTGTGAAAATAAATGTTGTAACAGTGTCAAACATTCCAAAATGTGTAAGTTTACTACAAATGGCCATAAAAATCCCACAAGACTTTTTGGAACTCAACAAAATGAATGTCAGCAAAAATAAACAGACTCAATTATTTTTTGATTTTCTAAATTAATTTTCTGAATTTTTATTTGCAAACTAGTTAGAAGACTGTGAACACAAGAACAGACCTGTCAAACCACTACAGGATACACTGACTCAAAAATGAATCTAATGTAATATATAAGGTAATTTAATGTTAGAAGAAGGAGGGGAAGGGGAAATTTTCAATAAATAGTGTTGCAATAACTGGTCAGCAATCTGACACCCCCTACATTAATTACAGGTATCTTTAAAAAGTTAAAGATTTTAGAGACAAACAGAAAATGGAAAGAACTAAAATGAAGTATTCATGAAAGTTCTAAAGAGATGAGTGTCATCTAAGGTTACAAACTGCAGGGAAAGTCAGAAAGGAAACAAAACTTAAAATACATAAACTGAAACATCTAGCTAGTTTTTAAGAGGCTATCTGTAGCCAAAATATAAAAGCAAATAAGGGACTAGAAAAAAAAATCTGAACAGGACAATGAAGTATTTTATTAAATTCAGAAATAGTACTAACACAATTTATAAATCTTTGATAGCCAAGCAGGACAAGGTTATGAGCAGACCATGACCTTGAGCAGACCGCAAAATGTGAGCAGTTTGCTAGAAACAGAAACGGAATGCCAAAGGGTATGTGCATTTAAAATTCTGACATATACCAAACTGGTCTGACAAAAAGGCTATACCATTTACATTCCCACCTACAGTGTATGAGGGAATCTGGTCTCCCATAACCTCATAAGCATAGCATTATCGAACTTTAATTTTTTGTCAATCTGACAGGCAAACAAAAAAAATCATTTAACGTGCATTTCCCTAAGGTTAGCCATCTTTAGAGATATTTATTAGCACTAGTATATTTTCTTTGAATAACTGATTTTGCTCATTTTTCTATGTCATTACTATTTTCTTTTGATTTATAGATATTCTTCTTATATATCTTTCAGTACTCACCTTCATGGTATGAAGACGCCATCATTCTAATAAAAGACTTATTAGCATTTGCAATCTGTAATCCAAGGTTCACCAACTTTCATATGATTAAATATAATGCTTCCAAAATGAATGTGAATGTCAATGTCAGAGTTTTAATGTTAAATATAACAAAACATTATTTGTCCAAACGTTAGCTTGGACAAATAATTCCAAATGATAATCAACTCCCTGGAATACAATGTAGAGTTGATTGCTGCTGGAATGAGCAGAGCAAGCAGGGGAGCATTCTCAAGGAATGAGTTCTAGACAACAGTCTTCTATTGTACTAGATCACGCTCTCCTTGGTTAAGCAAAATTGTAACTCTAATCTGAGCATGCCATTCTCCGGAATAACAGCTCAAAATTACATACAAGATAATCTGGCTACCGTAGCCTACTTTGTACCATTCTCTATGCCCTCGCCCAGGGAAGCAGCACAAATGGTCAATTTATTCACTAAGTTACTGACCAAAAATTATTTCTCCTAACTCCACCTAAGGTAACAGCAACTTGCAACATATTAGGTGGTCTCTGTTAAAGGCATTTCTTTTCTTTACGCTTTTTTTTTCTTTTCTTTTCTTGACATAGGATCTGGCTCTATAACCCAGGCTAGAGTGCAGTGGCATGATCACAGCTCACTGTAGCCATGACTGCCCAGGCTCAAGTGATCCTCTCCACCTTAGCTTCCCAAGTAGCTGGGACTACAGGTGTGCATCACCATCCCTGGCTAAATTTTTTGTTTTTTGTTTTTTGTTTTTTTTTTGAGACAGAGTCTCACTCTGTTGCCCAGGCTGGAGTGCAGTGATGCAATCTCAGCTCACTGCAAGCTCCGCCTCCCAAGTTCACACCATTCTCCTGCCTCAGCCTCCAGAGGAGCTGGGACTACAGGCACCTGCCACCACGCCCAGCTAATTTTTTGTATTTTTAGTAGAGACCAGGTTTTACTGTGTTAGCCAGGATGGTCTCAATATCCTGACCTCGTGATCCGCCTGCCTTGGCCTCCCAAAGTGCTGGGATTACAGGTGTGAGCCACCGTGCCTGGCCAACAGAGACAGGATCTAGCTATATTTCCCAGGCTGGTCTCGAACTCCTGGCCTCAAGCAATCCTCCCATGGTTTGCCACCCAAAGTGCTGGGATTACAGCCATGAGACAATGCACTCAGCTCAGAACTTTTTTCTCAAAGGCATATCATAGTTTTAGCTTTGCTGTAGCCATTTCATCCATAATCACTTGCTGTGGCTGGGTAAAGTGATACACACATACACACACGCCCACACTGGTTTAGAGAAATACAAAACGCAATGCCTAGACGTGAAATGTATTTATTCAGATTTGTTAGATGGCGCAATCAAATAAATATTTGTGTTATGCTCTAAGCTTTTAAGAAGTCTTTTGTATCTAAAATATAAGACACATATGTAAATGACATCCAGCTGAGCTGGACTGGCCAATGTACTGAAAAAGGGCTACCACATGTAGCTACAAGGTCTCACCCTGTTGGCCAGGCTGGTCTCCAACTCCTGGGCTCACGTGATCTGCCCACTGTGGCCTTCCAAAGTGCTGGGATTACGGGTATAAGCCCCCATGCCTGGGCTAAATTCTCAACAGAAATAATAGAAGCCAGAAGATAACCTGACAGTGCTGAAAGATATTAAAGTATGATGGCTTTAAAAAAAAAAAAAAAGCTGAAAGAAAAAACCTGCCACCTAGCATCCAGTGCTCAGTGACTATTTCCTTTAAAAACTGATGGCAAAGGCCTGGCACAGTGGCTCAGGCCTGTAATCCCAGCACTTTGGGAGGCCAAGGTGGGCAGATCATGAGGTCAGGAGATCGAGACTGTCCTGGCTAACATAGTGAAACCCCGTCTCTACTAAAAATACAAAAAAATTAGCCAGGCGTGTTGGAGGGCGCCTGTAGTCCCAGCTACGCGGGAGGTGAGGCAGGAGAATCGCTTGAACCCAGGAAGCAGCCGTTGCAGTAAGCCAAGATTGCGCCACAGCACTCCAGCCTGGGCAACAGAGCAAGACTCTGTCTCAAAAAAAAAAAAAAATGGCCTAGTACGTTGGCTCATGCCTGTAATCCCAGCACTTTGGGAGGCAGAGGCAGGTGGATCACAAGGTCAGGAGTTCAAGAACAGCCTGGCCAACACAGTAAAACCCCATCTCTACTAAAAATACAAAAATTAGCCAGGCATGATGGCGCATGCCTGTAGTCCCAGCTACACAGGAGACTGAGGTAGGAGAATTGCTTGAACCCGGGAGGCAGAGGTTGCAGCGAGCCAAGATCGTGCCACTGCACACCAGCCCAGGTGACAGTGTGAGACTCTGTCTCAAAAAAAAAAAAAAAAAAAAAAACGATGGCAAAATAGACATTTTCAGATGAGAGAAAAAACACTGTTATGCGAAGACATCCACTGGAAGAAATACCAGGGAGAGCTCTTCAAACTGAAAGGGAAATTACCCTACCCCAACTGGAACACAGAGATGCAGAGAGACCCTGGCCCAAAATACAACTTTTATATCCACTGGGTAACACAAAAATTTGTGTGACTCACTTTATTACAGTGGTGCAGAACCAAACCCGTAATATCTCCAAAGTATGCCTGTAATATTTTACAGCAGCCCTGGGGGAAAAATATACCATCCAATAAGAATTGTTGTAAACTCTACAAATAATTAGAAGAAATGAGTTTTCCACAAATTTACATCGAACTCTGGGTTCACAGCAACACCTGTTCTTTACAAATAGGACAATCATACACCCCAGTTAGCAAGCAACAGTCCTGGCCTAAAAGCACCCCCTTTGATTCTCAAAAGTGACCACCTGTGGATAATAAGTTACATGGTCATCCTATTTATGAACCCACTTAGAATACCCTTCTGTCTGTTCACCTTCAAATCCTACCCTGTTCAAGGATCAAGGGACATCTGACTCCAACTTCCCCACTGACAGGGTAATTCTCTCTCCCGTTCCTGTAGCTTTTTATAAATACAGCCATTATAATACTCATGTCCTATTACAATTACTTGCTTACATGTCCACCCCATGCTCTTAGCCACTTAGCACAGTGCCAGGAACTGAGGAGGTGCTCAATAGATGTTTTCTAGGTTTCTCAAACAATTCATCAGAAGACTGGCAAAGTACCTGCAGAGACAGTGTTCTCTCACTTTTGTCCCTTCCACACTCTCCAGGGCCCAGTGAAGGTGGGAGTAAAAAAATTAAACAGCAAACAACTAACCTGACAAGCAGTGTTTCTCAGACTTGAATGTACATCAATATCACTTGGAAGACTAGTTAAAACACAGAGTACTGGGTCCCACCCCAGAGTTTCTGATTCAACTGGCCTGGGAAAGGGCCTGAGAATTCGAATTTAACAAGTTTCCAGGTGATACTGCTAGGAACTACCTTTGAGAACCACTGCTATAAAGAAAACACCACAATTACGAAAATGTCCATTTATTCTCAGGACTTCATTCCCAATGGGAGACTCCCTTTTCTGAATATGAGGAACCATGAGAGAGCTTTTGGAAGAGACAAAAATCAAGACTTTTTTTTTTTTTTTAGACGGAGTTTCACTCTTGTTCCCCAGGCTGGAGTGCAGTGGCATGATCTCGGCTCACTGCAACCTCCACCTTCTGGTTTCAAGTGATTCTCCTGCCTCAGCCTCCCAGTAGCTGGGATTACAGGTGCCCGCCACCATACCTGGCTAATTTTTGTATTTTTAGTAGAGACAGGGTTTCACCATGTTGGCCAGGCTGGGCTCGAACTCCTGACCTTGTTGTGATCCGTCCACCTCGGACTCCCAAAGCGCTGAGATTACAGGCGTGAGCCACCTCGCCCAGCCAAGACTTTTTTTTTTTAATTGGGACAGAGTCTGTCACTCAGGCTGGAATGCAGTGGCACAATCATGGCTCACTGTAGCCTCAAACGTCTGGCCTCAAGCAATCTTGAGCCTCAGCCTCCTGAGTAGCTGAGTTCAAGCCACAACACCTGGCTAGTTTTTTGCGGGTTTTTTTTGGTTTGTTTATATAGATGGGGTCTTTGTTGCCCAGGCTGGTCTTGAAGTCCTGGGCTCAAGTGAGCCTCCCACCTTGGCTTCCCAAAGTGCTGGGATTACAGGTGTGAGCCAATGTGCCCAGCCTAAGATTTTGACTTTTGGGACTCAAGGGCCCAGTGAAATAGGAGTCAAAGATCCGGGGAGGAGGCTGGTTTTCCCCTGAAGACACAATCCAAATTCTATAGCCACACAGGGAAGGCTTCAAAACAAAACTAAAAGCCTCTGAAAATCAAGAGTGAAATTTTCAGCAATCTCATTGTTCTCAAGAGACAAATATGACAGTATAAAACCTCTGTCGGGGAGGGACTCCTATAAACTCCCAGACTATCAGCTGAAAGTCTTAGGTGGGTACCTGCTAGGAGTAAGGGCAAATCAGAGCAAAATGCGGCCTTATCCAACCTGCAACACAACCTCAACCCTCAGCTCAGTCTCTAGCAGTATTAGGTGATCAGCCCCACTCTACCTGCCTAGCAAAAGGAAGAGTGATTTCTTCTCTGAAAAATAGCATCATCCAGACCCTTACTGTATTCACGATGTCTCACATTCAGATAACTAAAAACCAACAGGAAACGCAGATAATAGAAACAGATGCTCAGATGATTTATACTTGATTTTACCAGAAAGACTTATTTAATGGTATGTTTTTAAAAACAGAAAAAAAGAGGGAAGGCCAGGTACGGTGGCTCACGCCTGTAATGCCAACACTTTGGGAGGCCGAGGCAGGCGGATCACCTGAGGTCAGGAGATCGAGACCAGCCTGGCTAACACGGTGAAACCCCGTCTCTACTAAAAATACAAAAATTAGCCAGGTGCGGTGGCGCACGTCTGTAATTCCAGCTACTCAGGAGGCTGAGGCAGGAGAATTGCTTGAACCTGGGAGGTGGAGGTTGCAGTGAGCCAAGATCACACCACTGCACTCCCGCCTAGGCGACAATGTGAGAGACTCCGTCTCAAAAAAAAAAAAAAGAAAAAAAGAGGGAAAACATAAAAAGATTAAGAATTTCAACTGTGAATTGGAATTTGTGTCAAACTGAAATTCTAGATCTGAAAAGTATTTCTAAAATTAAGAATTCAAACCGTGTATTTAACAGCAGAACAAACACAGGAGAAGAGTATTTTCTAGTACTCAGATTCTTCTCCAAATACACATAAAGCGTCTGCTGAAGAATGAAACTGAAATCTTTGCATTTCACTGACGTAAATGGCAGAATCACTACCATAATCACTATTGCTCATGTTTGGGGCTGGAACTGGTTGGACCTGTAGTCCAACTGGCTGATCAGTTTTTCTGTCAGAATCTAAGAACCTTAACCTTAAAATAATCTCAACTTATTTCTCAAGCACCATTATATGTGTGTATATTATATTTAAATGTACCAATATATTTATAGCACTAGAAAAATATGTATCTTTTAATGCATTGAGTTACTAGACAGAAGTATTAAAAAGGCAAAAATTCCTCTTTAAGGAAATAGCTTACATCCTATAAGTGCTCTTACAGGTAATGAAAAAACTGTGTCTGCAATTTGTTCCCTAATATGTCATAAACCAAAAATAGGCTCTTGGGAGAAAGTAATATCTACTCAACATAGCTGGTATTTAAAGAACTTAAATACTGAATTTCAGTACTGTCTCTGTCATAAAACATTGTATTTCCTGGGGCAAGTAACACCTTAACAATGTTTTATAAAAAGCATCAGCAGTTAGCATATGGGTATGAAAACACTTTGCCATTGAATTTCTCATAGATGGTATTAAAAAGTGTCCATTCATGACTATACAACTTTTAAAACCCTAGACAAATAAAAATCCACATGCACTCACTACAAATAAAATCTACACTCTCATCAGACAAAATCTACATTCTCAATACAACCCCAACTGCAACGGCCAATAAATTTACACAAATAAAAATATAATCCAACTTGCTAAACAGGACCCAAACGTATTATCTCGTGAGACACCAGTTATGATAAATTTTGGACATTCTATTTCATTATTCTGTAGTTTTGTTTGTTTGTTTTTGAGATGGAGTCTCGCTCTGTCGCCCACGCTGGAGTGCAGTGGTGCGATCTCGGCTCACTGCAAGCTCCGCCTCCCAGGTTCCAGCGATTCTCCTGCTTCAGCCTCCCGAGTAGCTGGGACTACAGGCGCCCACCATCACACCCAGCTAATTTTTTAAAATATTTTTAGTAGAGACGGGGTTTAACTGTGTTAGCCAGGATGGTCTCTATCTCCTGACCTCGTGATCCGCCCGCCTTGGCCTCCCAAAGTGCTGAGATTACAGGTGTGAGCCACCGTGCCTGGCCTGTTTGTTTGTTTTTAGAGATGGAGTCTTGCTTTGTTGCCCAGGCTAGAGTGTAGTGGCTATTTACAGACACAATCATAGTGCACTGCAGCCTCTAATACCTGACCTCCGGCAATCCTCCTGCCTCAGCCTCCCAAGTAGTTGGGACTACAGGTGAACAACACCTCGCAAAGTTCTGTTTTTTGTTTTTACACTTTGTATTTGCTTTCTTACAATATTCTATTCAAAACTTTGGTCACTAGCCCAACTCCTTTTTGAGGAACACATTTAGAAAACAATGTCAAAAGCTTTATGGATATACAATTAAGGAAACACAGCATTACATAACTATATTTAGGCAAGGGCAGTTTCACCCACTGTTTACTGAGTAAGAGTGAATAAGGATGGTCTCTCTCCATTAACACAATGCATGGCTCCTGCTAGCATTTGATAAATTTGAACTATTATTACTTGAAAGTGCAACTGTTCAGCTGGAGCAAAATACAGG